>NC_000002.12:85666076-85971460 GCF_000001405.40 Homo sapiens | reverse complement strand
TAATCCCAGCACTTTGGGAGGCTGAGGTGGGTGGATAACTCAAAGCCAGGAGTTCAAGACCAGCCTGAGCAACATGGAAAAACCCCATCTCTACCAAAAATACAAAAATTAGCCAGTCTCATGACCTGGTCTCAAAAAAAGAAAAAAAAATTAAAAAGCCAAATGAAACATACAAGATAACAAACATATACATATATATATATATATATATATATATATATATATATATGTATGTATGTATGTATGTATTTTCCCCCAACTGGAAGTTCTAAAGCAACCTCTAATGCAGCAGTCCCCAACATTTTTGGCACCAGGGACCAGTTTCAAGGAAGACAATTTTTCCATATATGCAGTGAGAGGGCTGGTTTCAGGATGAAACTGTTCTACCTCAGATCATCAGGCATTAGATTCTCATAAGGAGCATACAACCTGGATCCCTCGCATGTGCAGTTCACAATAGGGTTCGCACTCCTATGAGAATCTAATGCTGCTGCTGATTTGACAGTAGGTGGAGCTCAGGTGGTAATGCTCATTCTCAGGCTGCTTGCCTCCTGCTGTGTGGCCCAGTTCCTAACAGGCCACAGACTGCTCCCGTCTGCGGCCTGTGGGTTAGGAACTCCTGCTCTAACATTACTCTTAAGTTAACATTACTCTTAAGTTAAAGAGGAAACCGTAAACTAGAAAGAAGTGACCATCAGAAACCCTGTTTTAGGGGCTTGTGGGACATGGCCCAAGTGGGACTCAGGATAAGTTTATTAGAAACAAGTAGGGCTAACACTAAATGAAAGAGCATGAAATCAATAGTCTAGAATGAAAAGGCAGCAAAATAAACTCAAAGAAAGTAGAGGGATGGAGTATAAAAATCAGCAGAATTTAATGAGGTAGAACACTCACAGAAAATATGAACTTAGTTAATAAAACAAAATCTTGATCTTTGAAAAGACCATTACTATTTACAAATCTAGTTAAAATTCATTTTAAAATATATTTAAATTTAAAAGATAATTAATGTTTGAAATGGGCAAGAAAATACAACTATGGATATTTTTTAAATATTTCCAAAGATGATCAAAAAGAAATTGTTAATTTAAAAAATTGAAAACCTAGATTGAAATACAAAATTTTCTAAGAAAGTGTAAATTACCAATTTTTTTTTTTGTAGGGACTATGCAATGAGATTTTGCAGCAGGGAAGAGAGATTGGGTTCAACTCTCAAAATTACCAAAATGAACACAAGAAGAGACAGAAAACCTATATAGGTCAATAAACACATAAGAAATTAGAACAACTGTCAAAGTTCTTTTTCTAAAAAAACACCCAAACAGACTCAGATGGTTTTATTTGTGAATTACATCTAATTTTCAAGGGTCTAATACTTTCTATGATATATGAATTCTTCCAGAGTATAGGAAATAATCAGAAATCTACAAAGCTAAATACCAAACTGGAAAGCATAGCATATGTGCCAGTTGGGTGCCACAAGAGGCAACTGGTTTTTTTTTTTTTTGTCTTTTTTTTTTTTTAATATACTTTAAGTTTTAGGGTACATGTGCACAACGTGCAGGTTTGTTACATATGTATACATATGCCATGTTGGTGTGCTGCATGCATTAACTAGTCATTTAGCATTAGGTATATCTCCTAATGCTCTCCCTCCCCCCTCCCCCCACCCCACAACCGTCCCCGGTGTGTGATGTTCCCCTTCCTCTGTCCATGTGTTCTAATTGTTTAATTCCCACCTATGAGTGAGAACATGCGGTGTTTGGTTTTCTGTCCTTGCGATAGTTTGCTGAGAATGATGGTTTCCAGCTTCATCCATGTCCCTACAAAGGACATGAACTCATCCTTTTTTATGGCTGCATAGTATTCCATGGTGTATATGTGCCACATTTTCTTAATCCCGTCTATCATTGTTGGACATTTGGGTTGGTTCCAAGTCTTTGCTATTGTGAATAGTGCCGCAATAAACATACGTGTGCATGTGTCTTTATAGCAGCATGGTTTATAATCCTCTGGGTATATACCCAGTAATGGGATGGCTGGGTCAAATGGTATTTCTAGTTCTAGATCCCTGAGGAATTGCCACACCGACTTCCACAATGGTTGAACTAGTTTACAGTCCCACCAACAGTGTAAAAGTGTTCCTATTTCTCCACATCCTCTCCAGCACCTATTGTTTCCTGACTTTTTAATGATCACCATTCTAACTGGTGTGAGATGGTATCTCATTGTGGTTTTGATTTGCATTTCTCTGATGGCCAGTGATGATGAGCATTTTTTCATGTGTTTTTTGGCTGCATAAATGTCTTCTTCTGAGAAGTGTCTGTTCATATCCTTTGCCCACTTTTTGATGGGGTTGTTTGTTTTTTTCTTGTAAATTTGTTTGAGTTCATTGTAGATTCTGGATATTAGCCCTTTGTCAGATGAGTAGGTTGCAAAAATTTTCTCCCATTCTGTAGGTTGCCTGTTCACTCTGATGGTGGTTTCTTTTGCTGTGCAGAAGCTCTTTAGTTTAATGAGATCCCATTTGTCAATTTTGGCTTTTGTTGCCATTGCTTTTGGTGTTTTCGACATGAAGTCCTTGCCCATGCCTATGTCCTGAATGGTATTGCCTAGGTTTTCTTCTAGGGTTTTTATGGTTTTAGGTCTAACATGTAAGTCTTTAATCCATCTTGAATTAATTTTTGTATAAGGTGTAAGGAAGGGATCCAGTTTCAGCTTTCTACATATGGCTAGCCAGTTTTCCCAGCACCATTTATTAAATAGGGAATCCTTTCCCCATTGCTTGTTTTTGTCAGGTTTGTCAAAGATCAGATAGTTATAGATATGCGGCATTATTTCTGAGGGCTCTGTTCTGTTCCATTGGTCTATATCTCTGTTTTGGTACCAGTACCATGCTGTTTTGGTTACTGTAGCCTTGTAGTATAGTTTGAAGTCAGGTAGCATGATGCCTCCAGCTTTGTTCTTTTGGCTTAAGATTGACTTGGCAATGTGGGCTCTTTTTTGGTTCCATATGAACTTTAAAGTAGTTTTTTCCAATTCTGTGAGGAAAGTCATTGGTAGCTTGATGGGGATGGTGTTGAATCTATAAATTACCTTGGGCAGTATGGCCATTTTCACGATATTGATTCTTCCTACCCATGAGCATGGAATGTTCTTCCATTTGTTTGTATCCTCTTTTATTTCCTTGAGCAGTGGTTTGTAGTTCTCCTTGAAGAGGTCCTTCACATCCCTTGTAAGTTGGATTCCTAGGTATGTTATTCTCTTTGAAGTGATTGTGAATGGGAGTCCACTCATGATTTGGCTCTCTGTTTGTCTGTTATTGGTGTATAAGAATGCTTGTGATTTTTGCACATTGATTTTGTATCCTGAGACTTTGCTGAAGTTGCTCATCAGCTTAAGGAGATTTTGGGCTGAGACAGTGGGGTTTTCTAGATATACAATCATGTCATCTGCAAACAGGGACAATTTGACTTCCTCTTTTCCTAACTGAATGCTCTTTATTTCCTTCTCCTGCCTGATTGCCCTGGCCAGAACTTCCAACACTATGTTGAATAGGAGTGGTGAGAGAGGGCATCCCTGTCTTGTGCCAGTTTTCAAAGGGAATGCTTCCAGTTTTTGCCCATTCAGTATGATACTGGCTGTGGGTTTGTCATAGATAGCTCTTATTATTTTGAGATACGTCCCATCAATACCTAATTTATTGAGAGTTTTTAGCATGAAGGGTTGTTGAATTTTATCAAAGGCCTTTTCTGCATCTATTGAGATAATCATGTGGTTTTTGTCTTTGGTTCTGTTTATATGCTGGATTAAGTTTATTGATTTTTGAATGTTGAACCAGCCTTGCATCCCAGGGATGAAGCCCACTTGATCATGGTGGATAAGCTTTCTGATGTGTTACTGGATTCGGTTTGCCAGTATTTTATTGAGGATTTTTGCATCAATGTTCATCAAGGATATTGGTCTAAAATTCTCTTTTTTTGTTGTGTCTCTGCCAGGCTTTGGTATCAGGATGATGCTGGCCTCATAAAATGAGTTAGGGAGGATTCCCTCTTTTTCTATTGATTGGAATCGTTTCAGAAGGAATGGTACCGGCTCCTCCTTGTACCTCTGGTAGAATTCGGCTGTGAATCCATCTGGTCCTGGACTTTTTTTGGTTGGTAAGCTATTAATTATTGCCTCAATTTCAGAGCCTGTTATTGGTCTATTAAGAGATTCAACTTCTTCCTGGTTTAGTCTTGGGAGGGTGTATGTGTTGAGGAATTTATCCATTTCTTCTAGATTTTCTAGTTTATTTGCATAGAGGTGTTTATAGTATTCTCTGATGGTAGTTTGTATTTCTGTGGGATTGGTGGTGATATCCCCTTTGTCATTTTTTTATTGCGTCTATTTGATTCTTCTTTCTTTTCTTCTTTACTAGTCTTGCCAGCGGTCTATCAGTTTTGTTGATCTTTTCAAAAAACCAGCTCATGGATTCATTGATTTTTTGAAGGGTTTTTTCTGTCTCTATTTCCTTCAGTTCTGCTCTGATCTTAGTTATTTCTTGCCTTCTGCTAGCTTTTGAATGTGTTTGCTCTTGCTTTTCTAGTTCTTTGAATTGTGATGTTAGGGTGTCAATTTTAGATCTTTCCTGCTTTCTCTTGTGGGCATTTAGTGCTATAAATTTCCCTCTACACACTGCTTTGAATGTGTCCCAGAGATTCTGGTATGTTGTGTCTTTGTTCTCATTGGTTTCAAAGAACATCTTTATTTCTGCCTTCATTCCTTTATGTACCCAGTAGTCATTCAGGAGCAGGTTGTTCAGTTTCCATGTAGTTGAGCAGTTTTGAGTGAGTTTCTTAGTCCTGAGTTCTAGTTTGATTGCACTGTGGTCTGAGAGACAGTTTGTTATAACTTCTGTTCTTTTACATTTGCTGAGGAGTGCTTTACTTCCACCTATGTGTTCAATTTTGGAATAGGTGTGGTGTGGTGCTGAAAAGAATGTATATTCTGTTGATTTGGGGTGGAGAGTTCTGTAGATGTCTATTAGGTCCACTTCGTGCAGAGCTGAGTTCAATTCCTGGATATCCTTGTTAACTTTCTGTCTTGTTGATCTGTCTAATGTTGACAGTGGGGTGTTAAAGTCTCCCATTATTATTGTGTGGGAGTCTAAATCTCTTTGTAGGTCACTAAGGACTTGCTTTATGAATCTGGGTGCTCCTGTATTGGGTGCATATGTATTTAGGATAGTGAGTTCTTCTTGTTGAATTGATCCCTTTACCATTATGTAATGGCCTTCTTTGTCTCTTTTGATCTTTGCTGGTTTAAAGTCTGTTTTATCCGAGGCTAGGATTGCAACCCTGCCTTTTTTGTTTTCCATTTGCTTGGTAGATCTTCCTCCATCCCTTTATTTTGAGCCTATGTGTGTCTCTGCATGTGAGATGGGTTTCCTGAATACAGCATACTGATGGGTCTTGACTCTTGATCCAATTTGCCAGTCTGTGCCTTTTAATTGGAGCATTTAGCCCATTTACATTTAAGGTTAGCATTGTTATGTGTGAATTTGATCCTGTCATGATGATGTTAGCTGGTTATTTTGCTCATTAGTTGGTGCAGTTTCTTCCTAGCCTTGATGGTCTTTACAATTTGGCATGTTTTTGCAGTGGCTGGTACCGGTTGTTCCTTTCCATGTTTAGTGCTTCCTTCAGGAGCTCTTTTAGGGCAGGCCTGGTGGTGAAAAAATCTCTCAGCATTTGCTTGTCTGTAAAGTATTTTATTTCTCCTTCACTTATGAAGCTTAGTTTGGCTGGATGTGAAATTCTGGGTTGAAAATTCTTTACTTTAAGAATGTTGAATATTGGCCCCCACTCTCTTCTGGCTTGTAGAGTTTCTGCCGAGAGATCAGCTGTTAGTCTGATGGGCTTCCCTTTGTGGGTAACCCGACCTTTCTCTCTGGCTGCCCTTAACATTTTTTCCTTCATTTCAACTTTGGTGAATCTGACAATCGTGTGTCTTGGAGTTGCTCTTCTCGAGGAGTATCTTTGTGGCGTTCTCTGTATTTCCTGAATTTGAATGTTGGCTTGCCTTGCTAGATTGGGGAAGTTCTCCTGGATAATATCCTGCAGAGGGTTTTCCAGCTTGGTTGCATTCTCCCCATCACTTTCAGGTACACCAATTAGACGTAGATTTGGTCTTTTCACATAGTCCCATATTTCTTGGAGGCTTCGTTCGTTTCTTTTTATTCTTTTTTCTCTAAACTTCTCTTCACGCTTCATTTCATTCATTTCGTCTTCCATCACTGATACCCTTTCTTCCAGTTGATCGCATTGGCTACTGAGGCTTGTGCAGTCGTCACGTAGTTCTCCTGCCGTGGTTTTCAGCTCCATCAGGTCCTTTAAGGACTTCTCTGCATTGGTTATTCTACTTATCCATTGGTCTAATTTTTTTTCAAAGTTTTTAACTTCTTTGCCATTGGTTCAAACTTCCTCCTTTAGCTCGGAGTAGTTTGATCTTCTGAAGCCTTCTTCTCTCAACTCGTCAAAAGTCATTCTCCATCCAGCTTTGTTCCATCGTTGGTGAGGAGCTGCATTCCTTTGGAGGAGGAGAGGTGCTCTGATTTTTAGAGTTCCCAGTTTTTCTGCTCTGTTTTTTCCCCATCTTTGTGGTTTTATCTACCTTTGGTCTTTGATGATGGTGACGTACAGATGGGTTTTTGGTGTGGATGTCCTTTCTGTTTGTTAGTTTTCCTTCTGACAGTCAGGACCCTCAGCTGCAGGTCTGTTGGAGTTTACTCGAAGTCCACTCCAGACCCTGTTTGCCTGAGTATCAGCAGCAGTGGCTGCAGAACAGCAGATATTAGTGTATCACAAATGCTACTGCCTGATTGTTCCTCTGGAAGTTTTGTCTCAGAGGAGTACCCGAAGGTGTAAGGTGTCAGTCCGCCCCTACTGGGGGATGCCTCCCATTTAGGCTACTCAGGGGTCAGGGACCAACTTGAGGAGGCAGTCTGCCTGTTCTCAGATCTCAAGCTGCGTGCTGGGAGAACCACTACTCTCTTCAAAGCTGTCAGACAGGGACATTTAAGTCTGCAAAGGTTATTGCTGTCTTTTGTTTGTCTGTGCCCTGCCCCCAGAGGTGGAGCCTACAGAGGCAGACAGGCAGGCCTCCTTGAGCTGTGGTGGGCTCCACCCAGTTTGAGCTTCCCGGCCGCTTTGTTTACCAACTCAAGCCTTGGCAATGGTGGGCGCCCCTCCCCCAGCCTCGCTGCCACATTGCAGTTTGATCTCAGACTGCTGTGCTAGCAATGAGCGAGGCTCCGTGGGCATAAGACCCTCCGAGCCAGGTGCTGGATATAATCTCCTGGTGTGCCGTTTGTTAAGCCCATTGGAAGAGTGCAGTATTAGGGTGGGAGTGACCCAATTTTCCAGGTGCTGTCTGTCACCCGTTTCTTTAACTAGGAAAGGGAATTCCCTGACCCCTTGCACTTCCTGGGTGAGGCGATGACTCACCCTGCTTCAGCTCACGCACAGTGTGCTGCATCCACTGTCCTGCACCCACTGCCCGGCACTCCCCAGTGAGATGAACCCAGTACCTCAGTTGAAAATGCAGAAATCACCCATCTTCTGCGTCGCTCACGCTGGGAGCTGTAGACTGGAGCTGTTCCTATTTGGCCATCTTGGCTCCTCGAGAGGCAACTGTTGACTTGAAGTTAGGAATGCAAACAGTTTGTCACACCTGCAAAAGAGAAAAGGTGGGCTCAGGATTAGGTAAGAGAAGCTGTCAGACCAGGATACATATCTGACCAAGTATTTGCCAGGCCAACAAGAAGCCCCAGAGTTCTAGAAGCCATGCAATAAAATTATAAATCAAATTAGAGGCGGGTACAGTGGCTCACGCCTGTAATCCTAGCAATTTGGGAGGCCGAGGTGGATGGATCACCTGAGGTCGGGAGTTCAAGACCAGCCTGACCAACATGGTGAAACCCCATCTCTACTAAAAATACAAAAAATTAGTTGGGCGTGGTGGCAGTTGCCTGTAACTCCAGCTACTTGGGAGACTGAGGCAGGAGAATCACTTGAACCCTGGAGGCAGAGGCTGCAGTGAGCCGAGATCATGCCACTGCACTCCAGCCTGGGTGTGACAGAGCAGGACTCCATCTCAAAATAAATAAATAAACAAATAAGTGGAGGCTGTGTTCAAGGAAAATGGCTGGGCCCTTGTTCCTTCCTCACTCTAGCTTAGTCATTACCTGAAAGCATTCTGAGAAAAGCATGACCTTGTGTCACCACAAAATATTAAAAACAAAGAAGAAGAAGAAGAAGAAAGAAAAGAAAACTAGGCTGGGCATGGTGGCTCACGTCTGTAATCGCAGCACTTTTGGAGTCCAAGGCACAAAGATTGCTTGAGCCTAGGAGTTTGAAACCAGCCTGGGCAACATGGCGAGAACCCCATTCTACAAAAAAATACAAAAAAAATAGCTGGGCATGGGGACATGCACCTGTAGTCCCAGCTACTTGCAGGGCTGATGTTGGGTGAGGATCATCTGAGCCCAGGAGGTGAAGGCTGCAGTGAGCCATGATCGCGCCACTGTACTCCAGCCTGAGTAACAGAGCAAGACCCTGTAAAAAAGAAGAGATAGAGAGAGAGAGAGAAGAAAGAAAAAGAAAGGAAAGAAAGGTAGAAAGAACGAGAGAAAGAAAGAGAAAGAAAGAAAACTATGGGCTAATCTCACTAAAAACTTAAAGGCAACAATAATAATAATAATAATAAACCTATTAGCAACTTGACTCCAGTGGTGTTTTAAAAGGATTATACACAAAGAATATAAAGATAGCTTTAAGCAGAGAATCTATTAAGATAATTTGCTACAGGACTAGATGAAGGGCAGAAAAGATATTCCCATCACAATAAATGCTTTCATGAATAGATTTGATAAAATGTATGCCTATTTCTGAATTAGAATCTAAAATTCTCAGCAATCTAAAGGTAGGAGGAAACTTTCCTTGCTAAAGGCTAACTAACAAAAACTTGTAGCAAACCTCCTATTCAGTGGCAAAAAATTAGACATTCCCAGAAAAGTCAAGAACAAGACAAGATGGCCCACTGCCGCCATTACTACTTTATTTAATAGTCTGCTGGTGATCCTAACCAATTCAATAAGAAATAAAAAGAGAAAGGAGAAGAAAAATTATGAATTTAAAAGTTGCCATTCCTTGTAAAATGGACTGTGGTTATGGTTGCCCAACTCTGAATATATAAAAACCATTAAATTATATCCTTTAAATGGGGTGAATCCTATGGTATTGATGGCAGGGGCAGGCCATCTGAAGCAGCTGCTGTCATCACGCTGGCTGCAGCAGTGAGGCATGGCTGGGGCTGCACTCTCTATTGAGCCAGCAGGAGCTAAGGACAAGTGGGAGACCCACTCCTTCTGAGTTGGGGCAGGAGCTGCCTGGATGCTGTTGCAGCTGCCCAATCCATAGCTGTGGACCTGGGCATCCCTGTACTCTTGGGGTTGGGAGCAGGCAGGAGACCCACTCTTCTGGGTGTAGCTGCAGCTGCTAAAGTTGTCATTGCAGACCTGGGCCTCTGGCTCCACAGAGCAGGCAGGAGTCCCACTCCCCAGGCACAGCTGCAGCTGCCCCAACTGCAACTGCTGACCCAGGCATCACTGCACCCTTGGGGGCCCAGGAAGGCACACCCGGCCCTCCCAGGCTCAGAAGTGCCTGCTCCCACTGCCTGGCTTCTCTCTGCTGTCAGTGCCTACTCCGTTCTTGGAGCAAAGTTGGGCCCGAGTCTGGGTGATGTCTCAGCCAGGCTGGGTGTGCGCATGCTTGGGACAGTGTTGACACACCAGTCCCCTGCTGCTTCAGCCCCCTCCAGACTTTGGTCACCAACGAGCATAGGAGGGAAGCTGAGTGGGAGTTGAGGGCAGCTTAGTGCTGGCCTTCAGGCACCCCTTGGCAACTACAGCCTGGATGCCATGAAAGGCAGCAGGAGGCAGACAGGTTCCTGGGTGGAAGGGGGTGGGTCCCCAGTGGCCCCACCTTTGGGCCAAGGAGGGCCTGAAGGCTGGCTGGCTAGGGGCCAGGCTGCCAGTCCCACAGACCAGAGTGGGAACTTGTGGTGCCTTTTCTGGACCTGCCCAGGGCTGCCCATGGACCAATCAGCATGTGCTTCCTCCTCTCTGAGGCCCATAAAAGCCCAGGGCTCAGCCAGAGCTGAGCAGACATCAGGATGACCAGCTGCAGAAAGGAGCTACCCACTCCAGGGCCTCCTCTCTGCTGAGAGCTGCAGAGATGATGGGATGACCTGTCTGCAGAGAGAAGCTTCCCACTCCAGGGTCTCCTTTCTGCGAAAAACTGAACACTTGTCAGGACACCCTGGCTGTGGAGAGGACCGTGGGTCTCCTCAGAGCTGTTCTATCACTCAAAGCTCCCCTTTGTCTTGTTCACTCTCCACTTTTCTGTGTACCTCATTCTTTCTGGTCACAGGACAAGAACCAGGACCCATCAAATGGCAGGGCTAAAACAGCTGTAACACAAACAGGGCTGAGATGTGTCTTGCTCACCACGTTGCAGGTGAAGAGGAGAGAGAGCTGTGGCCCTTCGGGGAGCCCAGACCTGGGAGCTCCCCAAGCCAGGGCTGTGACTCCCTCTTTGGGGCCCTGTGGTTCTTGGCATCTCCAAGCTTCCAGGCACCACATGTTCCCTGGTGCCAGCTGTGGAAACTGCTTGTAGTGTGCCTGGTCCAGCCATAGCCTTGCAGAGAGCCCACACTGGCACCTGGAACTGCCCACCCTGCTGCAGCAGCAGGCGTGTCTGACTGCTCAGTAGCCAGACCCCATGCTCGCTCACACACCCCTCACCACTCCATGCCTGACTTGCCCTTGGCAGGTGTGGGATCCAGGCTGGTAGCATGAGCTGAGCGCAGTTGCCAGGCCGAGTGGGCAGAACGAGCCCAGCAGGCCTGAGCAAAACTTGGGCAAAGGCACCCCCAGCCACAGAGGTTTCTGGCAAGAAAAACGGCACTCCATAGATCCCGTAACAGTATGTGAATTGTATTTCAATATAGCTGTTAAAAAATTATCATTATCAGCTCCATGATTATCTACTAAGAAAATCAAAGAGAATAAATTTTAAAATGAATTAAAAGTGAGAGCATAGAAAGTTGCCAAGTGAAAAATCAACATACAAAATCACTTTCCAGTACACCAGCAATAGCCAATTTCAAAGCATCCCAGAAAAGAAATCCCATTTACTGTACACAGAAAGATCAAACAGCTACAAATAGGTCCAATAAGAAATGTGGAAGGCTTAAATTGTAAAAACAATACAGCTTTACTGATTGATATTAACTGAGGCAAAAAAACTGGGCTGCCAAGCATTTCTGGCCCCTTGTCTCCCTTCAGGAATGGCCAGGGGGTTAGGGGGATTCATTGTAGAACAGCCTTGGGGATGTCACGGGAACTATGGAGAAGGTGACTAATGAACTATTTTAAATTCTTTGCACCAAGTCTGGCACGTAGTGAGCAGTCAACAAATATTAATCCATTTTCCATGTATATTCCATGTGCAGCCAGAACTTGGGGTCACAGACATTAAAAATCAGACTGGATCCTGTGGTGTTAGCTGGTTGATTGGGATGGCAGGAAAGCTTAGGGAAGAGCATGACAATTCCTGAAATTAAAATATGCCACTTAGAGGTGAGGGGATCTGAATGGACATACACAGGAAAGCAAGTTGTTACAGTTCAGAGACAGAACACACTCAGTGTGTGTGTTTGGGTGCAAGTGGGGAAGCTGTCTCACTTGGGGTGACCAGATCATGAGATATGGGGCTCCCTCATGTTCATCCCCGAACACCCCGACTCAGGGGTCTGCTAGAGCTCGCTTTGTGGGGTGTTTTAAGCTCAAGCTCCTCTTTAGCCATTCAAGGCTTCCACGGTCTGGTCCCACTGGTGGACAATGCTGGTGCTCAGCTTGGACCTCCTTCCTTCTTAAAAATTATTTTTGTCCTCCTCCTCCCACCCGTAATAGCCAGCAACTGCAGCTCATTCTCAAAGGATTATCCTCAGACTAATGGTGTTGGAAGTGCCTGAGAATGTACTTTCCCCAATTACAGTAATGTCTAAGGAAAACGATGTAAAAAGAAACCAATTTTCCCAGAGGCTAATTGATTAAACAGAAGTTAAGTTCCTACAGCCTACTTCCGGTTGTAAAAACATCACTAAACTTCTAAATAGAGACCAAAATACTTCGAATATTAACCATTGAAATAAATGTGAACTATACATACATTTTAAAAAGATTAATATAAACAAGCAAGATAATGATTTACCAACTTATTCCATTCAAGGTGGGGGTGTGTCAGAGCCCATCGCAGCAGCTCAGGGCACCCGGTGGGGACCCGCCCTGGACAGGACGCCAGCCCATCTCAGGGCACACTCACACAACCCACACTCTGGAGTACCCAGAGAAAACCCACGGGGACGTGAGGAGAACCTGCAGGCTCCACACAGACAGTGGCCTGGCTGGGGATCGATTTTTTTCTCATCAGTGTTAGAACAAAACCACGTTGAACTAAATGACATTATTCCAGGACCTGCTGTCCTAGGGTGGTGCAGGCACTGCGGGGGTCTCCAGGCTTCTGCTTCCGCGCACCAGCTCACCTCGGTTCTAACAGTGGGGGTCTGTATTAGTTATGGTAAAGCTGGCTGCCATAACGAAAACGTACCGTGATTCAAGGATAAAAGCAGCTTGTTTTTCAGATAAAGTCTAAAATGGGTATTCCTGATTTGTGGGTGGATCTCCGCTAAGAGGGGATTTGGGGTCCAGGTTCCTTCCCTCTTATGTTCTGTCAACTGCAACACATGTCTTCCAGAAAGTTAGAGGCTGGCCTGAAAGTGGCATGCATCACTTCTAACAGTAAGGAGGCTGGAGAGCTGTCAACCCAAGGAGAAGAGGAAATGGGTTTGGTGAGCAGCTAAGCAGTCTCTGTGTTGTACCTGTGCCATATGAGTTGTTAAATATTTTGGATACCACCCCTGGTCAGAGACATGGATTTGAGGCTTGACCCTGCCTTTTTTTTTTTTTTCCCAATCAATGGCTGCTGCCTAGGCTCTGCCTCTTTTTCCTCTTTTTTTTTTGAGATGGAGTCTCACTCTGTCGCCTATGGCCAGCTAATTTTTTTATTTTTAGTAGAGATGGGGTTTCACCATGTTCGCCAGGCTGGTCTCGAGCTCCTGACCTCATGATCTGCCTGCCTCAGCCTCCCAAAGTGCTGGGATTACAGGTGTGAGCCACCGCACCCTGCCGGCCCTGCCTCTTAACAGTTGAGAGAGGATAGCCATGGTGGCTCACGCTTGTAATCCCAGTACTTTGGGAGGCCAAAGCAGGAGGATTGCTTGAGGCCTGCAGTTCAAGACCAGCCTGGGCAACACAGCAAGACCTGCCTCTACAAAAAATTATTTAAAAAATTAAAAAATTAGCTAGGCATGGTGATGAGTGCCTGTAGTCCCAGCCACTTGGGAGGCTGAGGTGGGAGGATCACTTGAGCCCAGGAAGTCAAGGCCGCAGTGAGTTATGATCATTTCACTGCACTCCAGGCTAGGCAACAGAGTGAGACCCTGTCTCAAAAAAAAAAAGAAAAATAGTTGAGAGAGCTTGAACAAATTGTTTAACCTCTCTGAGCCTCAGTTTTTCCATATGAAAACAGAAATGCTAATAATTATAATAAATCATAACTTCAGGGTTACTTGGAATTATAAAAAAGATTATGTTTGTCAAGGGACCTTATAAACTATTAAGTCTCATGGAAATGCTCTTCTTCATTCACCCTGCCTGGAATGAACTTCCTTTTCCCTTCCTTTATCTAATTTCTATCCACCTTTCGAAGTCTGAGTACAATTCCCTGTTAAGAGGGCCAGAATGCTCTATTCTATTAAATAGCAACTGTGACCTCTTGGGGTCCTGACACCACTAAAAAGAAGAAAAAAACATTGGTTTGAAATAGCTTGGGAATTTTACTACCCTGGGGAAGCCTGAGAGCAATTCCCACAACTGTAGCCCTTCCCCCTAACTCAAAAATATTTGTTTCGCCTCCTGGTGAGCTTGTAGCAAGTTGTGACATTCCTCCCCAAAATACTAGGAATCAGGACCTTCCTTTTGGACCATTGGTATCCAAACCCAACAACCTAAAAGATTAAAAACTCAATTTAAGGGAAATTAGAGGCTTATAACATTGCTTCATACCGCACCAGCTATGATATCAGACTCCCAAAATGTAACTGGCAGAGCCCAGAACACCTGACTAACCCTCACAAAAATCCCCTTAACAATCGCCTCTTTTAGAAAATATTCTCAAGCGTTTCCAGTCCACTATATGTTCTATTTTTCCCAAAGGATTGCATTTCATAAATGCCACCTGATTCAGATGCCACTTAAACTCAAAATCCTTCTTTCGTTAGTTTTGCCTCTCACACTGATGTTCAGTCGCTTGAGACCAGGGACTGGGTCCTTTGACTCCACACTAGAGACATGGCAGACCATCACTAAAGACTGGTTAACCAAGGACTTCCTGTGGGGAGTGTCATTTCCTGGAATGGGATAGTCATGCTCCATTATCATGTTAAGCATCCAATATAACCATTACAATATTGGGATTCTTGAAATCTGGTGTTCTTGGGCATTCATCTCCCCAGGTTCGCATTGACCCAACCACATGGCACCACTCAGTGAATAGGAAATGGGTGAATCACAGAGGAGTTTCCATTCATTCATCTGACAAATAATTATTAGATTCCAAAACCGTTCTTAGCACCTGCAAGGAGTTTCAAGAGAAAAGGCATATATATATGATAAAGACCCACTTTCTAGTCTAGTACAGTGACACCAGGTTATAAGCAGACCAATAAAGTTGGATAAAGAAGCAGGCAAGAGATTTAGAAATAAGGTCCGAGGAGGCAACATTAGGGACAGGCATGTGGGAACATGACCCAAGGGAGGCCCAGAATCGAGAACAGGTTTCAACAGCTGTCTCCACTTATCAAACTGGCAAATGTTAAAGACTGACAACACCAGGTGTTGCTAGGGTGTGCAAAGCAGACTCCCACGTATTGCTGGAATGGTGTAAATTTGCACCAACCTATCTGTGGGGCAATCTCACAAAATGTACCAGCCTTTAAAATGTATATATGTATAACTCGGCAATTACAGTCCAGATATTTATCTTGTGGGAATAACTGGGCAAATGAAAACTGACATTGGTACCACTGTAGCCTATTCATTGTGTCACCGCTTGGAGAGGGTAAAATTGTAATCATTTGACCACGAAGTTGTCCCTGAACCAATCACAATGGCCAGAGGGATCGAGTCTTTTGCTCGGCCAGGCCTCAGTCACACATCTCTCCTCTGTTGTCAGGGGATAGAGGAGGACTGTGATTGACAGCTGAGCCATATGGATTAGGATTAGAGAAAAGACAATTCCCTAAAGGAAAAAAAAAGGAGGAACATTGTTACTAGAGGACTGAGAATGGGAAAGCCAAATAAAATCTGTAACTAGGGCCGGGCACGGTGGCTCACGCCTGTAAACCCAGCACTTTGGGAGGCTGAGGAGGGTGGAGAACTTGAGGTCAGGAATTTTGAGACCAGCCTGACCAACATGGTAAAACCCCGTCTCTACTAAAAATACAAAAATTAGCTGGGTGTGGTGGCATGTGCCTATAATCCCAGCTATTCAGGAGGCTGAGACAGGAGAATGGCTTAAACCTGGAAGGTGGAGGTTGCAGTGAGCCAAGATCGTGCCACTGTACTTTAGCCTGGGTGACAGAGCAAGACTCTGTCTCGAAAAAAAAAAAGAAAAAAAAAATCCTGTAACTACCCCAGTATACCATAGCAGGAGTCACTGGTGCAGGGGGAGAACTGCTTCAGGCAGACGGACTAGATTATTTTTTACAGAACCTTTACAGTCTGTGATGAAACCACCTCCAGAGAGGAGGAGGAGGAGCGGAGAAGGCCACCCCTGACGAAGGAGACCTAGACTTGTAAATCCAGCTCTATGAATAATTGAATAATTTTAAAGACATGGTTGAGGCTGTGAGGTAGTTGTAAGAAACATATAAGCAAACAAGACGAATGAGGATGCTATGGGCAGAGCCAGGAAAAGTCCCTGACCATGGATGGGCCCATGTGGTGCCCACACATGTCAGCGAGACATTGGCTAGCACTGTGGGTACAACTTGCTGCCAGGCGACCTGGGACAAATGACTTAACCACTTAAGACCTCAGTTTCCTTATCTCTGAGATTGAGAGAAGAAACCGATCTATGGGCTGACTGTGAGAATGTCATGAGCCTGTGCAGGTAGAAACACCTCTGTGCCAGTCATTGTGTACACAACTTCAGCAAGGAGAAGGGGAGGGCATAAATGGCCCTCCAATTTAAACAGAAGAGAAAAAAGTAAACAGAAGAGATGAAGGATGGTGGCTCCAGGAAGTCTGAAAACTAGGGGTTTATTCCAGGGCAACGGGAGCCCTCAAATTTAAGCTGGTGGCCATAATGAGGGTTACAATGGCACTTTCAATCAGAAACTATGTTGAAAAACTGGAACTTGCCCCCCTCCCACAAGTCCTTAACTGTGTATAAGTGGAACGACTGTTTACTTGTACATTTTTATTCTCCATGGCTCACTCTCACTGGCTATTGAAACACTTCAAAACAGGAACTTCTTAAACCCCCCAAGACCAGGTTAGGGCACCCTGCCACCACCACCCTGTTCCTCCATTTTGCCTTGTGCCAAGAGCACCACAGGCCTGCTCCTGTCTCAAGTGCCTTTCCCTGGGTCCGACGGGGGACAACGTGTACTGTGGTTGCCTTGAATTTCCTCACCTCAAATTCAGATCTAGTGATGCTTGCACCATCAAGGTGGCAAGCATGCATTGCTCTGTCTGGGAGGGAAGGGGAGATTGACACCATGAGAAGGTATGAGCGCGGAGAGAGCACGAGGTGGTCCCACTGCTCCTGACCCCCATGAGGTCCAGTCTGTGTGAAAAACAGCATTGACCCAGAAACACAAAGGCACCCCTGTGTGTGTGGTATTGGGCAAGCCTCTGGCCTCTCCAAGCCTGTTTCTTTATCCTTAAAATTGTGGCAATTCTATTCTCTGAGGGCAGCCATGAAAAATGGGGAAAATCTTGCAAGAGCCTCATAGCCTCCTAAGCAGCCATGCCCTGAGAGGTCTGTGTCTTTTTTTTTCCCCCCCGAGACAGAGTTTCACTCTTTCACCCAGGCTGGAGTGTAGTGGTGCCATCTCAGCTCACTGCAACCTCTGCCCCCCGGGTTCAAGCGATTCTCCTGTCTCAGCCTCCAGAGTAGCTGGGACTGCAGGTACCCACTACCACGCCTGGCTAATTTTTGTATTTTTAGTAGAGACAGGGTTTCACCATGTTGGCCAGGCTGGTCTCGAACTCCTGATCTCAGGTAATCCACTCGCCTCGGCCTCCCAAAGTGCTAGGATTACAGGCATGAGCCACCTTGCCCCACCGGTGTGTCATTTTCACTCTTCCCCATCCCACAGGATTTTACGGAGTGTCACAGCCGTGGTCTGTGCCCTGAGGTAAGAAGTAAATGGGTCAGATAATGAGGCATGAAAATGAAGCCAAAATGAAGCAGGTATTTCACAGAGGCTCGTCTTGGAGTTTTCCATCAGGAATCCAAAGTGTTACTGCTACTGCAGACATCTGGTGTTGCTTGGCTGTGGCCAGAGGGAGATGCGATGTGTCAGCCAGGAAATCTCAGAGGTGCCTGTGAACAGGAGGGAGGCCACTCAGAAGTGGTGTCCACGGGGCTGTGAAAGGGCAGGAAGAGAACGAGGAAGCAAGGAAGCAGGCAGAAGGTGCTTTCTTTCCCTTCCCTGGCTCCTCCTCACATGCCTGGGGGCCCAACCAGCTCCGGTATCAGAGCATAGCCACCCTCAAATGGCTTCATGTCACCCCCCACCCCCAACTGTGAGATCTCCCTAGACATGAGGCAGAGACTCTAGCAAAAGGATGGCAGTGCTCTATAGCAAACACAGCCATTCCAAATGGCATTCATGAGACAATTCCTTCATTCTCTGCTCTGTGCTTGGTGATTTGGAAAGAAGCAAAAGACATTGAAGCTGCAAGCTGCTCACAATAAATAGCTGTATTTGCACAGCCAGCCCTGTAGGCCTTCCCCAGATCTAAGCCACCTAGGACCATAGATGCCACTATGGCTCTTCTGTAAGCACATCACTGGTCACTGATGTCCGGCAGGATGACTGGAGTGACAGGAAGGTGGGGGTATCTGAGGGTGTGGTATGGACCCCAGTCAATGTGGAGAGGCACTCTGGAGGCTGGGTCAGGTTACTCAACCAGAGAGAAAACACCGGATCAGGATGGCAGATTCAGCAAGGGCAAGGCTGTGGCAGGAACCCAGGTGACAGTAGCAAAGGCTGTGCCATCAACATATGCTGTCAGGCCAGGGCAGACAGGGAAGCTCCCTGACCAAGTTCAGGCTGCAGGTGTGGTTAGGACGATAAAGAGAGGCAGCTCACTTAAGGAGGTTCCTGAGGATGAAGCCTCCTTGTTTCCCTCTCCTTTTCCTCCCCTTTTCCTCCCTCCCTGTCTCCTCCTTCCTGCCTTTCTTCCCTTGACTTAGCAACTTTACACAGGATTATTTCCAAACAGCAGGGGTTCTTGGGACTTTTACTACTCTAATGTGCATTGTGAGTCTAAAAACTACCTGACTGCTCTTGCTTGCCCATATTTCCTGGTTCTCACAAACACATTTCTTCCTAGGGAGCAGAGCAGCTCTACAGTCCAAGATTAGCTAGTCTGCGGTTAGAAAACGTCTCTCCAGCATCAGGTGAACTTTGGGTACACATCCCCTTGTGCAATGTAGGTAACTCCCTGGCCTTATCAGCTGCATGGTGGCCATCTCTTGGGTGGACTGTTTCCTCAGAAGGGCCACATGCTTCTTCCAACTCTCTTGAGTATTGTTCCAGAGCTCAGGGACACATGATTTTATCTTTCCTTCATGCAGGCCACAGACCTCACTTAGCCTATAGGCCCTCTCGAAACACTGCACCCCCACAGGTAAACAGGCAGGCAGAGAACTCATGAACACAGATTTCCCGGAGCTTTTGCCTCACCAGGGTGGGACCTTCCCTCTTCTCACTTCGGCCTGGGACACTCAGCCCATTTGAGTTCTCACGAGACGCTGGTGCCCAGGCACGAGATCTGAATGAAATCTTTCTAGGCAACAGGCACCTAACAACCAGTCTCCCTAATCCCACCAACCACCCTCCGTGTGATGCTGGCCAGAACCATTTTAAACACCAATGTGAGCCCTCCCTGCAGGTAAAAATCATGTCTAATCTCGCCATCACCTCCCCAGCCCCAGACACCCTTTGCTCTCCTCCACCTGTCCTGCTGCCCATGATGCACCCATACCCCACTCTCAGTTCCTGAGGACTCCATGCTTTTAAATAGCATGGCTCTCCTGGAAAATCATTACTCACTCTTCTAGAGCTGGAGCAAATGTCACTGCTCTGTGTACCTTCTCCTCCTCTAGGCAGTTTGCTACTCTGTTCTCTGAAGCCTGTTGCTCCAACTTGCGTAATAGGGTTACTGCCGTTAGGCTGTTGACACTTGTGTCTCTCCCATCTCTGCTAGAGCAGCTTGAAGGCAGGGGCGGGACACAGTGTCTGGCGGGTGCTTCCTACGGATCTATTGATGAAGACCGGACAGACATAAGAAGCTCTAGTTAGGGAAGAAGAATAGTGCACTGCGTACCTATTGCATGCCAGACACTGTTCTAAGTTCATTTAATAGTCACAACAACCCTGCGGGGCAGGTGCTATTGCCACCCTCAGTTTACAGCTAAGGAAACTGAAGAACAGAGTGGTTAAGTAACTTACACGAGGCCTCTCAGCTACTAAATAGTAAAGCCAGGATGGATTTGAACCTGGAGCCTCTGCTCTTAACCAGTATACCTATTGCCTTTCAAACTAACAGAAATGAGACCAAGAGTTAAATTTCAAGGTTAGAGGCATCAGCATCAAACAGACTGGATGCAAACGTTGGCTCTGACCTTGATCGTACTCAACCAAGCTGAGCCTCAGTTTTCTCAAATGTGAAATGGACATTATAATAATATTTGCCTCATCTTTCGTTTGGTCAATTTTAAAACTCTATGGATCTGTTGTAATCCATAACGTCAATGCCTGTGTGCTGTGACCTTGTGAATCTTTCAGATTTGAACTGCTGCTGTCAACCCTAATCTCAACCCTGTGAGAAATGACATTCACAGAGGATTGCCTGGAGTGTATTTAATATATCTCCTCCTTTAGATTTTTGACGGAACCAGACCATCAACGCCTGTGCTCTTGGAACTCTGACCTTCCCTGCAAGTATCACATTTGCTTTCATTGCCCTTGGGTGTTGGGCCCTCACTGTATGTTTCAGCTGATTGGGTTTATGGTGGACACATTGGGGTGGATGTGACTCAGTTTCCTTTACACAGGATTGCAGGGGCGAAAGAGCACCGGAATTGTCTTCATCCCTAGGAAAGTGCCATAATAAAAGGAAACTGTATTATTTTAATTGCTGGGAGTAGAATTTTTCTTAGGCAGTAAATGGCTTTTGTTTGGGAAAACATTTCCATAAGCTGTGAGTGGTGGGAGTAGGAAGCCAAAGCACTGGATGTTTCTACAAGTAACTCAAAAGAGATAGTCTGTTCTGCCTGAGACAAAGTGGGGAATTTGGCCTCTAAGAGGCTGGAGAGAAAATTCAGAGAAGCCAGGAGAGGAAGGGAAGGGATGCCTATAAGATAGTGTGTGGAGTAAAGGCCAGTGGCAGAGGGCCAAAGGCAGTGTCCTCCATCTCCCCAACCTTGACTTTTTGTGAACATCTTCACTATTTTGTGTGAGTAGAGTCTTTCATAGAAGTCAAAGAAAAGGCTAAGCTTCACACCTGCGAGCAATGTGGTGTGGAAAGAGGTAGCCTTTGTAAGATCAAGAGCTCAGAGAAACTTGGCCCCCAGGGGAACAGAAGAAAACTCAAGACATGTTCTGAACCTCCCCCGGGCCTGGAGACCCCAGCCAGCATCTGGCTTACATGACTGATTGTGTTTTCTTATTGGCTTTCGTCACTGGGAAACTCACTAGGTCACTGAGTATATCGGGGTCCCTTATAATAAATGTTCGGGAACTTATTGGCTTTCATTGTTGGGAAACTCAGGGTGTATCGGGGGTCCCTTTTAATCAATGTTCAGGAACTTATGCAGAGTTGCTTCCCACATCTTATCCTACTATTTGGCCTTCATTTCTCTTGCTTGTCCAGAATGAACCTTGTCTTCATCTGCCTGGCATCCCTTCCTGTGACACATATTGTCCCACTCCATATGGTCCCTACAGAGCTGCCAATCAGAGTGCTCAGCCCTACCTCTGTCACAGGGGTGGGTACCTGACTGCTGGCAAAAATGCCCCACCCACCTGGCCACAAGGATGGCCACAGAACTCAAGCTGGGTCAATCAGAGAATCGTCTAAGGTTGATATGAGGAGAGAATGTTCTCTCAGCTGCTTGCTAATTTGAATGAGTACGAATTTGAGGAGCTCTCTTCCCCATCATATGAACACAACTTTATTTAGCCTGGTGCCAAGTGGAGGCAAGCAGATCTGAGAGACAGAATAAAAGACAGAGCACTGACAGTATCATTTGGGCCCCAAAATCTAGCTATACCTTCAGCTGGAGCCATCCCTGGATCTACCTGTAAATTGAGCTAATAAATTCTCTCTTTTTTCACCATGCACTGGGATACAGGCTGGAGGCGGAAGTCAGATTAGCTTTGTTCCCATTTCAAGTCCAGAGGAAGCCCTCAATTTGGGCATAAGGCCAAAGGGGCTGTACTTATCCTTAAGTGTCAGAAACTACAAGGGCAAATTCAGTTCAAGAACCATGACCAGGAATAGATTTCTGAAGTTAGTTACTAGTTAACAAAAAATCGAACGGATCACCTCCCCAGTAGGATTGTGGGAAAATAAAATTTCCAGAGAACTCCAAGCTTGGCAAACGGTGATCTGTGATTGCTCAAATGCAAGGGCAAGTCCCAGGCCCTGCAGTTATGCTGAGAGGAGGCGGCCATTAAAGTAGCACCCCAATGAGGAGTCTTTCCCTAAGTCCTTCTCAGAAGTGGCCATGGAAAACCCTAGACAGGGGGTGTCCTTGAAATAGGAAGGCAGTTGGGGTCACTTGGGTTGGCTGACCTGGGAAGTGACTCCCCTGCCTGGGGCTGTCCCAATTCCTTCCCTGTAGACCATGCAGTATACAAATGGGACATTTTATTGCAGTGTTTCTTTTCCCTCTATCATTGGGGCCTCCCTATGTTGGACATGATGGTGACGGCGGTTAAACTTTTTTTAAAGCTATAGTCTACCAAATCCACAGAAGGTTGTTTCAAAACCTAATGAAGAAGGAGAATACATCACCCAGAAGCTCTGGGCCTGGGACTGGATCTGGCAACTAGATGCTGATTGGTTTTTAAGTTTTTATTTATATAGTCATTGTATTATGCCAGGTGGGGGCATTCAGAGAATTGCATTTATGGAGGAAGGGTGATTTTCTTGCTCTAGCTTTCCTCCCAGAAGAGACGTCTTCTCTGACCCCATGTAGTTCTGGAGTTTCTAGGAGTCAAAATACCCCCACCCCTATTCCATCTCCACAGAAGTGGGACCTAGCCCATACTAACCAGACAGAGGCCCGCCATCTCTCTATCCATTGTGATTGGTTCAGTTGTGGGCATGTCACCTAAACACAGCCAATCAGGGTTGACAAATGAGCACTAAGGTCGCCTTTACCCAAAAAATGCTAAAGAAGTCAATGCAGCTTCAAATTCAACATTCGGTTCTCTTTTCTTAAAGGTTCTTCCTTCATCCCAACATTGAGATGTTCCACTGTTTTACCTCATGAAAGTTTAGAGCCTCAGACCATCAGTTTTCTTTTAACCTATGACATGAGTTATTTAGACAATATGTTTTAATTTTCAAACCTATAGATTTTTTGTTGTTTCTGATTAACTTTATTGTTTTTATTAGAGAAAGTGATTTATATAAATGCCAATTCTTTGAACTTTATTTAGACTTGCTTTATGTACTAGCATGTGTCAGTTGTTGTAAAACATATGTTGGGTGCTTGAAAATAATGTTTTCCTAAATTAATTGGTGCAAAGTTCTATGTAAGTCAATAATTATTAGTGATGTTCAAATCATTAATATTTTTATGAATTTTTTTTCTATCTACTTGGTCTGTAAATCTCCCATTATAATGATGGATAAGTCGATTTCTTCTTGTTATTCTAATTTTTACCATCTTTTAAAGGCATGTCAGTAGGTATTTGCAAGTCTGGAATTGTTAAATCTTCATGTGAAATAAATTTTGTAGCAATATGTGTAACTCTCTTTATCATTAGTATAATTTTTAGCCATAAAGCCTATTTCATCTGTTATCAGTCTGGCTGCATCAGCTTTCTTTCAATAAAATTTGATTAGCTTATCATTTTTTCATGCTTTTATTTTCAACTTTTCAATGTTCTTATGCTTTATCTTTGTATCATATAGGCAACATGTAGTTGGGTTTTTTTTTTAATCCAATCTGGTAATCTCTGTCTTTTAACTGGAGATTTTGGTCCACTTACATTTATTACAGATGTCCAAAGTTAATGTCTTAATTTGGATTGCCTCAGAAGCAGACCCTGAGGTAAGAATTTGAATGAAAAGTTTTATTTGGGAGGTAGCTTGAGAGAACACTGATAAGGGAGTAGGGAGATGAGACAGGGAAGGGAAGGAAGCCAGTAAAGTATGTCTCATTTGGTTACCAATGTGGACAACTAGGGCTAAAACTCAATAGGTAACTCTACAAGGCAGTGCAGAACAAACCAAGGAATGAGGGTGAGGGAGCTGGAGTGTTTATCCATTAATTTCCAGCATTATTAGTTGAGGGCTGCTTCTGGGGACATTAATTCCTCAGCACTTCCAGCTTGTCCTGCACACACGCAGGGGAGACACAGTGGTCAGAAGGAGCCCTCATGCAAAGAGCCCCAAATACCGCCAGTTAGAAGTTTGGAGAAAGGCCAGAAAATGCTAAAATCCAAGGCTGTATGGGCAGGGCACTGATAGCATCTGCTATCAGTTAATATCTTTACCCTCCTTCTGCAAAACACAAAAACCTTAACTCAAACCACTGTCATCCAATTTATACAGTATTGTCTAGAATTGTAGTTCTTTTTAAGCACACAAATCATTATTTTATATAGTCAGTATTTGCTTAGATTTCACCAGACGTCTACATTTTTTTTCTTGCTCACTTTTCCTTTATACGCCTTAGATTGCTCTTCTGGAATCATTTTTATTATTCCTGAAATAAATCCTTTGGAGTTCTATAGTAGGAGTATGTTGGACTTACCAGTCTTGCCTGAAAATGTCTTTATTTTATTCTTGCTCTTGAATGAGAATTTTCCTGGATAAAAATTCTACACTGACCGTTATTTTCTCTATTTTGAAGATATTATTAAGCTGTTTATTGGCTTCTGTTCTTATGTTGATAAGTCAACTACTAGTTTGTCATTCTTTGGTAGGTAATTTGTCTTTTCTGCCTGCCTGCCCTTAAGATCTCTGTCTCGAGTGTTCTGCAATTTTGCCATCGGTGTTTAGGTATAAATTTCCTTTTTTTAAATTTTTATTTTATTTTTTTTTAGACAGACTCTTTCTCTGTTGTCCAGGCTGGAGCACAGTGGCACAATCTTGGCTCATTGCAACCTCCACCTCCCCTCCTGGGTTCAAGCGATTCTCGTGCCTCAGCCTCCTGAGTGGCTGAGATTACAGGCATGTGTCACCACACCCAGCTAATTTTTTGTATTTTTAGTAGAGACAAGGTTTCACCATGTTGGCCAGGCTGGTCTCGAACTCCTGGCCTCAAGTGATCCACCCACCTTGGCCTCCCAAAGTGCTGGGATTGCAGGTGTGAGCCACTACACTCGGCTTTTCTTTTATTTTTATTGCATTGAATTTGTTGGGCTTTCTGAATCTGACAATTTATGTCTACACCATTTAGAACTAAGTTAAACACATGTGACAGCAAACTCAAAGTAATGGTGGTTTGTAAAGGACAGAAGATTATTTCTCTCTTGCATGCAAGTAGTCAGATGTTGGACAATCCTGGACTGTTAAGGGTCTTCTAGCTCACTGCTCCACTGCCCTATAATGGCTTCCTTTCTCAGGGTCTGAGCTGGCTTCTGGAGCTCCAGCCCTCACACCTGTATCCCAGTCAGTAGGATGTGCAAGAGAAGGAGGGCTTGCCCCTTTTTCTCTAAAGAGACTTCCCAGAAGTCTTAAAGACTTTTGCTTATCCTTCAATGCCAGAATGCAGTCACATGGCCACACCTAGCTAAAAGGGAGGCTAGAAATAATAGAACTTTAGTAGGTTGCATTGCTACTATAGCTTGGATATTTGATCCTCCAAACCTCATGTTGAAACTTGGTCCCCAGTGCTGGAGGTGGGGCCTAATGGAAGATGTTTGGGTCATGGGGGCAGATCCTGTATGAATAGCTTGGTGTCATCTTCATGGTAATGAGTGACTTCTGGCTCTATTAATTCCTGCAAAAGCTGGTTGTTGAAAAAACCTGGCACCTTTCCCATCTCTCTCTTGCTTCCTCTCTTGCCATCTGATCTCTGCACAGGCCAGCTTTGCTTTGACTTCCACCATGAATGGAAGTGGCCTGAAACCCTCACCAGAAGTGGATACTGGCACCATGCTTCTTGTACAGCCTGCAGAACCATGAGCCAAATAAACCTCTTTTCTTAATAAATTGACCAGCCCCAGGTACTTTTTTATAGCAACACAAATGGACTAAGACAATTACCATTCCAAATGAATTTGTGGTTCTGACAACTGGAAGAGGAGGACGAGCGCTATTGGAATAGGCAACTAGCAATCTTTACCACAGTCTACCTTTTGGCTATCAGACGTCCATTTTACACTCCATTCCCACATTTGGAACATGTTCAGCCTCCAAAAGAGAAACCTTGAAATTCCCATCCAGTTACTACATCTAGGTCAAAGTTCAGTATCTTTGGGTAATACAAAGGTCTTCCCATCAGGTCTAGTTGTAGCTGTTTATGTTCTGGTGACTTATAAAATAAAAGACAATCCATCTGATAAACAATGACTGAATAGGTTAACACAATTATAGCTCTTGTTCAGCAAAGGGGAATATGAGAAGCATGCAGTCATCACTGGTCCATAGTGGTCACCAAGTCTAGTTGGGGAGGAGGAGTGGAGTCTTCCAGCCCTAGCAGTGGGGTAAGCTGCCTGGTTAGTCCATCTGGCAGCCCCAGGTTCTTCCTTCTGGGAGGAACATCCTAATCTATTGTCCGTTGTGACCATCACTTTGCCTTCTCTGAGGCTCTTCCCTATCCCTTTTCCCCCATGGTCACATCTGAGTGGGCATAAAAATTATGCTTCTTGGAGCTGCATAATGTTTACACTCTGTTTCCTGCTGATGCTGATTTAGGGCCTGGGTATGCCTTAGGGAGTTTAATTGTCACAGATCCAATATTCCATTGTGTTAATATTACCACAAATTATTTATCCAACCCACTGTTTGATGGGTGTTTTGGGGTAGTTACCTGTTTAGGGTTAGTACAAATAAGTGCTGCTATGAATATTTTCAGGTTTGTCTTTTGATGAATTTACATTTCTGTTGGGTATTGTTCCAGCTACCTATTACTGCATGACAAAGTGTCCCAAAATGTAGTACTATCAAACAACACTCATTTTATTATACCCATGGGCCCTGTGGGTGAGGAACTTGAATGGGGCATGGAAGGTATGGTTTGCTCTGCTTCACCTTGCCTGGGGTCTCAGTTAGGAAACCTGGATGGCTGGGGGTGATTTGAATGCCAGGGCAGGAGTCATATGGAGACTTCTTGCTCACAAACCTGGTGTCTGGGCTGGAATAAGTTGAAGCCTGCACTTACCTGGGACTAAACCTCAGGTTCCCTCTCCATAGCCTGCCCCTGTGACTTAGGCTTCCTCACAGCAGGAAGGTCTTGATATGGTCAAACTCCCTGCCTGGAGACTCAGGAATCTAAGAGAAATCATTCTAGAAAGAGAAATGGAAGGTGGAAGGCCTCTTATGAAATTTTTCTGTCTGCAGAGTCTCATAGTGCCACAAACACCACATTCTATTGGTTGAACTGTCAAGCTCTCCATAATTCAAAGGCATTTGATATAGATTCTGCCTCTTGAGGAAAGATGTGTAAAAGAATTAGACACATCCTCAGGAGTGGAATTTCTGGGCCACAGAGTATGCACATACTCAGTGTTGGTGCTGCCAATCAATTTGACAAAGGAATTATATCAGCATAACCCCCATAAGCAGTGTATGAGAGCTCTGCTTGGTCCTGCCTTTTTCATTTTAGCTATTCTGTTGGGTGTGAAGTAGCAGCACATTGTGACCTTAATTTGCATTTCCTTTAGATTTTCCTGATGCCTAATAATACAAGTTGTAGTGGGCTGAGTGGTGTCCCCCAAAAATATCACATGCTTTAATTCCTGAAAGCTGTGAATGTTGCTTTACGTGGTAAAGTTTTTGCAAATGTGATTAAGTTAAGGATTTTGAGATAAGTAGATTATTCCGGATTATCTGGTGGGCCCTAAAAACCATTGCAAGTTGATATGGCTTTGCTCTGTCCCCATCCTAATCTCATCTTTGTAGCTCCCATAATCCCCACATGCCAGGGGAGGAATCTAGTGGGAATTAATTGAATCATGGGGCAGGTCTTTCCCATGCTGTTCTCTTGGTAGCGAGTAAGTCTCACAAGATCCGATGGTTTTATAAAGGGGAGTTCCCCTGCACATGTGCTCTTGCCTGCCACCATGTAAGATGTGCCTTTCTCCTCCTTTGCCTTCTGCCATGATTGTGAGGCCTCCCCAGCCATGTGGAACTGTGAGTGCATTAAATCTCTTTTCCTTATAAATTACCCAGTCTTGAGTATGTCTTTAGTAGCAGTGTGAGAACAGACTAATACAGTAAATTGGTACTGGTAGAGTGGGGTGCTGCTGTAAAGATACCCAAAAATGTGGAAATGACTTTGCAACTGGTTAACAGACAGAGGTTGGAAGAGTTTGGAGGGCTCAGAAAAAGACAGGAAGATGTGGGAAAGTTTGGAACTTCTTAGAGACTTGTTGAATGGCTTTGCCCAAAATGCTGATAGTGATGTGGACAATAAGGTCCAGGATGAAGTGGTCTCAGATGGAGATGAGAAACTTGTTGGGAACTGGAGTAAAAGTCACTGTTGCTATGCAAGGAGACTGGTGGCATTTTACCCCTGCCCTAGAGATCTGTGGAACTTTGAACTTGGGAGAGATGATTTAGGATATCTGGCAGAAGAAATTTCTAAGCAGCGAAGCATTCAATAGGAAGCAGAGCATAAAAGTTTGGAAAATTTTCAGCCTGGCAGTGCAATAGAAAGGAAAAACCTATTTTCTGGGGAGAAATTCAAACCTGCTGCAGAAATATGCATAAGTAACAAAGAGCCCAATGTTAATTACCAGGACAATGGGGAAAATATCTCCAGAGCATGTCAGAGACCTTTGTAGCAGCCACCCCCCATCACAGGTCTGGAGGCCTAGGAGGAAAAAATGACTTCCCAGGCCAGGCCCAGGGTCCCACTGCTGTGTGCAGCCTATGGACTTTGTGCCCTGCATCCCAGCCATTCCAGTCGTGGCTAAAAGGTGCCAAGGTACAACTCAGGCTGTGGCTTCAGAGGGTGCAAGCCCTAAGCTTGGCAACTTCCACATGGTGTTGAGCCTGCAGGTGAATAGAAGTCAATAATTGAGGTTTGGGAATCTCCACCTAGATTTCAGAGGACTTAGGGAAATGTCTGGATGTCCAGGCAGAAGTTTGGAGCAGGGGTGGGGCCCTTATGGAGAATCTCTGCTAGGGCAGTGTGGAAGGGAAATGTAGGGTTGTAGCCCCTGTAAAGAGTCCCCACTGGGGCACTGCCTAGTGGAGCTGTGAGAAGAGGGCCACCATCCTCCAGACCCTGGAAAGGTAGATGCACCAACAGCTTGTACCGTGCACCTGGAAAAGTCACAGACACTCAACACCAGCCTCTGAAAGCAGCCAGGAGAAGGGCTGTACCCTGCAAAGCCACAGGGGTGGAGCTACACAAGGCAATGGGAACCCACCTCTTGCATCAGTGTGGCCTGGATATAAGACATGGAGTCAAAGGAGATCATTTTGGAGCTTTAAGATTTGGCTGCCCCTCTGGATTTTGGACTTTCATGGGGCTTGTAGCTCTTTTGTTTTGGCCAATTTCTCCCATTTGGAATGGGTCTATTTACTCAATGCCTGTATTCAGGAAGAAGCTAACTTGCTTATGATTTTACAGGCTCATAGGTGGGATGGACTTGCCTTATTTCAGACAAGACTTTGAACTGTGGTCTTCTGAGTTAATGCTGAAATGAGTTAAGACTTTGGGGGACTGTTGAGAAGGCATGATTGGTTTTGAAATGTGAGGACATGAAATTTGGGAGGGGCCAGGGAAGAATGATATGGTTTGGCTGTGTCCCCACCCAAATCTCATCTTGAATTGTAGTTCCCCTAATTCCCATGTGACATGGGAGGGGCCCAGTGGAAGGCAATTGAATCATGAGGGTCGTTCCCATGCTGTTCTTGTGATTGTGAATAAGTCTTATGAGATCTGATGGTTTTATAAAGGGCAGTACCCCCATACATGCCCTCTTGCCTGCCACCATGTAAGACGTGACTTTGCTCCTCCTTTGCCTTCCACCATGATTGTGAGTCTTCTGCAGTCACATAATACTGTGAGACCATTAAATATCTTTCCTTTATAAATTACCCAGTCTCAGGTATGTCTTTATTAGCAGCATGAGAACAGACTAATACACTAATACAGACTAATAATTTATAAGAATACACTAGTGTTCTTTTAAAAGAGAGGCAGAGGGAGGTTAGACATTCACATTGGAGAAGGTGAGGGCAAGATGGAGGTAGAGGTTGGAGTGATGCAGCCACAAGCCAAAGGAAGCCAGGAACTGCCAGCAGCCCCCAGAAGTGAGAAAAGCCAAGGAATGGAACTTCCTCAGAGCCTCCAGAGGGAGCAAGGCCTTGCCAATACCTTGATTTTGGACTTCTTACCTCCAGAACTTTGAGAATACATATCTGTTGTGTTAAGTTGCCATGATTAGGGAATTTGTTACAGCAGCCCCAGGAAACTAACACAAATGTATTTTTGTTTGTTTACCGGCCATTAGCATATCTTCTTTCATAAAGTACTCATTCAGGTATATTGCTCATTTTCTATTGGGTTGTCTACCGATTTGTTTATTGATTTTAGGAGTTCTTTCTATATATGCTGTTTCTTTTCTTTTCTTTTTTTAAAATATATTTTATATAAGTTGAACTGGTTTGTGTTCCCTGAGAAGCAGAGACTGAGGTGGTAGAAGTGTAAAAGGCTTACTGTGGAGTACACTATGAAAGAAAAGGAAAGAAGATGGGATTGGGTAAGGGGAGCCATCGATCTGCAATACAGCCCTGGTGGCCTCTGATAACCCCATAGGGAGCTCTGAAGCAAAGACCGCCCATCAAAGGAGCCCTGATTCAGGTGGAAATAGCTAGGCCTTTGTATCACTGCCTTCTTTAGTCACTGGCTGGAGCATACTCTGCAAAGAGCACGGTTGGTTACCTTTGCCTTTCTGAATTATTGGCCGAGGATGGCCTCCAAGAAGAGCATGACCTTGGCTCAAAAGCTGATGTGGACCTGAAGCATCCTGCCAAAAGCAGGACGTCGTGAGTTCATCACACTCCTCACAGCTCCACAGGGGGTCCTTTCTTAAAGGAGGACCTGAATGGTGCATTCACATTGCCATGAGTCCTATATTGTAAATGCCTTCTCCCAGTCTATGCTTATCTTTCCCAGTTTAAATGATGTCTTTTGATGGACAGCAGTTCTTGATCTTAATGTAGTCCAATTTTTCTTTTTTTCCTTTATAATAAGTTATTTTTATGTCGTTGTAAGAAACATTTGCCTACCCCAAGTTTTCTTCTAAAAGATTTATTTTTAAACCTTCCACATTTAGACCTACAATCCATCTGGAATTTTTATGAACAATATGTGAAGTAGGGGTCACAATTTATTTTGTCCATTTGACTATTCAATTGCCCTTCAAAAGACCATCTTTGCCCCCTGCCCCACCATACTGTAGGTGTCATCTTTCCCATCAATCAGGTGAACATATATATTTTGATTGGCAGCTCCTCAATGGCTAATGATGTTGAGTATCTTTTCATGTGCTTATTGGCCATTTGTATATCTTCTTTGGAGAAATGTCTATTAATATTCTTTGTTCATTTTAAAATTAGGTTATTTATCTTTTTATCATTGAGTTGTAGGAGTTCTTTATATAGTCTAGGTACAAGACCTTTATCAAACATATGATTTGTGAAAATTTCCTCCCATTCTGTGGGTTGTCTTTTCACTTTCTTGATTATGTTCTTTGAGGTACAAAGAGTTTAAATTTTGAGTAAGTCTAATTTGTTTCTTTTTTTCTTTTGTCACATGTTTTTAGTGTCATATATAATCCAAGGTCATGAAGATGTATGCCTATGTTTTCTTCTAATAGCTTTATAATTTTTTAGCTCTGACATTTAGGCTTTTGATCCATTTTGAGTTAATTTTTGTATATGGTATAAGACAGAGGTCCAACTTCATTCTCTTGCATGTGGATATGCAGTTGTTCCAGTACCATTTGCTGAAAATACTATTATTTTCCTCATTGAATTGTTTTGACACCCTTGTTGAAAATCAATTGATTATAAATACGAAGATTTGTTTCTGGATTGTCAATTCTGTTCCATTGATCTATGTCTGTCCTTATGCCAGTACCACCCTGACTTGGTTACTGTAGCTTTTTAGTAAGTTTTGAAATTGAGAATTGTGACCTCCAACCTTGTTCTTTTATCTCAACATTGTTTCGGCTACACTGGATCCAAGATGAACAAAGTGTCCTATTGCATAACATACTCCCTTCTTTCTAAGACAGTTGTGGTTTAACAAAGGTTTTGTTGCCTTCGGTTAGCCTTACCACAGGTGATTTGACAATGATCAGTCGTTCTCAGCTGGGGACAATTTTGCACCGCCCTTCCCTCCAGGGGACATTTGGTAATGTCTGCAGAGATTTTTGGTTATGACAATTGAGAAGAGGGTGCTACCCATCTAGTGGGGAGACACCAGGGATGTTGCTAAACATCCTGCAGTACACACAACAGGCCCCCACACCAAAGATTATCTGACCCAAAATGTCAATCGTGACAAGGTTCAGAAACCCTAGACAATAATTATCATGTCTTTTTTTAAAGCTTTCTATGGAAGTCCTGAGTACATGTGTGACTGTTATTTCTTTGAACTCCTTTAGCCTAGAGATACATTTTGAAAATGTTTATTTGTCAAAAATTAATGAAGGAGAATGAACATTGCTACCATTTATTGAAGACCCTTTCTGCCTTAGACACAGTGCTTAACATGTTAATGAGGCCACCAACATTCATTTCATTATTTTCTCCAGAACTTTTCTGCTTTGGGTCAAAGGTTGATATAAAGCTTCCGGAGGAAATGATGAGTACACTGCAATTTTCAAGTAAATCACATAATTCAAAGCAGAAACTATTTAGATTGAGTCTTTAGGCATGAAAATATGTAACATTTCAAAGTTGGATTTTACTCAGATGAACATGTCACATTGTGATTGATAGGAGTACAATAATTTTTCCACCCACTTTTGAAAAAGCTGGAGTCCAAAAGCAAGCCTGGTACTCATCTTCCAGCATCTAGACTCAGGCTGCCAGTAAGAACATTCCCACGATCACTCCCCTGGCCCCCAGTACAGACTCTCCCTGTCTCAGCTTGTGCTATCTTCCCTGCAGGTCTAGGGATTGAACAATGACTTGAAATTTTGAAAAATAGCACTTTCCCAGCTACAGAAAGAAAACAAAGAGAATAAAAATCCTCATAAATGTATAGGGCCATTTGACTCAGGGAGTCCGATAGCATTGTCCAGGGATCAGGGAAGTGGATAGGGATGAAATAAGCAGCTAGAAACCAGAGATGGAATAAGGGTTTTGTATTGTTAGCAAGGTCAGTGTAGGGTGCTGAGCATGAGTCTGAGGCAGTGTCCATATCCAATGGGAGAGAGCACAGCTCTCAACTGAGAACTGGCAAATGCCATATTTGCTATGCCTGCTTGAATGTCTTTTTTTTTTTTTTTTTTTTTTTGAGACTGAGTCTTGCTCTGTCACCCAGGCTGGAGTGTAGTGGCACGATTTTGGCTTGTTTCAGCTCATTGCAACCTCTGCCTCCCAGGTTCAAGTGATTCTCCTGTCTTAGCCTCCTGAATAACTGGGATTACAGGTGCCTGCCACCATGCCCAGCTAATTTTTTGTATTTTTAGTAGAGTCAGAGTTTCAACATGTTGGCCAGGCTGGTCTCGAACTCCTGGCCTCAAGTGATCCACCTGCCTCAGTGTCCCAAAGGGCTGGGATTACAGGTGTAAGCCACTGCATCCAGCCGAATATCTTGCTTTCATTGAGAAAGGCATATTAATGGGGGAAAGTTATTGGCTGTAGTTTATGTCATTTATACAGGGTTAGGACAGAGGTCATCTTATCCTTATTGGCACACACAGTGGGAAAGGGTGCACATCCAGGTGCATGTGGGCCTATGTCACCAGATTTCCACCACACCCACCTCCCCATTGTCCCGTAACACTTGGCCACTGTCTCATCTTTCCCAGTTCTCCCATCCTGGTTGGCTCAGTAGATTAGTTGATTCTCTTTTCAGGTGCCGTCTTTGAATTTTCCACACTCTTGGCGCATGCGCCTCAGCTCCTTGGATATCACCCTGACATTGAGCCCCTGGTGCTGTGCTTGGGACTGAGGGTAAATGACACAGTCAGTGTCCCCAACCCCACCGCATGGCAAAACAAATGCTGACACTTCTAATTGCCTTTTGTCAGCCGGGGAAGTGTTGAATATTACCAGGATTTCAGGCAAAATGACTGGGTAAGAGATGACTTGATACCTGACTTAAAAGAGGACACCCTGATGGGCAGAGCCCCAACTCTGACTTTGCTCTGGCTTGAGACAGTCCTCAGACAGTTCTCTTGGGTGAGGCTGCCAGATAAAACACAGGATGCCTAGTTAAATTTTAATTTCAAATAAACACGGATTTCTTTTTTAGTATAAGCAGGCCCCATTTAGCACAAGTATGTCCTATATTTTTATTTGCTAAATCTAGCAACCCTACTCGCGAGCTAATATTGGGTCGGTCACCAAGTGTACCTGACACCTTGCCGTGGGCCAGGGCTGGGCAAGAGTCAGCTCCCACCTCCCCGTGCCCCGCTACCAGCCCCGACCAGACCTGACTGCACATGCGCACTGAGCAGTACACGCCTGTGTTGAGGCCCCACGGAAGGATACCGGGAGAATGGGCGCAGTTCTCTGGCTTCTGCATGGGGAGGGCCTCCACCTCTGTCAAGGTCCTTGTGGTGGGACTTTCCACAACTGGGTTTGCGGTACTGCCAGGCAGCTAAAGAGAGTGATCAGCAGACATAGGTTTGAAGATTACCCCAAAGGCATTGCGCAAGGTCCGGCCTGGTACACCAGAACACGGCAGCAGCTGGCGCAGCCGGGCACCGAGGAGGGACCTCCCACTCCTGCCCCTTCCCGCGTGCTCTGAGTGACCCTGGGATAGAGAGAGAGGGAGAGGAGAGCCCTTGCTTCTTCCCACCCCCAGCCCACTGGCCACTCAGGAGGAACCCTGAGATGGGGTCAGAACAGGGCTAAGTGGACTCTCTTTGTTCTGCAAGTTTCCTGTGACGCAGCCCCAGCCACACCCTTCTCCCAGGGAAAGTGTCTCGTCCCGCCTGCCTTCCTAACAGGGACCCTTCTTCTGCCACTGGCCTTCCCTGTCTACCTACATGGCTGATGATTTTCATTCCTTATGAAAATAAAGCTGGCTTTAACTTATTTGTAATGTGCACACTTGATGCACAGATTCTAATAATGCCATCCTCCAATAAAAGAAACCAGGGCTCCTTGGAAATGGCCACTAAAGAAAAAAACAAAAACAAAAACAAACAAACAAACAAAAAAAGCCTTTAGACACTTAAAGTTAGTATTATTCAGAGTCTTACAGAGGAATCCAACCCCAGAGGGGTCCTTCAGAGCGTTTCTGTTAGACTGCTCCAAAGCAGTATTTCAGCCCACAGCTTATATACGGGTGATGGAGGTTCTCTGCTTGTGTTCAGAAGTCACATTACAGCAAAATCTCATCAAAGTTTGGGTGGGTAGATTACAGAGGCACAATCATTAATCTTGTCAGATGTTATCAGGCTCATTCCCAGGAAGTTACCTCTCTTGGCAGGGGAAAAGAATCTTCTTATTGCAGGCAGGCCAGATTGCTAGCAGCATGGGGTAGGTCACAACACAAGGCTGCATGCCATTCTCCTGAATAATGATTCATCTCTTGTCAGTGGGCGACCAGTACTGTGGCTTTAGCCATTGAAGAATAGTTGTCCAATTTTGAAGAATTTAGGTAGAGAGAAAGGTAAATGTTTTAATTTTGTTCACAAAAGTAAACTTTATCCAATTGTTGTAAGATAAAAATAGCTCAAAAGAAAAGAAGCATTCTTCACTTTGGAAAACAAAATATAAATAGAATCAGCAATGTTTCAAACAGAAGTCATAAAAATCACTGTAACCTTCCATCAGTTCAGCCCCATGAAAATCGTTTTAGTTCTCCATCAGTTCAGTCCCATGTAATTCTTGTTCTGATTGTTGTTTGGCAATCTTCGTAAATGCTCTCATTAGAGTTCTGGAATTTTTTGTTTAGTCCATTGATCTTAAAGTTACTAGACATCTGTGTTCAAGAGTACTTGTTAAGGCCAGTCACAGTGGCTCACATCTGTAATCCCAGAACTTTAAGAGGCCAAAGTGGGCAGATCACTTGAGGTCAGGAGTTCGAGACCAGCCTGGTGAAATCCTGTCTGTACTAAAAATACAAAAAAATTAGGCAGGCATGGTGGTGCACGCCTGTAATCCTAGCTACTTGGGAGGCCGACACATAAGACTTGTTTGAACCGGGGAGGTGGAGGTTGCAGTGAGCTGAGATCTCACCACTGCACTCCAGCCTGGGTGACAAAGCCAGACTCTGTCTCAAAAAAAAAAAAAAAAAAAAAAAAAAGAGTACTTAGAGAATAATTCAAAACAATAACTGTGGATGACAAAAACTTATAATAGCCATGGTTAAAATCTGATGAAAGTTCTCAATTGAAGAAAATGTAGTTCTTTCTATTACATATAGTATTTTAAGATAACAACCAGAATGATGACAGACAGTGGCCCATCAGGACCATCAGACTTTTATAAATTTTATTTACTCTTTAGAATGCTCACATTAATAACATCCATACTTTGGAAATGTAACTTTGGAAAACATTTAACATTACAATCAAAATTATTTGACAGATAACATATTAGAATATTTTTGAATTTATATAATTATAGAACATTTATATCAATAACATACCCATAAATATAACTGGAAGACCTAGTATCATTTATGATTTGATAATGCTTTCCTTATAATTTACCAAATAAGTCTAATCATTTAACATCTGTGCAAGATGACAGATGCTTTTTTTTTTTTTTTTAGGTTTTTCAGCAACCCCAACTGGAAAATCTCAAAGTTATGTGAAGCCAAAAAAAAAAAAAACCAATTAATTTAGGGTTTTGATCCTGGGGAAACCTGCCAAAGATGTCAAAAGGTTAAAAACATTTAATTGAAACAGAATTGCCGGTCATTGTTAAGTAATAATCATTTAGAAGTTACATTCGGGCAAAATCTCATCAAAGTTTGGGTGTAAGAGTACATCTGGTTATAGATTACAGAAGCATAATTCTTCATCCTGTCATTGTCTTATGTACAGGAAAAGGCAAGGGCTAGAATCATTGAACTTATCTTTTCTAAAAATGTGGTAATCAGGCAAGAGATGTGGGAACCTATTCTCTATCCTGCTTATCATGGTCAAAGCATTCTTCTAGAGGGCTGTGCTCAGTCACTGAGTCAGAGGTTTCTGAACGAGCAGAAGGAGCAAACGTGGCTTTTTTTTTTTTTTTTTTTGACGGTCTTACTCTGTGGCACAGGCTGAAGTGCAGTGGTGTGATCATGGCTCACTGCAGCCTTGAACTCTGAGATCAAGTGATCCTTTCACCTCAGCCTCCTGGGTAGCTGGGACTACAGGCGCATGCCACCAAGCCTGGCTAATTTTGTTTTTTATATATAAGTTTTTGTGCAGAGCAGTGGTTTCACCATGTAACCCAGGCTGGTTTGGAACTCCTGGACTCAAGTGATCCTCCCTCTTTACAGCAAGGGCCAACTATGTGACTAGTCAGAGGCAGATGTTCGCTATTTTTTCTCATAAAGGAAAGATTGATTTTAGGACAGGCAGGAAATGTACAAGATGAGATGAGCCTGGAGCATCATGTAGTGCCAGAAAGTAAGGAAGTGTTTTATACACACACACACACACACACACACACACACACCAACTCACATTGATGGGAAGAGGTCAAAGGAGCACAGGAGCCAATTGAAAGAGCTCCTAAAGGCCAAAGCTGGAACAATTTGAGCAACAAAATAAAGTAATATGGGACTATAACCCAAAGTGTGAGATAAATATTTATGAGTTATACTAATAAAAATAAATGATTGAATTTTAAAATGGAGAAGTGACAGATCTCCCAGTAGAAAAGTCTAAATAACTTATGTAGATAGTTCATCCTCAAGAAGGTAGAGGATAACTCTCGCCTCCTCCATGTGGGCTCTGCATAGTGACTTCCTTCAAAGCATACATGTGTGTGAAAGAGGAAAACAAGAATAACTACAGTGGAGAAACTTCACAAACACTACTTCAGCCAGGTGATCAAGGTTAACATCAAGTGATAAGTAATGCTAATAGTATGCACTCTTGATATGATGTGACGAGAATGGCCCTTTACCTCTGTAGTCTTTCTCCGAATAACCCGTAACCACAGTCTAATCATGAGAAAAACATCAGACAAATCCCAATGGAGGGGTAATCCACAATCTACCTGAAAAGTACTCCTCAAAACTGTTGGCTGGGAGCGGTGGCTCATGCCTGTAATCTCAGCATTTTGGGAGGCCGAGGCAGGTGGATCACTTGAGCCCAGGAGTTCGAGACCAGCCTGGCCAACATGGTGAAACCCCGTCTCTACAAAAAATACAAAAATTAGCCAGGTGTGGTGGCATGCACCTGTAATCCCAGCTACTTGGGAGGCTGAGGTATGAGAATCGCTTAAACCCAGAGGCAGAGGTTGCAGTAAGCTGAAATCACTCCATTGCTCTCTAGCCTGGGTGACAGAGTGAGACACTGTCTCAAAAAAAAAAAAAAAAGAAAAAAGAGAATAAAAATTTAAAAAAAAATTTAACTGTCAGCATCATCAAAAACAAGAAAAAGACAAGGAAAGCCTAAAGAAACATGACAACTAAATGTAATCTGATATTCTGGATGGAATCTTAGTACAGAAAAGGGACATTAGGTAACAACTAAAGGAAATCTGAGGCTGGGGGCAGTGGCTCACGCCTGTGATCTCAGCATTTGGAAGGCTAAGGTGGGTGAATCTCTTGAGCCCAGGAGTTCAAGACCAGCCTGGACAACATGGTGAAACCCTGTCTATACAAAAAATACAAAAATTAGCAGGATGTGGTGATGCATGCCCGTAGTCCCAGCTACACGGTAGGCTAAGGTGGGAGGATCGTTTGAGCCCAGGAAGTTGAGGCTGCAGTTACCTGTGATCACACAACTGCATTTGAGCGACAGCAAGACCCTGTCTCAAAAACAACGATAAAACTGAATGAAGCATGTACCTTAGTTAATAATGCATCAATATTTGTTCATTAATTGTGACAAATGTATCATGTTAATATAAGTTGTTGATAATAGGGAAAGCTGGGAGTGGAGTATATAGGAATTTTGCACCATCTTTTCAAGTTTTCTGTAAATACAAAACTATTCTAAAATGAAAGGGTTATTTTTTAAAAAAGACAAAGGTAGGGGGAAGCTGGCTTTATTGAGTTTTCTGATTATGAAAATAAATATGCAAATTCAAGCAATACAGAAAATACAAAAGCAAAAGTAGCAATTACTTGAAATCTTAGCCTGCCTTTAACATTTTGGTAACTCCTCCCAGTCTGTGTCTAATGTCCACAGAGTTGAATGTGAAAATTTTTATGTAAATCAGATCCTACATGAATTGCTATCCTATCACCTGGTTTTTTCTCCACACAACAAAACATTTGTGTGTATTTAAAGGTTATCTTTAAATGCTAGTATAGAGCTACCTCATTATTTTAATAGTTTATAGTATTCTATAATATTATAATCCACCTGAGAAAGCTTATTTGCCATTTAAGTGTGTTTATTTTCTCCTCTGAAAAACACTGCATTCACATGCATATACAAACATCCTTGAACCTGTCCTTTGGTATTCATGGGGGCTTGGATCCAGGACCTCTCATGGATACCAATATTCCTGGATCTTCAAGTCCCTGATATAGAGTAGCAAAGTATTTGCATATAACCTATGCACATCCTCCAGTGTACTTTAATTCATCTCTAAATTACTTATAATGGCTAGTACAATGTAAATTCTATGTAAATTGTTGTTATACTGTATTGTTTAGGAAATTACAAGAAAAGAAGTCTGAATATGTTCAGAACAGACACAGTTTTTGTTTGTTTGTTTGTTTGTTTGTTTGTTTTTGAGGCAGTCTCGCTCTTTTGCCCAGGCTGGAATGCAGTGGCACAATTTTGGCTCACTGCAACTTCCACCTCCCCAGTTCAAGTGATTCTCTTGCCTCAGCCTCCCGAGTAGCTGGGACTATAGGCGTGTGCCACCACGCCCGGCTAATTTTTTGTGTGTTTGTTTTTTTTTAGTAGAGATGGGGTTTAACCATGTTAGCCAGATGATCTCAATTTCTTGACCTTGTGATCCACCCACCTCGGCCTCCAAAAGTGCTGAGATTACAGGCATGAGCCACTGTGCCTGGCCACAGTTTTTTTTTTTTTTAAGTGAATGTTTTTGATCTGAGATTGGCTGAATCTACAGATGCAGAACCCATGGATCTGGACAGCCGACTGTACTTACATAAACTCCTGGATCTGGAGAGCCAACTGAACTTACATAAATTCCTGGATCAGGGAATGAACATTTACTATCTTGGTAGAGATTGCCAGGTAGCCTACAGAAGCATTGCTTCATTTTTCACTCCCATCACCAGTGCATGACAGTACCTGTTTCCCCACACCTTGCCAATATTGCATGTTGTCATTCTTCTTAATATTTGTCAATCTGATAGTCGAAGATAGCTGCTGATTTCCATCTAGTGTTGTTGGCCTATCTTTCAAGCCTGTGTTCCCACATTTCTGTTGTGAAATTACCATACTTACTCCATGTTCTAGCCTTTAACTGGCCCGTCGGTCCAATGGTTGAGTCAAGCCACTAGAAAAAGATCTTGGAAGTCAGGGCCATTATAATTCAAGATTTCCTTTCCCTTTCCAGGGCCTCAAGTATTCTGGGAAGGTACAGGGCAGCCAAAAAAAATTATTGTTGAAATGAATAGCCCTAAGCCAATGACTGCATGAAGGGTGAGTGTGTTGTTGGGGCCTGAGTAGCTGGGAATTGAGTGTGTTCAGCAGGGTGGCCCTTTGTAGACCAGGCTCCTTACTTGGGAGGGGCTCCACAGCCCCCAGGAAGATGGTGCTGCCTGAATGGACATGTTTTCCTGGGGGACCCATTCCCTGGTCACAACTGATTGAACCAGAGGAGGGAACTGATCCAAGCTGAGCATTCAGATTCTCTCTCTGGAATTTGAAATAACAGACACAGAAACCAGTTAAGTAATGTGGGCCATTGGAGTTGTAAGATCAGGGAGAGTTGAGGCCATTTTTGGTACCATGGTAACCCAAAACAATGAGTTATTGCAGATTAGGAGATTTTCAAGGCCATAAAACAAGCTAAGAGAGGCAGAAATGAGGAACACGGGGAGGGAGGGATTGAGAGAAAGAATCAGAGAATAAAAAGCTGTGTGGCTTCCCCAGGTCCTGTGGGCCCTGGCTATATTTCTTGGAGGTGTGCTCCCTGGGGTTACCTTGTGTGCATCTTCACAATAAATTATTTCAGGAACTCATCCTTAACCAAGACCAAAATAATGGCTCAAGTCCAACAACTCTTTTTGCTTATTCTTCACAGTTTCCAAACAACTTTCATATAAACGAACTAAATCCTGATAAACTAATATTATACGGATACATATTTGTAAGTGTATATTTATCCATTATAAATGCATGGTTAGCAAGTAGTTATTGATTAACCATAGTGTGTCTGGCACTGAGCTGGGAACCACAGACACACTAGAAGAGTAAAGACACAATTCCTCACCCCAAGGAGCATTGATGGGAGATAAGCTAACAACAAGTGATATCATGTGGTAATTACTAAATGCAAGAGACTTGGGAAAGGTCAGAATTACTGTGGGGCAAAAAAGTCAGAAAATTTCTTACAAGTAGGGAAACTTGAACTGGGATTTGAGTGGGCAAATGTTGAATAAAAAGAAGAAAAAAATGAGGACATTCCTGGAGAGGTAGAAGAAGAAACAAACAGTCCTCTAACATGTTGCCATTTGTAATTGCTTTTACTTGCATTCTTTCCTTTTTTTTTTTTTTTTTTTTTTTTTTTGAGACAGTCTCGCTCTGTCACCCAGGCTGGAATGCAGTGGTATGGTCTCGGCTCACTGCAACCTCTACCTCCCAGGTTCAAGTGATTCTCCTGCCTGAGCCTCCCGAGTAGCTGGGAGTGCAGGTGAGAGGTGACAACGTGCTAGCAGCCCTCGCTCACTCTCGGTGCCTCTTTGGCATTGGCGTCCACTCTGGCCACGCTCAAGGAGCCCTTCAGCTCGCAGCTGCCGCTGTGGGGGTCCCTCTCTGGGGCTGGCTGAGGCCGGAGCTGGTTCCCTCTGATTGCGGGGAGGTGTGGAGGGAAAGGTGTGGGCAGGAGCCAGGGCTGTGCGCACACACGGGTTCTAGGTGAGCGTGGGCTCAGCAAGTGCCTGCTGGGCTTGATCAGGGGATGAGCTCCCTCTGGGTGGCTGGAGTGCCCAAGCTAGGTGCTGCAAAGTCCCATGGCGAGTGCCAGTGAGAGAAGCCGGCTGGACTTCTCCTACCGATGGGGACTTGGGGAACTTTTCTGTCTAGCTAAAGGATTGTAAACGCACCAATCAGCACTCTGTGTCTAGCTAAAGGTTTGTAAACGCACCGATCTGCGCTCTGTCAAAACGGACCAATCAGCTCTCTGTAAAACGGACCAATCAGCTCTCTGTAAAATGGACCAATCAGCAGGATGTGGGTGGGGCCAGATAAGGGAATAGAAGCAGGCTATTTGTGCCAGCAGCTGCAACCTGCTAGGGTCCCCTTTCACGCTGTGGAAGCTTTGTTCTTTAACTGTTTGCAATAAATCTTGCTGCTGCTCACTCTCTGGGTGTGCGCCGCCTTTATGAGCTGTAACACTCACCGCGAAGGTCTGCACCTTCACTCCTGAAGCCAGTGAGACCACGAACCCACCAGAAGGAACCAGCAGCTCCAGACACGCCACCTTTAAGAGCTGTAACACTCACCGCAAAAGTCTGCAGCTTCACTCTTGAAGTCAGCGAGACCACGAACCCACCAGAAGGAAGAAACTCCAGACACATCTGAATATCTGAAGGAACAAACTCCAGACACACCATCTTTAAGAACTGTAACACTCACTGCGAGGGTCCACGGCTTCATTCTTGAGGTCAGCGAGACCAAGAACCCACCAATTCTGGACACACAGGTGTGTGCCACCACACCCAGCCAATTTTTGTATTTTTAGTATAGACGAGGTTTCACCACGTTGGCCAGGCTGGTCTTGAACTCCTGGCCTCAGGTGATCCGCCCACTTTGGCCTCCTGCATTATTTCCTTTAACTCTTTAAAGAATGCTAAATGTATTACTATTATTATTATTGTCAACAATAGCCTGGTTTATAGCTGAGAAAATGGAAGGTCAGAGAAGTGACCATGACGTGTCTAAAGACACCCAAGTCAATAAATGGCAGAGCACACACAGATAGACCAAAGGTAATGCCAGCCCCTGAAGGAGAAACGGCAGCTCCACTTTTCCCTCCTTGGGGAATCTTACTTCCCTAACCTCACCTTCACGGGCCTGACTCTGCTAGTGTCTTCACTCCATGCCTTCACTCTCCAGTTTCTAAATCAGCTCTAAGGCCACATGTTAGGGTCTCTGGTCACTGGGTTTCCTACACGCTTCCTTGGCTGACCTGCAGGAAGGCTGGGCTGGGACAGCAGCCTGTGGTCAGGTTGGAGCTTGCCGGGAGCCCTGTGTCTATGTGGTCTCTGACACAGTGGTCACAGGTGTGAGCCTGTCCATCCTCACACTTGCTACAACCATGAATCCTACATATAGGGGAGGAGAGCAGGGTGGGCTGTAAAAAGGAGTTCCGCATTGCCCAAGAGCTACTTACGATTTAGATAAGCCTGTCCAGCGTGGGTCTCCAAACTTGATTCCCACACTCACCTGAAGTGATGTGTGGACTCTGTGGAAAGGTTGGGGCCTCACCAGGCACCCCCATTCATCAGTCCAGCACGATAAGAGCTGAGCCAAGATTATTGCTCCTTGAGAAGACTGCTGAGATCAGAATGACAAGCCCCGTGCATAGACAGGGTGGGTGCCGGGAGGCCCAGTGGCCAGCTGTTGTGTCAGGGGCACCCCTGCAGAGGAGATGTCGAGTTGTTGTTGGAGAAGCCATCCCACATAGCCTTGTCCTGGCAACTGGGGACCTCCCAGGAGGCCAATGAGTTCTCCAGGCAACAGCCCTGAGGGCCAGGGGTGTGCCCATGGTGGAGTTGCCCAGGAAGCCGTCCTGCTGGGCTTGGCACCGTGGGGGAGGGGTGGGAGTGGGAATGGGGCAGGAGCTGAGCCTTCCAGCTCATGTGGGACCGAGGGGCCAGAGGACCTGGCCTATTCCAGGGACTACACTTCCCAGGCAGAAGTCTCCGTTTCATTTTCAGTGGAAACGAGGATACTCTGCTTCCTTGTGAAGGGTAGTTTTAAGACATTGACAAGCAAGTGTGTCATAACCATGTTGCAACTTTTAAAATGCTATTCCAAAGAGGACTGTGGTTATCCTGGTGATTAGAATGAGGAACATAGTTTTCCATTTGACACAGAGTATTTCTTTTAAGGGTAAGAGCCAGTGGGCTAGGTTTCATTGCACTGACCTGCAGCCCCCAGGACTGTCCCCTGCTCTGGGACCATCCCTCACTTGCTGGAGGGATTTAGGTTCTCAAGAATACTGATATGAATTGGCAGGTATCACACGCCAGGTAATCCCAGGTGCATTACATGCATTACCTTGTCTCCATCCTCCTTGGGAGGAAAGCACTACGATGATTCCCCTGAAGTAGAAAAAGCTGAGTGACTTTCCCAAGGGTCATGTGGCTAGGGAGTGGTGAGCCAAGAGTCACCCCGGGCCGTCTTATCTTGGAGCCTTTGTTCTGGACTTACCTGTTCTGTTGCCTTAGGAAACATGCCTGCCTCTGTGCTTCCCTGCCCCTACCCATGCCAATCTCCCTTTACCCCTTCCTTCTTGCGCTCCAAGCATCCAGATATGGATCAATTCTTTTCTGCTTTTTGAATGAATATGGTTCTGTCTTGCTTCTGGGCCTTTGCACATGCTGCTCCTTCCTCTAGGACACCTGTCTCCCCATCCTTCTTTTTTTTTTTTTTTTTTTTTTAGTTTGAGATGCAGTTTCACTCTTGTTGCCCAGGCCGGAGTGCAATGGCGAAATCTCGGCTCACTGCAACCTCCGCCTCCCAGGTGTAAGTGAAGAATCGCTGCCTCAGCCTCTCAAGTAGCTAGAATTACAAGCATGTACCACCACGCCTGGCTAATTTTGTATTTTTAGTAGAGACAGGGTTTCTCTGTGTTGGCCAGGCTGGTCTCGAACTCCTGACCTCAGGTGATATGCCACCTCTGCCTCCCACAGTGCTGGGATTATGATCATCGCATCCCCATCCTTCTTTACTTGAACAACTTTGACTTGTTTAAATGTCAGCTTGACCACTTGCCTTGTGGGAAGCATTTTTGGAGCCCTCCAAGTCTGAGTTAGTGCCCCCGCTCTCTGCTCCTGCAGCTGGTGTACACTTCCCCGTTGCAGAATTAATCATTCTGTACTCTAACTGCCTTCTGACTTTCTGCAACTGAATCCTGAGTGGTCAGCAGTGTCTGCACATGGAAGCCCCACACATACTTGTTGGAGGAGGAATTAATGAATGACTGCTCAACACCGCCTCTTTCACCGTTAGTCCACCCCGCCCTGTCTCCACCTTGTATTGTACATCTTGTATGAGACACGTTAACACTTTATTTGGTGAATCCTAGCAAGGCCTGGAAGAGAGGCCAAAGCAACAGAGGATAGGACCTTCAGGGGGTTGGGGACAGCAGGTGTTCATTAACTGGTACAGAAGTATTTCAATATTTTAACAACCAGTAACACAACTGTTGTGTGTCCTACTTGTGTGCATTGTTTATTCCACCAATGACTTCCCTGAAGTGATCAGCAACCACGGTCACTGGCAGGATTGTGCAGAGTGGAGTGGGCTGAGAGCTTGGAAGGACATCTCTTCTGCTGGTTGCCCAAAGCAGCATCACTGATGCATATTAGCCAGTTATTCATGGTTGAGATAGGGAGACAATAAGCCTCTGTGACATTTCTCTGGGACCTGGGGTTTGAGAAGCACTCCAGGATAGGGAAGGACAGAAGCTGGTACTGATGTAGCTCCTGCACCAAACAATAGCTTTGTGTGTGTCTGTGTGTGTCTGTGTGTGTGAGAGAGAGAGAGAGAGAGCTTGTGTTTGGTGTGCCATTATGCATGGTTAGCATCTGCATGTATGTGATGGGTATTTGTATGTGGTCTGTAAGTGTATGTGCGGTGTGAGGGGTGGTTTGGTGTGTATTTGTGCTGTATGCCATGGATATGGTGTGTAGATGTGGTTGTGGTTGTGTGCATGTGCCTATGTGTGTGCATGTATGTGTGGTGTGTATTATGAAGGTACTGAGGCAAGTGTTCTGGATGAGACTGAGGAGATGGTGACAGAGAGAGAAAAGAATGGAGGGGACCATCCCTTAGCCAACTCCTGGAAGTTCGTTGTATGTGGTCATCCAAGTGGGCAGAGTGAACAGGAGACCTGGCTGGGACCACCAGCAGCCAGCAGGACAGAAACATAGAGGAGGAAGAGAGAGCCCCAGTGATCACCTCGCCTGATCGGGAGAGTGTCTTCCCTCTGCTGGGCGGGCAGAAAGCATGTTCTAAAGACAGAAAATTTAGCAAAAAAGGGAGAAAGGGCTCCCCAGTTTCCTTTGCAACTTCTGCACCGTTTCTGTTTTGTTTTTGTTTTTGGTATAGCTCTGTGCCAGAAACAGCTTGCCCAATCGAGCATGTGAGGGAAAACTCATGGCCTCTCAGGCCACATCAAACAAAGCAAGGCCTTCAGCACAAGAGAGATTTTTGCTCTTCTTGGCAGGGATGACATCCTGGAGATTATAAAGGATTTGGGTCAGGGAGAGTCATCAAGAACATCCTGTTCCAGGAGCCCTGAGGCCCCGAGGCCCAGGATGGAGGACAGGTGACAAATACATTGCCCAGGGTCACACCACTGTTTCTTTCTGGTGGTTGAGTGTTAGCAGAGCCCCAGACTGATTTATTGATCAGGTTATTGGAAGGGCAAAGTCTCCCCCAGGCTTCCTGATTATCAGTCCAGAGCTCTTTCCACCTCCCCAGCTAACAGGAGACCCATGGTCTCCTCCAACCCTGTGGAACCTTCTTTTTTTTTTTTTTTCTTTTTTTTTTGAGACAGAGTCTTGCTGTGTCGCCCAGGCTGGAGTGCGGTGGCGCAATCTTGGCTCACTGCAACCTCCGCCTTCCAGGTTCAAGCAATTCTCCTGCCTCAGCCTCCTGAGTAGCTGGGACTACAGGCACACGCCACCACGCCCAGCTAATTTTTGTATTTTTAGTAGAGACGGGGTTTCACCATGTTGGCCTGGATGGTTTCGATCTCTTGACCTCGTGATCAGCTTGCCTCGGCCTCCCAAAGTGCTGGGATTACAGGTGTGAGCCACCACACCCGGCCATTTTCAGAAAATTCTTTCACAAATGATTAACTGACAACACAAAATGAAAATGTTGCCAGCTGGCTGCTGACCACATATGACAAACCACCTCTCCACCACTAAAGTCACCAGTGCCCCATTAACACTTGGGACATGGATCTCCTCAGTTTGTTGTTGGAACATTTGAGGAAATAGCCCAACTTAAAAAAAAAAGTTTTAAAAATGAGGTATAATTTATACACAGTGAAATGCTCAGATCTAACCTACAGAGTTTGATGATTACTGGCAAATGCATTCACCATGTAGCCATTACCCCAATTAAGATAGAAAGCATTTCATCACTTAGAAAGTTCCCTCTTGCCCTTTTCCAGTCAACCCCAATTGTTCTGATTTCTATCACCATAGATTGGTTTTGCCTTTTGTTGAATGTCATATAAATGGGATCATACAGTATACAGTCTCCTATGTCTGGCTTCCTTCATGCAGCATAATATCTGTGAGATTCATCTACATTGTTGTGTATATTAGCAGTCCCTTCCTTTTATTGTGGAATACTTTTCCATTGCATGCATATTCCACAATTTGTGTATCCATTTATCTGTTGTTGGATGTTACATTTGGATTTTTCCAGTTTCTGGCTACTAAGAATAAAGTTGCTGTGAACATTTAGGTACCAGTTTTTGTGTAGGGTGGATGGACATAGGTTTCATTTGTCTAAGGTAAAAATACCTAGAGGTGGAATTTCTGGGTCACAAGATACATGTATGTTTAACTGTATTTAAAAAAAAAAAAAGCCGGGAGTGGTGGCTCTCGCCTGTAATCCCAGCACTTTGGGAGGCCAAGGCAGGCGGATCACGAGGTCAAGAGATCGAGACCATCCTGGCCAACATGGTGAAATCCCATCTCTACTAAAAATACAAAAAATTAGCCGGGAGTGGTGGCAGGCACCCGTAGTCCCAGCTACTCGGGAGGCTGAGGCAGGAGAATCACTTGAACCCAGAAGGCAGAGGTTTCAGTGAGCTGGGATTGTGCCACTGCACTCCAGCCTGGGGACAGAGTGAGACTCCGTCTCAAACAAACAAACAAAAAAACCTCCATGAGGAGGGGGTGGCCACAGCTGTTACTGAAAGTAACCATTTTGGCTGGGTGCAGTGGCTTATGCTTGTAATCCCAACACTTTAGGAGGCTGAAGCGGGTGAATCACTTGAGGCCAGGAGTTTGAGACCAGCCTGGGCAACATGGAGAAACCCCATCTCTACAAAAAATAAATAAAAAAAAAAATTAGCGGGGCATGGTGGCAGGTGCCTATGGTCCCTGCTACTAGGAAGGCTGAGGTGGGAAGATCACTTGAGCTCAGGAGGCAGAGGTTGCAGTGAGCTGAGATGGCACCACTGCTCTCTAGCCTGGGCTACAGAACAAAACCCTGTCTCAAAAAACAACAACAAAAGTAACTGTTTAATTTGCTGAACTAACCAATAGATTTCATAATTGGTGCTAACTTTGGGTTGTACCCAAGAAAATGCTTCTTCATGTTACTAATGGAAGCGGACTAAGTAAAGTTGAAATAGATACACTGAGATTATTTACACCAAAAGTTTGACCAAACCTTTTGGAAATTTGCCTTAAGCTCCACTGATTACAATTAAGCAGGATGATTCATTAAGAATGTAAATAATGGAAAGGTCAGCCTTTGAAAACCAATCTGAGTGCTGAATTTTTACTGCTGTAGACTTAGTCTTACCCCAGGAAAGATAAACGGAATTCTTTGTAACTCAAGGGACAAGTTGCCTGGGCTTTCACTCTCTTGTAGATGTACCTTCAAGCCCAATTGTAATAGAAAATGGCATGATGAAGCTTTTGTGTTTGGGGAATTTGAACGGGAAAAATGGGTCTGACTCTGGCTGGCCCCCGGGGAAGTGGGGCAGAGGAAAATGGCTTCTGGCCCTACATAGAGGTGTTGCAGTCTCACCAACCCACCTTAATGTAGCAGTTTCTCTTTGTCTTAACTGGTACCCCAGGTCCTTTGTCCTATGTCCAAGAAAATTAGGAACGCAGACACAAACATGGTGTTGGAGGGAAAGTTTAATAAGTGAAAGAAATAAAGCTCTCTGCAGCAGAGAGAGGAGTCAGAGTGGATTGCCAGGTTACAGCTGAGAAACCCCTCTCATCTCTGTAGCAGTTTGAGTAACTTCTCTTATCAGTAAGGCTGTCTGTGCGACGCCCCTTATCTCATGCAGCTGTGGGTATGTTTTTAGGTAAGCACAAAGCACAGCTTCTCTTGTTTGTATACTGTGAGTTTGTTTTAGGTAATCCCCCCTCCTCCGTGTGCAAGTTCTCACCATGTATCTGACTGAAAAAGGGAGAAAATTTTTTCCTGGGAGCTTGCTAATTAGACAAAGAATAAAGAACTCCTGTGCGGGATCCTGTTTGTTTATCTGTCCAGGTCCAGCCTGAGTTTTGTTTTGTTTTATTTTCCCCAGGTTGTTTTATTTTTGTCTGTTCCAGCAACTTTTCAGGCAGGCTGCTTCTGCACTCTGAATTTTTCCCAAATGATTTTTCCCACTTTCCTTCTCCCTTAGAGGCATCCTGAACTACTCTGTTTGTCTTGGCAAAACCTTAGAGAAAAGGCTGCAGGTGTCTGGTTAGGCTGAAACTAGGGACTGTGGCCTAAAAAGCTCATGTGAGAGGCTGGACTAGCTTAATCTGTAACCGGGGAAGTGGGATCATCAGAACTGGAAGCTACACTGGGAGCTGAATTGTAGGACAGCAGCAGCAGCAGGTTCCTGGGAGGTCTCCGGGGACCAAGACTGCAGACATTGAATTTCCTGGCAATCTTGGTTGTCCTCTGTATAAATGAATCATTGTTTATCATTCTGCAGACGCTTCTGGTGTTAGAATTTTACACTCATACCCTTTGTTATGTGATTTTGCAGTGCCCTCCATTAGTGTGAGTGCAGTATACCTCCACCAAGCCCGGCAGCCCTGTAGCCTGATGCAGAGCCTCCCAGCCAACCCACAGCCCTGAGGGCAAGGAAAACAAAAGCTCATTGTTGTATGCTCATGGTTTGTTATGCAGAATTATTATAGCATTTGCTGACTGATACATCTACCAAATACCTGGTCTTTTCTTTCATAATAATGCAAACCCCAATTTTTAACTGGCTCTTTGGAATAAGGCTAAATTTCCCAGCCTTTCTTACAGCTAGATATGATCATACTAGTGAGTTCTGGTCAATTAGATGTTAGTAGAAGTGGTTGGGCATGGTGGCTCACGCCTGTAATCCTAACACTTTGGGAAGCTTAGGCAGGCGGATCATTTGAGGTCAGGAGTTTGAAACCAGCCTGGCCAACGTGGTGAAACCCCATCTGTACTAAAAATACAAAAAAAGTTAGCCAGGTGTAGTGGCGGGCGCCTATAATCCCAGACACTCGGGAGGTTGAGGCAGGAGAATTGCTTGACCCCAGGAGGCGAAGGTTACAGTGAGCCAAGATCGTGCCACTGCACTCCAGCCTAGGTGACAGGGTAAGACCCCATCTCAAAAAAAAAAAAAGTTAGTAGAAGTGTTTGTGGCAACTTCTGAGACCTTTCCTTAAAAGCCAATGGCATGCAATCTTCATCTCTGTCTTCATCCTGCTGTCTGGAACAAGGATATAACAGCTGGAGCTCTAGCTGACATTTTGTATCCTGAGAAAGTTGCTCGTGCCCTAGGGAAGATGGAGCTGTGAGCTACCTGGAGCTACCTGGATTATTCTATGAGAGAGAAACAAACTGTTCTTTAAGCCTCTTCATCTCTACCATTCCCCTGCCGAACTTACTCCTGACACAGTTCTCAAGCCAGCTCTTACTAAGTCTGAAGAATAATTGTGATATTACTTATGAGCAGACTACTGACTATTGTGTAGCAATGATCAACTGTTATCTATACAAAGCAAAATGGGTACAGCACCAAATAGTTTAAAGTCGATCTCTCAGGAGGGAGGATAGAGAGTGATTGATAACAGTATTGGTTCCATTAGGAGTTATAAAAATGTTCTACTATGAAATAGTGGTGATGGTTGCACAACTCTGTGAATACACTAAAAAACAGAACTGCATACTTTAAAAGGGTGAATTTTGGCCCAGTGTGGTGGCTCATGTCTATAATCCCAGCACTTTGGAAGGCCGAGGCAGGAAGATTGTTTGAGCTCAGGGGTTCGTGATCAGCGTGGGCAACGTGATGAGAGCCCGTCTCCACAACAAAATTTTATAATTAGCTGGGTGTGGTGGTGTGCACCTATAGTCCTAGCTACTTGGGAGACAAAGGTGGGCGGATCGCTTGAACCTAGGAGGTCGAGGCTGAAGTGAGCAGTGATCATGCCACTGCACTCCAGCCTGGGTGACAGCAGAGTGAGACCCTGTTTCGAAAAAAAGCGGGGGTGGTGAATTTTATGGTACTTGAATTATATTGCAATAAAGCTGTTACCAAAAAAATCAATCTCTTGTTTATTGTTTATGCCTTTGTCTTGTTTTTGTTTGTTTGTTTGTTTTGAGATGGAGTCTTACTCTGTCACCCAGGCTGGAGTACAGTGGCATGATCTCGGCTCACTGCAACCTCCGCCTCCCAGGTTCAAGCAATTCTCCTGAGTAGTCAGCCTCCCAAGTAGCTGGGATTACAGGTGCCTGTCACCACACTTGGATAATTTTTGTATTTTTAGTAGAGATGGGGGTTTTGTATTTTTAGTAGAGATGGGGTTTCACCATGTTGGCCAGGCTGGTCTCGAGCTCCTGACCTCAGGTTATCCACCCGCTTTGGCCTCCCAAAGTGCTGGGATTACAGGCGTGAGCCACCGCACCTGGCCTATTTATGCCTTTGTGAGGGATGTATTATTTCTCCCACTTTACAGTACACAAAACTAAGGCTCAGAGAGCTGAAGTGACCCTCCCAGTTTATACACCTCATAAATGTCAAAGACAAGGCTGGAACTCAGGTATCCTGACACCAGCACTGTGATGCTTCCTTTCCAACCCCCGAGTGTGTTTGGCCCTCCTAGGGCCATGAGGCATCTGGATTCAAGGACTATTAGACAACTTTGAGTGATGGGTCAAGCTTGTTTTCAGCTCTTCCTTTCAGCACCTTCTCTTCTGGCTCCCCCATCCTCTGCTCGCCCGCTTGTCATGCCAACAGTCCTGGTTGCTCAGGGTCCCTGCGTGCTCTATTTGACAAGCATTCTTGCCAAGAAATAGAAAAAGATATTTGACTGATCTAAACCAACATAACACAATTGCAAATAGGTTTTCCCATGTTGCCATGTACCCCAACTCTCACATGTCCCTATCCCCAGTAGCTGGAGGTGTAGGACCTTACCATCTGGGGGAATTTCAATTGACAGCAACACACATTTATGGGAGGGTTCTTTGAACCAGCCACTTTGATGGATGCTTTTAGATGCGTTCCTACTGAAACTTCCCCACAGTCCATGGAATATGAGTATAGCTGAGCCCATTTTACAGATAAGGAAACTGAAGCTTAGGAAAGGTTAGGTAACCTACCCAAGTTTTTGCAGATAGTGACCAAGCCAGCATTCCAACCCGGGTATCCTAATTTGAAATTCATCATTCTTTTCCTTATTTTGTATGTGCGTTTGTCAGTGTTCCCCATGAGGTCTAACACATTTCTGGAGCAAGGCAGGAGATATCAAGGAGGTGACAAAAAACAAATAAATGAAAGCCAGCCTTTGCCAGCTTGCCCAGAGGCCTTTTTTTCTTAAGGAAGATTTATGAATCAGCCCTCAACCCAAGCACACACATATGTGGCAACAAGACTCACTCTAAGGTTTTTGTTTTCAACAGAAGACAGCCAACTGCCTGGCATTGGCATGGTTTGTGCATAAAATGGGTAGGAAAAGAATGGGAGGAAGAGATGCAGCACAAGTTTTGCTTTATCTTCTTAGAGGCAACAAGGGCTGCTGAGGGGATGGAAGCCAAACATCCTGAGAGGGGAGTCACTTGAGAGAGTTTGAGGTTGATTAAGTTTCAAGGGAACTCACAAACTACAGAAGGAAAAGGAATGTTGGTAAAGTAATGGGCTGGCAAGATGTAGAAACTCTTGCCAAATTAATGCCATATGATGTTATTTACAAGACCTTACCTCCTTCCAAAATGGATTGTAGGTAGATGAACACTGGGCCCTTTGCTGGTATTGTGGTCACTACTTGGCCTGGGACACTACTCTACTGGCCCCAGTGCCACCAATGCTTTGCCATCAACCGCAGAAGGAATTCCAATTACTTTGTTCAGTCTAGATTTATTTATTTATTTATTTATTTATTTATCCATCTGAAGATGGAGTTTCACTTTTGTTGCCCAGGCTGGAGTGTAATGGTGTGATCTTGGCTCACTGCAACCTCCGCCTCCTGGGTTCAAGCGATTCTCCTGTCTCAGCCTCCTGAGTAGCTGATATTACAGGCACGCGTCACCACACCCAGCTAATTTTTTTGTATTTTTAGTAAAGACAGGGTTTCACCACATTGGCCAGGCTGGTCTCGAACTCCTGACCTCAAATGATCCACCCACCTCGGCCTCCCAAAGTACTGAAATTAAACATGTGAGCCACCATGCCCAGCCCAGTCTAGATTTCAAAGTCCCAGGTGGCCGGGCGTGGTGGCTCAAGCCTGTAATACCAGCACTTTGGGAGGCTGAGGTGGGCAGATAATGAGGTCAGGAGATTGAGACCAACCTGGCTAACACGGTGAAACCCTGTCTTACTAAAAATACAAAAAATTAGCCGGGGGTGGTGGCGGCCACCTGTAGTCCCAGTTACTCAGGAGGCTGAGGCGGGAGAATGGCGTGAACCCAGGAGGCAGAGCTTGCAGTGAGCCGAGATCGCACCACTGCACTCCAGCCTGGGTGACAGAGCGAGATTCCGTCTCAAAATAAATAAATAAATAAAAACTAAAATTTAAAAAAAGTCCCAGGTGAGGATCTGATTAGCTGTACTTGGTTTGTATATCTGTGTTCCTGCTACCAGAGGTCCAGGGGAGTTTTTCACTTTCTCAGCATCCAAGATGAGACCCTCACACAAGGGCAGATTCCCCACAATCAGGAAGTAGTCTCAGATGTCAACAATAATAACAAAAAAAGTCTACTATAATTGAGATAATGATATCTACTTCTTAGAGTTGCTGGGAGCATTGGATAAGATCATTCATTTATTCTGCCACAATTTATTGAGTTATTTCCAATACCCTAAGCACTGTGCTAGGTGTAGGGTAGTGCCTGTAAGTCCTGGCAAAAATAAGCACTCGATAAATAACAACTATCTTAAAAGATGCCATAAATGGACATGGAAAGGAAGCAAATGGTACCTAGAAGTTTTTTTTTTTTATTATTGATTTATTTGAGATGGAGTTTCACTCTTGTTGCCCAGGCTGGAGTGCAGTGGCGCGATCTCAGCTTACCGCAACCTCCGCCTCCTGGGTTTAACCAATTCTCCTGCCTCAGCCTCCCAAGTAGCTGGGATTGTAGGCATGTGCCACCACACCCAGCTAATTTTTTGTATTTTTAGTAGAGACAGGGTTTCACCGTGTTAGCTAGGATGGTCTCAATCTCCCAACCTCAGGTGATCTGCCTGCCTTGGCCTCCCAAAATGCTGGGATTACAGGCATGAACCACCATGCCCAGCCGGAGGATTTTTTTAGTTGAATATTCAACTGAGCTCTGATCTCTGAGCTTCCTGGAAGCCAATGGGAGTAGTAATTCTAACAACAATAACATCAAAGAGCTAATTTATTGGGTATTTTCTATGTGCTAGGCACTGTGCTAAACATTGTACATGTATTAACTCACTCCCAGTCCTCATGATAACTCAATAAAATAGATATGGTGATGATGATGATTTTACAGTCCAGCACATCTAACCAAGATCACCCAGTTAGTGAATGGAAGCACAAGGAATTGAACTCATATCTTTCTGACCGCAGAGCCCAAACTATTAACCACTGCCCTGTAATTCTCTCTAGCACCAAACATCTGGAATGAACTACGGAGGGCTGCCAGCTTCCATTGCCATAAGTCAAGCCTTTGTAAAGCTCCCAAGGTCTGTTTATAAAGGCTGAAAAGGCACATGATTTATCCCTTGCCATCTTTTCCACATTTTTGTTTACTAGGCTGGTTTGCATTTTATGCAATGGATTTAAAATTTCCCTTTCTTTAGCTTGCTTAGGAATAGTGGCAGAAGCAAGTGAGAAGGAAGTGAGAAGGTGCTGAGGATGGATGTGAAGCAAAACCTTTTACCCAGTCATGGTAGATTTGCCATGGCAGCGAGCCTGGCAGGAGATGGGCCTTTAATCATCTATTTTCCATTAATTCTTGGAACCAGTGCTTCCTTGGCACAATGGTGAAAAAAACAAGATTGGTTTTATGCTCAAAAATGTAGGGGCTGGAAGGGACCTTAGATCTTCTAGTCCAGTTGTTTCCAAGTGTTTTTAAAGCAGTGGAACCCATTCCTTAAAGGAAATTTTCACAAAAGCTCACATTCTAAAATAGACCAAACAGGAGCTGCTATGGCAGAAGTAAGGCTGGGGGCCCAGAGCAGCTTGAGAATCGCTGAGTCCGGCCCCCGTGATACAGGTGAGGAAATGGAGGCCTGAAAATGAGAGTGACTTGTCCATGGTCTCATGGCCTTTTAGTGGCAGAGTCAGCTCCCAGGCCCAGCACCTGTACCCAAGGCAGTGCCCTCTCTGCTAGAGCATGGCTCTTGGCTCCTTCCAACTCAGCACCTCCCCACTCAGGACTCCTCCTCCAGCCTCATGAAGGTAAAACAGAAGGAGCCATTTCACTAAAAACCCTAGAAGACATTGGAGCACAAGCAGTTCATCCCCTTAGAATCCTCTAACAGAGTGATGCTGAGCAGGGAGAGCTGCTCCCTTCCTTGTTGCCACAGGTGGCTGTGCAGCAGGAATGCCATGTCACATGTGCTTCAAGAGGACATGAAGAATTATTGATGATGCCTGGGGGAGGTGCAGTGGCCTGAGGACGTGTGCTAGGATGGAAATAGCAATGATGTCTGTGTGGTCAAGGTTCCATCAGGAAGTAAACAGCATCTCAAACTGGGTGTCTCAGGAGCATGTAGTGAAGGACCGCTTGCAGGGATGTGGGCAAGGTTAAGGGGTGGTGAAGCATGACAGAGCTAGCAACAGCAGGAAGCCTTTACCTCTCCTGGATCTGAGGGGGGCAAGGGCAGGTGTGTTTAGAATATCGGCCACTTGATAAGAGTTGCAGCCTTTGTTATGGGAATACCAATTTGTTATGGGAATACCAATTCATTGCAGGGAGAGAGCAGGATATAAATACTCTGATCTCATTCTCCTCTAGCCCCTGCCTCCAGTGCCTTTCGTTGGCTGAACCTGACCAGAAGCTAGGGCAAAGTAGACTGGATGATGCAATTCATAAAGGTCAGCATTTCAGGACACCAAGCATGGCAGAGGAGGGTGGAGAGGAGGGTCTGGAGGGATACTATGGCTTAAATATGTTCTCCAAAGTTCATATGTTGGAAACTTAATCCCCAGTGAAACAGTGTTAAGAGGTGGGACCTTTGAGAGGTGAATAGGTCATGAGGGCTTCACCCACATGAATGGATTAATGCTATGATTGTGGGAGTGGGTTCATTATCGTGGAGTTGGGAGTGAGCTCCTAATGGAAAAATGAGTGTGGCCCCCTTTGGCTCTTGCTGTCTCTTGCGTGTGCTCTCTTACCCTTCCATGTTCCACCATGGGATGACACAGCAAGAAGGCCTTCACCAGATGCTGACTCCCTGATCTTGGACTTTCCAGCTTCCTGAATTGTGAGAAATAAATTTCTGTTCATTATAAATTATCCAGTCTGTGGTATTATGTTATAACAGCACAAAATTGACTAAAACAAGGGGCACACAGAATATAACCAATGCAGTATTATCCAGTAGAAGCAGCAGTGTCCATCCAGTAGGCCTCAGAAAGAGCTGGCTACACTTGTTCATGAGTACATATGAGTCACTCCCAGAAATTCTCATGGGGCACAGGAACTTTGTAGGGCTGATGTAGGGAAGAACTTGAGAAATAAGGTCATAACTATGACCTCATTTATACCTACTGAGGCATGGGGAAACTTAGTACACTTTATTACTAAAGCCTAGCTCCCCTGAGATTGGCAGTGGTGGGATAATGTCTGGGTTAAAGGGGCAAGTGAGGTCCCCAAAGGTTTTCTTTGTCCCTGGAGACATCTTCATCTCCAGCATTCTTGCTACCATGGCAGCCACAGGGAAGTGTGGCTTTCTCCTTGCCTTTGATATCTACAATATTGCAATGCAATTCTGACACTAGCTATCCATAGTGGACCAGACTCCACAAGTTAAGGACACAGTCCTCGGCTGGGCACAGTGGCTCACGCCCGTAATCCCAGCACTTTGGGAGGCCGAGGCAGGTGGATCACGAGGTCAGGAGATCAAGACCATCCTGGCTAACATGGTGAAACCCCGTCTCTACTAAAAATACAAAAAATTAGCCAGGTGTGGTGGCGGGTGCCTGTAGTCCCAGCTAATTAGGAGGCTGAGGCAGGAGAATGGTGTGAACCTGGGAGGCGGAGCTTGCAGTGAGCTGAGATCGTGCCACTGCACTCCAGCCTGGGCGGCAGAGCAAGACTCCATCTCAAAAAAAAAAAAAAAAAAAAGGACACAGTCCTCAACAAAACTGCCCTCACTTCAGATGTCAGTCACAGTATGGGGTCCCCAGGCCACTTGCAGTTTTAATCAACTGGCTATAAATTCAGGGGTTCCTACTATCCCCTCATGTTTGATAATTTGCTAGAATGACTCGCAGAACTCAGGAAAGCACTATACTTATGATTTCAGTTGTATTATAAAGTGTAAAAATCAGAACCAGTCAAATGAAAAGACTTATAGGGCGAGGTCTAGGAAGGTCCCAAACATGGAGCTTCTGTGTCCTCCCCACATGAAACCAGGGCACATCACCCTCCCAGCATATCGATGTATTCACCAGCCAGGAGGTTTGCCTGAGCCTTAGTATCTAGAGTTTTGTTTGTTTGTTTTTTGTTTTTCTTTTTTGAGACAAAGTATTGCTCTGTCGCCAAAGCTGGAATGCAGTGGTGTGATCTCAGCTCACTGCAACCTCTGCCTCCTGGGTTCAAGCGATTCTCCTGTCTCAGCCTCCCAAGTAGCTGGGATTACAGGCATGCACCACCATGCCCGGCTAATTTTTGTATTTTTAGTAGAGACAGGGTTTCACCATGTTGGCCAGGCTGGTCTCAAACTCCTGACCTCAGGTGATCCGCCCGCCTCAGCCTCCCAAAGTGCTGGGATTACAGGCATGAACCACCGTGCCCAGCCAGTATCTAGAGTTTTTATTGGGGTTTCATTACATAGGCATGATTGAGTGACTCGGCCACATGATCAAACTTGATCTCCAGCTTCCTACCCCTCTAGGCTCAAATTCCAACCCTCTAATCACATATGTAGTTGGTCTTTCCAGCCTGGCCAGCCTCCATGGGCCCGCCATTAGTCACCTTGTTAGCATAAACTCAGGAGTAATCCCAGGGGCTCACCACGGATAACAAATATTCTTCTACCACTCAGAAAATTCCAAGGGTTTAGAAACTCTGTCCCATGAATCCAAAAACAAAGACCAGACAAACTATGACACAACAATATCTGTAGCACGGCTGTCACAAGGCAGAAACACTTCAGGATCTGACTAAAGGCTGGCACTGAGAAGGCGGGGGTTTTCCTTGGTCCCAGCCTGCTATGTTCTTAGCGACTGATTGGAGTGTTGTGTAGAGGCTTCTGTGGCTACATCCAGGACCAGCTGGAGGGAGTAATATGGTTAACCAGTCATGACAGCCCTTGCTAAGAAGAGGATAAGAAGGGGAAAGCAGGAGTATGCATGTTGGATACTTGCTAATCCTGGGCTAAGGGATTTTTTTCTTTTTTCTCTTTTTTTAAAGAGAACAACCGCAGAGTAATGAAAATGATAATGCTGTTTGCAAACAAAAGTTTGCTCTCATGAAAAGAATAAAAACCTGGGACTCCAATTCACTATGCCTAAAGGAAAAAATTAAGCTGAAAGCTGACTCATTCAAGAAACTGCCTTTCCTTTTGTTCCTAAGCAGATAGCTACAGAAAAAAAAAGAGCATGGTGATGTATGCCCAGTTACTTGGGAGGCTGAGGTGTGAGGATCACTTCAGCCCACTGCAGTCCACTCTGGGCAACAGAGCAAGACCCTGTCTCAAAAAAAAGGCCGGGCACGGTGGCTCACGCCTGTAATCCCAGCACTTTGGGAGGCCGAGGTGGGTGGATCACGAGGTCAGGAGATCGAGACCATCCTGGCTAACACGGTGAAAACCCATTTCTACTAAAAATACAAAAAATTAGCTGGGCGTGGTGGTCGGCGCCTGTGGTCCCAGCTACTTGGGAGGCTGAGGCAGGAGAATGGTGTGAACCCAGGAGGTGAAGCTTGCAGTGAGCCGAGATGGTGCCACTGCACTCCAGCCTGGGCGACAGAGCGGGACTCTGTCTCAAAAAAAAGAAACAAAAAATCACATTTACCCCAAATGATTGTCTTAATGAATGTGGGCCTCTTCCAGGGACTATCATGTCAACCCACCCATGTAGAGAGCTGATATTCAGCTCATACGTACTGGTTATCAGACCAATTGTTAAATGATTTGAAACACTTTCAGATCGTTGGTAAATCATTGCTGCTCCCCTCTCCCAGAGTGCCCGCCTATCATTCTGGCTTTCCTGGCCCCTCCCCTGGGACCACGATGGCTATATATAGTCATTTGCAGAGTGCAGTGCAAAATGAAAATGCAGAGCTCTTGTTCAAAAATGATTAGGCTGGGCATGGTGGCATATGCCTATAGTCTCAGCTATTCCAAACACTGAGGCAGGAGGATTGCTTGAGCCCAAGAGTTCGAGGCTGTAGTGCACTATGATCACACAGAGCCACCGCACTTCAGCCTGGGCAACATAGTGAGACTACATTTAAAAATATATATATTAATGCCCATAAAGCCAGCCCTGCCCACGTCCCTCTCCAGACCTCTTCACAATCTAATCGAAGGCTAGCTTCATGGCCAACATCCTTCTGATTAATAGTAGTTGGCAGAACACTTCAGCTGTTCACCTCCATTACCCCTGCAAATGCAGGAGGAGCATGTAATGTGACCAAGAAATCAATGTTTTCAGACACTGACCTTTGGGGGTTGTTACTGCAGCATAACTCAGTGCATCCTACTAACAGTCACCAACGCCCTTTAAGTTCCTAAATATTTGATTATCATTTTGCCCACATGGTTTTGTCTTTGCATCACAAACAGGACAACTGAGAGTTGTTTTTTGGCAGGAACATGGTTTGACTGTTACTGGAAACTCTTTCTCAGGATTACACAAGGCAAAACAGGATTCCCAAACCCTATTTTTTTTTTTTTTTTTTTTTTTTTTGAGACAGAGTCTCTCTCGGTCGCCCAGGCTGGAGTGCAGTGGATTGATCTCCGCTCACTGCAACCTCCACCTCCTGGGTTCAAGAGATTCTCCTGCCTCAGCCTCCTGAGTAGCTGGGACTACAGGCGCATGCCACCACACCCGGCTAATTTTTTGTATTTTTAGTAGAGACTGGGCTTCACCGTGTTAGCCAGGATGGTCTCGATCTCCTGACCTCGTGATCTATCTGCCTCAGCCTCCCAAAATGCTGGGATTACAGGCGTGAGCAACCACGTCTGGCCTCCAAACCCTATTTTCAACCAGTGTCCTTTGCCAATACAATGCAGCAGATGCTTTCTACCAATATTCAGATAAAATAGTAAAATGTGTATTTATAAATGTTTTAATATGTCACAAGATTAAAAGACTTATGTCTTCATTGGATGCTTTTCTTTTTGTTTTATTTTATTTTTATTTATTTATTTATTTATTTTGAGATGGAATCTCGCTCTTATTGCCCAGGCTGGAGTACAGTGGCACAATCTCGGCTCACTGCAACCTCCACCTCCCAGGTTCAAGCAATTCTCCTGCCTCAGCCTCCCGAGTAGCTGGGATTAGAGACATGCACAGCTAATTTTTGTATTTTTAGTAGAGACAGGGTTTCACCATGTTGGCCAGTTTGGTCTCAAACTCCTGACCTCATGATCCACCCGCCTTGGCCTCCCAAAGTGCTGGGATTACAGACGTGAGCCACCGAGCCCGGCCGTTATTGTATTTTTATTATTTGAGATAGTCTCACTCTCTCACCCAGGCTGGAGTACAGTGGCATGATCTTGACCCACTGCAGCCTCTACCTCCCAGGCTTAAGCAATCCTCCCACCTCAGCCTCCAGAATAGCTGGGGCTACAGGCGTGCACCATCGTGCCCAGCTAATTTTGTTTATTTTTTATAGAGATGGGGTCTCACTGTGTTACCCAGGCTGGTCTCAAACTCCTGGGCTCTGGCGATCCTTGTGCCTGGGCCTGCCAAGGTGCTAGGATTACAAGTGCGAGCCACCGCCTGGCCTTGGATGCTTTTCTTAAGTGAGTGCCTACAACTCTCACTTCTGATCTGATGTGGCTGCCCGAGGAGGAGGAAGGGGAAGAAAGCAGTAGTTTTAGCATTTCTTGATTTGTGCAGCTGATCTCCTTCCTAGAGGAAAATTGGGTGAGCAGAGAAAAGAACAAAAGGCTGAGGAGGGTTGGCGTCCAAGGGGAGCTCCCAGCCCCTCTCCACCCCTCCCTCTCCTACTCTATCCCACAGAGGAAGGGAATGGAGTTGGGGTCTGAATCGTCAGTGTTGATTAAGGAGCAGGGAATGTAGGATTAAAAAAATAATGTAGTGAGGAGTTCCAGGCAAGGGAGGGTGGGGCAGGGGATTGTTAGGGCAGTGAAACTACTCTGTATGATACTACAGTGGTGGATCCATGTCATCATACATGTGTCAGAACCTATGGAATGTGCAATGCTAACAGTGAATGCTAATGTAAACCATGGACTTCAATTAACAATATCATTATATCAAGATTGGCTCATCAGTTGTAACTAATGTACTATACTATGTTAATAACGGGCAACTTGGTGGTGGTGAGGGAGTATGTGGGAGCTCTGTGTATTTTCTGCTCAATTTTTCTACAAACCTAACACTGATCCCAAAACCGAAGTCTATTAGTTTAAAAATAATAAAATAGACATATATTGGGTGTCTAGCTATAGATTTCAGTTTTATTATAACTGAAACAACATTCTTGCTTCTCACTGCCTGTTATGACTCTTTTTCCACCAGGCCTCTCCTAAGCAACAGGATGGAAAGATAAAGGTAATATTGACTGTGAGCTAAGAAGAAAGACCAAAAGAGGCCACTTGGCCTGCTGTGACTTTGGACTCAAGGCCACTGTGTACAGTTGCCCAGGTGGTGCACTGCACAAGGACACCACATCAAAGAGGATACATTCTCCTTATAGTCATTAGAGCTTTGTATATTGATTATGCAAATTCCAATAAGCGCTTTTTTCTAATTTGCTCAAAGGCTAGTGGTGACCCTGTCTAGGCCCTAAGCCTTCTGAAGGGTGGGAGACCTCCAAGGGGCCCAGCCTTGCTTACCTAGAGGCAGTTTTGAGTTTGAGGGTGAAACCCCTGCACATTTTCCACTTTCCAGAACCTTGATGTGTGGCAGGTTATGACAAGACCTGTGCATGGGAAGCCCAGAAAGGTACATAAATGGAAAACTGTGAAACCTTGTCACCCAGGTGCAGAAAAGAAGAGATTGGCAAGAACTTGGGCTGGCTCAGACACAAGTTCAGGCATCAGAACCCACACATGGTTCTGGTTTCTAGAAGAACAGGCATGGTTTCTAGAAGGGCAGATTAATGTCGTGTATGAGCGTGTCAGTGGGTTCAGGATGCTGATGCCTGGGGGTAGAAACGGTGGAGGGCCTGCAGCTCTTCTCCTCCATCCAAACTGCCAAGACTGCTGAACTTTGGGCGTGCCCACATGAGACACAAGGGTGAGCTGCATCTGCCCTTCCGCCCCCATCTTTACACTGCTGATTCACTGCTTTGAGAACAAGCCCACATAAGACCAAGTATGCCCTGAACCTACGGGGGCCTGTCTTCCCATCTGCACATGGCTCTGGGTGTGGCCTTGCATGGGGGAGGCCTGGGGATTTGGCTGTCGTGGGACGTGCAGGTGGACAACTCTCTATGTAAACCTCCGTGAGTCCACTACCATGGCTTACAGTGATGTTTTATGTTAAAGGATTTTATGGGGAGATAACAACAATAACATTTTGGAAACAGGAAAGCAAACAAATGAGGAATATTTGACTGAAAGCCAAGTCTCGAGCTTGAATTGCGGAAGGCCAGAACCACTGTTTGACACCACAGCCTCCTCAAACCACAGACTTGGGGCTGGGTGCCGTGGCTCAAACCTGTAATCCCAGCACTTTGGGAGGCTGAGACGGGTGGATCACCTGAGGTCAGGAGTTCGAGACCAGCCTGGCCAACATGGTGAAACCCCACCTGTACTAAAAATACAAAAAAAATAGCCAGGTGTGGTAGTGGGTGCCTATAATCCCAGCTACTTGGGAGGCTGAGGCAGAAGAATTGCTTGAGCCGGGAAGACAGAGGTTGAAGTGAGCCGAGATCATTGCAACCAGCCAAGGTAACAAGAGCAAAACTCTGTCCCCCACCCCAACAAAAAAAGAAAAAAAACGAAAAGAAAAGACAGACTTGGAAGTCCCAGGAACGTGGGGACGTGGCAGGCGGTTCACGGCTTGTTAACATGGAAGGGACTAGGAGGAGAGCTGTGTGTGAAGTAGTTCCAGTTAGCGCATGTCAATTACTTAGTAAGCCATATTTACACTTGGTGAGCAATCTATGGGGGTCTTTCTAGGTCTTTCTAAGGCTCCTTAATGCCCTCCTCAACTCCATTCCACTGGTCACCTTCCCTTCTCTCCCCTCAGTGGGCGTCTGGAGCTTTACTCTCTGGAAAGGGTGATAGAGGCAGGTCTCCGGACTGGAGCCCAAGATTGGTGAAGTGTGGGGTGTGGAATGGAAAACAGAGATGGAGGACAGATGTCACTGACTGCTAAACTCAGGGACTCCCAGCCTTTCTCACTGCACAGGGGCCACAGCGTGCTGGCAGCCTCACCCCACCTTCCAGGCAGGTCCCTGGAGGACTCCTCTCTGGGGAGTCTGAACAGCACAAGAGGAAAAACCTAAAGACACTGCTGCTTGGGTTCTGTGGGAAGCAGCAAGTCCAGACCCCCTACAGTCTGACCTGGTACCATCCACACATGCTTAATTAATAAGGAAGTGTCACCCATGGTGGGCCTTAGGGAATTTTAAGAGGACTTACAGAATTTGGGGTGGAAGGAATCATATAAGAAATGTGCAGAGGCTGGGCACGGTGGCTTACGCCTGTAATCCCAGCACTTTGGGAGGCCGAGGCGGGCGGATCATCTGAGGTCAGGAGTTCAAGACCAGCTCGGCCAACACGGTGAAACCCCATCTCTACTAAAAATACAAAAATTACCTGGGTGTAGTGGTGTGCGCCTGTAATCCCAGCTACTCGGGAGGTGGAGGCAGGAGAATCCCTTGAGCCTGGGAGGCGGAGGTTCGAGTGAGCCGAGATCATGCCACTGCACTCCAGCCTGGATGACAGAGCGAGACTCCCTCTCAAAAAGAAAGGGAAGGAAGGAAGGAAGGAGGAAGGAAGAAAGGAAGGAAAGAAAGAAAGAAAGAAGGGAAAGGAAAGGAAAGAGGGAGGGAGGATGGAAGGAAGGAAGGAAGGAAGGGAAAGAAAGAAAAAGAAAGAAGGAAAGAAGGAAGGGAAGGAAGGGAAGGGAAGGGAAGGGAAGAAGGAAAGAAGGAAGGAAGGAAGGGAGGGAGGAAGGGAGGGAAGGAGGGAGGGAGGGAGGGAGGGAGGGAGGGAGGGAGGGTGCAGAGACAGGATTGTGTGATGCCATTCAGAGACATGGTGAGTAGGGCACTGGGCCAGCCACCAGGCAAGGGTAGAAGGAAAAATAGGAAATGAGGTTGAAGAGGCTGGCTGGGACCAACAGGTGCCTGATAAAGGACCCTGGGGGTGAGTAGGTACAAGTCAAATTCCCCTTTCCAAGGCCACACACCCCGGCATGAGGCTGCATCAGCCAGGGGAGACAGTGCATCTAGCCCTGGAGACCAGAAGGAGGAAGACCTCTAAGGCTGGGCTTAGGAGACAGAATTTAGTTCAGGAGATAATGGGGAGCCTGCTGAGAGTTTAGAAACAGGGGAGGAACATGGGGGATTGAGTTAGACTTAAGGAAGAATTAATTTCTGAGCCAGACACTGTAAGAGGTGACGCTGGGCTACATCAAAATTAACTGGGAAACTCTTTCTGATGAACTGGTGTCTGTACAATAGGAAGAGATGGAAGACTAGAAAACAGGAATTGCTCAGAAAGGAATTGAGCTCTTTGGATGGGAAACAAGAACTCCGATGGAATGCAGGAGGAAGGATTGAGCAAGAGAGAAGGAAAGTGGCTGCCAACCTGTCCAAGTGGAGAAAAAGACCTTAAACACAACAGGGGACTTCATGCGTCTCTAAATGCTTTGGCAGGTTTCTTTGCCTACATCAGCCTCACACTGGAATGCAAGGAAAGAATTATATCCTTTTCCCACTGCTGTGGTATTTCAGCTGAAATCAGCCTCATCAAAGCAGCAACTATGTACCAAGGGGTTGACAAATAGAGGAAATTTGTGAAGCTGGGCTTCTTGGCAAGTGTTTTGTCCTTGGAAATTCTGTTCCTCTCAGCCTTCTGGGTAAGGACTTCCCTTACATAGCAACAAGGTCCATCGCCTTAGGATGACAGAGGGCAATGCCAGCAAATTGCCCAGCGAAGGAAGCAGCACCACTGAATAGGAAGTTGCTCCTCCTCCCCAGCCTGCCTGTAAACTTGAAATTTTTTCTTTTTTGCTTTTTCTTTTTTCTTTTTGAGACAGGGGCTCGCTCTGTCACCCAGGTCGGAGTGTAATGGTGTGATCACAGCTCACTGCAGCCTCAACCTTCTGGGCTCAAGTGATCCTTATGCCTCAGCCTCCTGAGCAACTGGGACTACAGGCATGTGCCACCATGCCCAGGTAATTTATTGTTTTTTTGTCTGTTTGTTTGTTTGCTTGTAGAGACAGTGTCTTCCTATGTTGCTCAGGCTGGTCTCAAACTCCTAAACTTGAGCGATCTTCCCATCTTGACCTCACAAAGTGCTGGGATTACAGATGTGAGCTGCTACACCCGGTCTGAACTTGGAATTAATTCCGTACTCTTATCGCTGAATAAAGGCATTGAAAGTTATGGTTACAAGTACAAATAACTGTCTAGAAAGGGGGCAAACACTTCATTACTAACCATTCACATCATGGTTTATTTAACAGGACTCAAAGGAGATAGGAGATTCCAGGATAAAGAATATATATTAATCACACTTTAGAGTACAGTGAAGACTTTCACAAGCATTATCTTGATCCTTAGAGCAATGCAGAGGGCCTTATGATTATCACTCTCTTACAGGTAAGGGAATCAGGACCCACAGAGGTTCAGTGACTTGCCCAAGAATACACTGGTAGCTGTCGGCAGAGCTGGGACTTGAATCCTAGGCCCCTGACCTCCAGTCCGATGTCCTTTCCTAGGTGTGGATGGTGGTGTGGGAGCTGTGAAGGTCCAGGGTTATGTGTGGTGGGGAAGGGTGTCCAGAGGACCTGAGAGGACAAGCTGGGGAACTGCTTTGGGCCAACCCCACCTGCTGGGTTGAAGTCACAGTCAGGTGCCCCAAATCTCACCTGTTGTCAAGGCCTCTTCCCACAGCTCTGGGTGAGATGGAAAAAGAGGAAAAGAAAATAGGTGGCAGTGAACTCCAGGCCATCAGTCCACCCCCAAACCCAACCTTCCATCCTGGTTCCTGGCTCCACTGGAGGGGCTTGTCCTGGAGAGCCAGCCCCACAGTCACTACGAGCTCAAGGTTTCCCTATCAGAAGCAAGACTGCAGGGTAAGGGCTGGGGAACTCTGTCCCCCCGACATGTGACCACGCTAGCTCAGAGTCCAAGGATGCTGAGGTGCTCAGAGCTCGGAGCTGCCTGCCTGTGTGTGAGCCCAGTCCGTGGGTAAACATGGAGGCTGCTCTTGGGGTAGGAGTTGGACACGCTCCACGACGGATTCTGCCTTCTGAGCTCAGGCCCTGGACAGATGTTTACAGGAACTATGAAAGAGATAAAGAAACAGCCATAACTCTGCATTCAAACACCTAGAGCCCAGATGGGCTGCCACTTGAGGCCAAAGCCACCCTTGTTCAAGGTCCGTGGGGTAGGGGAGATCCACGCACAGAGGAAAACGCCAGGGGATGGAACAATTTATAAGTTGTGGGAACTCTGGCCCCAACCTCAGGAGGGGACACCAACAAGACTTCTTTTATCTCTAGGAGGAAGGCTAAAGTGTTCTCTGAAGCTGGACTCCTTTGGGAATTCAGAGCTTTCCTGGCTCACCCCCCACGCACAGTGCACACGCACTTAGCAGTTTGTACACCATGACCAGAGATGCACAGATCCAAGGCTGCCCATCTAAGAACCTCAGCTGGAAAACCCAGGACCCAGAATGAGTCTGGGTGACCACGCCTCACCCCTTTCCCTCAGACCTCTCTGGGAAGAACAAGAGACTGAGCAAGGCCACCCCCTGTCCTACCCCCAACTCAGATCACGTCTCTAGTATACAATGTTAAAATAAATCACTGTTAAAAAAATTACTGGGAGGAGGTTGGATGCGGCAGCTCACGCCTGTAATCCCAGCACTTTGGGAGGCCAAGGTGGGCAGATCACCTGAGGTCTGGAGTTCGAGACCAGCCTGGCCAACGTGGTGAAACCCCGTCTCCACTAAAAATACAAAAATTAGCCAGGTGTAGTGGCAGCTGCCTGTAATCTCAGCTACTCAGGAGGTTGAGGTAGGAGAATCACTTGAACCAGGGAGGCAGAGATTGCAGTGAGCTGAGATCACACCACTGCACTCTGGCCTGGGCGACAGAGCGAGACTCTTATCTCAAAAAAAAAAAAAAAACGCATACACACACAAAATTAGCTGGGCATGGTGGCACACACCTGTGGTCCCAGCTACTCGGGAGGCCGAGGCATGAGAATCGCTTGAACCCGGAAGGTGGAGGTTGCAGTGAGCTGAGATCACGCCACTGCCCTGCAGCCTGGGGGACAGAGCAAAACATTGTCTCAAAAAAAAAAAAAATTACCAGGATGAGCATTCATCTGTCACCCATTAGAACGTCTTTTGTGCTTTAATGTTCTTAATGGCCTAATGAATGCAGCTTGCTCAACGTAGCCCTATGAAGGGCCTATTTGAGTCAGACTTGGTGGGGGATGCTGATGATACAAAGAGGAATTCAGTGTGATCATAGAAGCAGTCACAGTGTAGTCAGGGAAACACATACACTACTTGTCACCATTCAAGCCAGTGCTAAGTAGAGTTGTGGGAGGACAGGGAGGGAATTATTATTTCTGGAAAGAGAGGGAAAGTTGGGCAGCAGGTTTTGAGAGGAAGAGATGTAGGGGGCTTTGCACCTTTGCCAGACAGGACTCCTGATCAAAGGACAGCGGTGAAACACAGGTGTGTTGAAGAAGAGGCAAGACTCTCATAGGGCTGATGCATGACATCCGGGAGTCCTGGGGAAGGGGAGGAAAGAGGTGAGCTGGCCACAATCCCATTTACATCTGGGGCCCAGCAGAACATGGATTAGGATGGGGAAGAAAGTGTAAGAGTGAGAGATTCATAAGAGGACATTACAATATGAACACTTGGGCATTGTTAACAGAACTGACCAATTTCTCCCTTGAGAAGCAGTATGTATGGGGAGAAACACATCCAACCAGGGATACTGTTCCTAGCTCTGGCACTCACAGGCTGGGGGATGTTGGATAAGGAATTCCCTCCTGGGTCTCAGCTGGCACCTATATGGGTGTGAAAAATGTGTGCCTACCACTGGTGGGGTTTGATACTGCATCCCCCTAGCAGGAGACAGATGGCCTCATGAAAGGGGGTAGGTGAGGAGGGCTTAATGAAGGGACTATTTATAAAGGGGTGGGCATAGTTAAGGGAGCCAAGAAGAGGTGGGGAAACTCGGGGGACTTGCAACAGCTGGAAGCATTGTCACTCTTGGACCTGAAGGAGCAAAAGGTTGAAACTCTTTCTACAGCCATGAGAGAGGGGCTGCCTGATGAGACCCATGGCCTTTGTTAGAGAATGCAGCTACTGCCAACTGGGGCAGGGTAGGGTGGAGGTCAGGGTGATAAATATCCCAACCTCTAACTATCCTCCAGTGCCTCTTGGCTGAATACACCCCGAAGCCAGAAGACAAGAGAACCAGTTGAGGTTAGCCTGTGGAGGGCAGCTTCTGAGACAGAGCAGGATGGGAAGTGGATCAGAAGGAGGAGTCAGTGGAAACTATCTCACACAGGTGGTAGGCTGACACATTTATTGTAATAGTTGTATGTTAATTTTAATGGGTAATAAAAAGAATATACCTTGCATATCAAACCTATGAGTACACAGCTGTTATTGCTTAGGATAAAGCTAAAGCAGATATTTAAATGAAAAAAGACAATTTAAAGAAAAATATAATAGTATGGGTGGTATGAGGATATGACAAAAATCACAAAGAGGATGTATGTAAAGATGAAATTTGGGAAATTCTGGGTAGGATGATATATAAGACTTCTTCCAGCTCTGACATTCTGGGTTTCTAAGTGTCTACATGCAGCTGTACCGAGTACAAGGAAAATACCAGGAACCATGATAATGTACTTTCAGACCATCTTAGTTCAGTACAATGTTATGATCGTGAGTAATATGGTGAGATGATCACAGAACTCCTAGTTGTTCCACTGCTCTTTTTAGATTTTTTTTTTCTTAAAGATTAAAAAAAGCACAAGGCTGGGAGGCCAAGGCAGGTGGATCACCTGAGGTCAGGAGTTCAAGACCAGCCTGACCAACATGGAGAAACCCTGTCTCTACTAAAAATACAAAATTAGCCAGGCATGGTGGCACATGCCTGTAATCCCAGTTACTCGGGAGGCTGAGGCAGGAGAATTGCTTGAACCCAGGAGGCGAAGGTTGCAGTGAGCCGAGATAGCATCATTGCACTCCAGCCTGGGCAACAAGAGTGAAACTCCGTCTCGAAAACAAACAAACAGACAAAACAAACAAACAAACAAACCCCACAAGGCTACCAAAAGATTTGAGCAAGAACATTCATAGCAGCATTATCTGCTATAGCCTCCAACTTGAAACAATTCAAATATCCACCAAGGGGATTGAAAAAATACTGTGATCTATTCATGCTCTGCAGCAATGAAAATAAACACATTTAAGCTACCTGCAGCAACATGGATGAACCTTACAGGTGCCATTTTGAGTGAAAGGAAGCAGACACAGAGAGTCCACACTATAGGATTTCTTTTATACAAAGTTCAAAATCAGGCTAACCTAACCTATGTAACGGAAGTCAGAGGAGTGGCTGCCACAGCAGGAAAACACTGAGAGGGTGGTGACCGTAAAGAGCCATGAGGCAGGCTCAGGAAGACAGGCAATGTTCTGTTTCTTGGCCTAGGTGGCTACATGGTATGTTCACTTAGAGAAAATTTATTGAGCTATACATTTATGGTTTTGTAACTTTCTAGTATGCCTCTTATATTTCTGTGAATACATTTACTGTTCTAAGTGTATATGAAAATGAAAAGGTATGATTTTTTTCTTGTTGACCCTAGAAAAATGGCCACAAAGGATGATGTTCTCTGGGATAAGCAGAGATGATGTGTCCCTGATGACTGAAGGCTTGATTAGTTCTCCCATTTCCACTATCTCCCTTCTCCCATTTGCTTCAGTCTCCATTCTTGGTGGAGCTTCTGCAATCCACAAACATTTTGCAATGTGATTGGCATTATGATTGCTTAGAAGCAATCCCGTGGGATTGGCAGTAACAGTGCTCTTGTTCTAAATCTGGTTCTACCTGGTTGACCAGATGGCTTATTTTAGCCTCTGTTTCTTATACAGAGTCAGAAAAATAGGTCAGGGGCCTGCTCCTTGGTCTGTGGTTGGTACTCTTGTTCCTACTTACCATTAGTCTGGCACTTGACATAAGCTGCCCTGGGGCCCACAGAGATGCCACCACCATGCATAGCCCAGCCACAGTCTGGACCATAAGACTTCCAACTTCCTGCACAGCTGTGGCGTTTAGTGGTCAGTACCTGGGTATTCATGGACATCTCTATCATGCACTTCAGGGGAACTGGACACAGGTCCTGGCCTCTCCAGGAAGCCCCACCCCTCTAGTACTGCTCCATCCCACCATACCTCAGTCAAGGGAAACCCAAATCCCTAGGGCGTAGATCTCCTGAAGGGGTGAAGGGACAAAACAACATCTCCAATTGTCTGAGAATGAGACTGGGGGAGGAAGAAGAAATAACTAAGTTCTACCAGGTTGTTTGCCCTACCCACTAAAACCCAGGCACTATGCCCTTTTCCATGGAATGTTCAGAGAAAATGAAGCTCCTGCCTCTAAGCACCTGACAGGCCCAATTGAGAATGTAAGTGCATCCCTGAGTTTAAGAAAACACTAAAACAAAAACTGGCCAGAAAAGCTAGTGTTTGAAGAAGCAGCAGAGGCCTGGTCCCCTCTCCAGTTGATCTTGCATACTCTACCATGTTACCATTTCCACATTACCACTTTTATCAGACCTTTAGGCCCTCCACATAGAAGTTTCGTTTCACCCACACAGTATTTGTCTGCCCTGCAATTAAATACATTTTAAAATTTGTTGTTAACATTTAAAAATTGAGATAATTCAACTTTTAAAAATCCAGATTTCTGACCTTTCTTGAAAAATCTAAAGATCTAGCGACACAGAGTGTTTGACTCCTATAAGCCAGCAATTGGCAGAAGTTGAGCAGGGGCTGTCCCCTTTAGATGGAGCTCTCCAGCTGCCATAGTCCCTACTACCTATTGTCCCCACTTACTATTGCCTCACACCCCTTTAGTTTGCCCTTGATCTTGAAAGATTTCCTTGTTTCTACAATTCAGGGTTGACAGTTATCTTCTCCTAGAACTTTGCAGACACTCCCTGTCTTCTGGCAATTTTCAGCATAATTTCTATTTCCCTGTAGATAATTTGTCTTTTCTCTGTGGCTTCTTTTAAGATCTCCTTTTTGTCTCTAGTGATCAGCAGTTTCACTGTGATGTTTCTAATATTTCTGTTAATTTTCCTGCTTATTGATTTTGGGGAGTTCTTACATCTAAAGGTTGTGTATTTTTGATTCTGGAAAAAATTCCATCATTATTTCTTTAGTTATTGCCTCTGAACCATTTTCTCTATTTTTTATTTCTGGAAATCTGAGTAGGCATGTGCTAGACTTTTGGTTTATTCTATCCTCCACATCCCTTAGTCTCATTTGCATTTCCTGTAACCTTTTTTCTGTCAGTGTTGCATTTTGGGTAATTTCTTTGTGTCCATCTTTCAATTCACTAATTGTATCTTTATCTCTCTCTTTTATTGTTTAACTGGCCTACTGAATTATTGTTGGTAGTCTCTTACTTCCTACTCATACTTTCAATACCTTCTTTTATTTCTAGAAACATACTGAACAACCTTATTTTATGTTTTGAGTCTTCTAATTCATTATCTGAATCTTCATTTTATTATTTTGCCAATTTTTGCCATTTTATTATTTTTGCAGTTAAGTGATGTCTTAAACTGCAAATTCAAATTCCTTGGAATTCTGGAGGAACTGTCTTAGTCTTGGGTCTAGAGAGCATGCTGCTACAGGTGATTTGCTTTTTACAAGTGTCTAAGGGAATTACCAACCTGGGACCACTTTAAAATAATGTTTGGCTTGAAGGTTTTCACTCACAAAGGTGGTATGAATTCCTGTCCCAAATGCATGAATGTGGGCTTTTGGTTAGGAATTCTTAGGGGAAACTTTTGTCTTTGTTTTGGTTCCACTCTGAGCTAAAATGAGGTATCTTAAGGCAAATTGACTATCTATGGCAAGCATTCCTTTGTTTCCTTTGGGGAGAAAAGTCCAACCACCCTTGCTGAAATTTCCACCCTTTGAGGGCTCTGGTGTGCATAAGGATTTCCAATCTGATTTCACCCTCTGCTCCAGTCTAGATTTTGTCTCCTATCTCCAGCCTGCTGCTTGGCCAGTATTAGCAGGTGGCTTCAGGGCAAGTGCTGGCTCCTGCTCACCTCTCGGGATTAACACTTTCTCATTGTTCGACCTCAGAGGAGTTTCCTCCCATTCCTGCCAGCCCAGCCTTGCTACAAAACATGTTTTAATAGTTTCCCCAGTATCTTAGGGGTTTTGAGTTGGCAGATTTCTCCAGAATCTGCTTTGCCATGTTGCTAGAGACATGGCACTCACTTTTCTAGCATCATTTTCCAGTAGTTCCCCAGAATCCTTTGCATATCCTATTTCTTCTTCCTAGACAACCCTTCCTCATCTTCTCCATTTGCTAAATCATATTATGGTGGGCAGAATTCTAAGATAGCTCCCAATATTCCTGGCTCTCGGGATATGCACACTTTCAGTCATTCAAACATGAATCTAAGTGTTGCTGCGGAGAGCTTTTGCGGATGTAATTAAGGTCCCAAATCTGTTGACCTTAAAATAAGGAGATGATCTAGGCAGGCCTGCCCTAATCACATGGGCCTTTTAAAAGCAGAGAGTTTTGTCTGAATGGCAGCAGAAGAGAAATTGATAGAGCTGTGCTCTGGCTGCCCTGGAAGAAAGCAAGTGTCCACACCACGAACTTCCCATGGGACCACATGGCAAGGAACTTCCTATGGGGCCACCCTAGGAGCTGAGGGGGGAGGGTCTCTGGCCAACAGCTAGCAAGAAAATGAGGACCTCAATCCTATTATAACTGTAAGGAAATAAATTCTGCCACAAAGCAATGATCTTGGATGAGGACACTGAGCCCAGATAGGAAATGCAGCCCTGACCACCACCTTGATTGATTTCTTTTTTTCCTTTGAGAAAGGGGTCTTGCTCTGTCACCTAGGCTGGAGTGCAGTGGCATGAGCATGGATCACTGTAGCCTTGACCTCCAGGTCTCAGGTGATCCACCCACCTCAGCCTTCCAAGTAGCTGGACCAGGCATGTGTCACCATGCCTGGTTAATTTTTGTATTTTTTGTAGAGACGGGGTCTCACCATGTTGTCCAGGCTGGTCTCGAACTCCTGGGCTCAAGCTATTGGCCCGCCTCCACCTCCAAAAGTGCTGGGATTACAGGCGTGAGCCACTGTACCCAGCCCCACCATCTTGATTTTGAAAACTGGCCCAATTGTCCCATAGAACTGATATTTATTGTTTCTTTTGAATAAACATGGAAATTGACCCCTCAAGTCTTGAAACTTGAGAAATTACATTTTTGTTATCTGGGTTCCTTTCTCTGGAAACCATCGGGCCTTCCAGGTAGTATCAAGGAACAGAAACTTACATATCACTGAATCTGGACAATGAGATGCCAGACTCCTCATCTGCCAGAAGACCACTTGCTTACTGTTGACCAACTCCTCTTCCTTACTCCTTCCTAATTCCTATTTTCACAGCCGTGGTTACATTTCTTCCTTGGTATTTAAACCCCTAATTTTATTTATTTATTTATTTTTATCTATTTATTTATTTTGAAATGGAATTTCGCTCTTGTCACTCAGGCTGGAGCGCAATGGCACAATCTCGGCTCACTGAAACCTCCACCTCCTGGGTTCAAGCGATTCTCCTGCCTCAGCCTCCTAAGTAGCTGAGACTAAAGGCACATGCCATCATGCCCAGCTAATTTTTGTATTTTTAGTAGAGACAGGGTTTTGCCACATTGGCCAGGCTGGTCTTGAACTTCTGACCTCAGGTGATCTGCCTGCCTCGGCCTCTCAAAGTGCGGGGATTACAGGCATGAGCCACTGCACCTGGCCTAAACCCCTAATTTTAGTAGGTCAGGGAAATAGATTTGAAACTGTTCTCCTATCTCCTTGGCTGTAGCAACAGACTAAAGCCTTCTTCACTGACAATACTTATTGTCTCAGTGATTGGCTTTCTGTGCTGGGAGTAGTGGGACTTAGACCAAAGCCCTATTTTGGTAACAATTTCAGTCATGTGAGCCCCTGGGTGGAGAATCCAGCTATACTGTACCTGACTTAAACTGTGAGATAATAAAGATGTGTCGTTTTAATCTAATTTGTGGTAATGTATTACACAGAAATAAAATAAGTATAGCCTGAAACTAATATGCCTATCAGTATACCTACCTTATCCTTCAAAACCAGTCTCACCCCTTTAAGAGGTGGCCTTGAGCTCCAAGACGGATTCTGCTGTGCCCCCTTGATGCTCCTAGGGCTCTTTTTTTGGGGGTGGGAGGACAGGGTCTCACTCTGTCACCCAGGCTAGAGTGCAGTGGTTTGATCATGGCTCACTGCAGCCTCAAACTCCTCAAGCAACCCTCCTGCCTCAGCCTCCCAAGTAGCAGGGACCACATGTGCAAGCTACCACATCCAGCTAATTTTTTAAATTTTTTTGTAGAGATGAGGTCTCACTATATTACCCAGGCTAGTCTCAAACTCAGGGTCAAGCGATCCTCCCACCTTGGCCTCCCAAAGGGCTGAGATTGCAAGAGTGAGCCACTGCACCCTGCCTTTGGCTCCTTGTTAGTTTTTCTCTTATCTTGTTGTTTTACTGGTTTTTGTTTGTTTGTTTGTTAGAAGTGTCTTTCTCTTCTGTTAGACCATTTGATCCTTCAGGGTGAGGACTATGTCTTAGTGTATTAGTCTGTTTTCATGCTGCTGATAAAGACATACCCATGACTGGGTAATTTATAAAGAAAAAGAGGTTTAATGGACTCACAGTTCCATGTGGCGGGGAGGCCTCACAATCACAGTGGAAGGTGAAAGGCACATCTTACATGGCGGCAGACAAGAGAGAATGAGAACTGAGCGAAAGGGGTTTCCCCTTATAAAACCATCAGATCACATGAGACTTCTTCACTACCACAAGAACAGTCTGGAGGAAACTGCCCCCATGATTTAATTATCTCCCACTGGGTCCCTCCCACAACATGTAGGAATTATGGGAGCTACAATTCAAGATGAGGTTTGGGTGGGGACACAGCCAAACCCTATCACTTAGGTAGGCTTGAGGCAAGAGAATAAGGTCTGGAGGCAGGGAACCTAAGGCTGATTTGCACTGACTTCCTAAAATTGAATCAGATGGAAAACCCCACCTCTCCATACCCAAGTAACAAAAGGATCAGAGGCCACTCCCTTTGCACTGCATCACAGATGAAAAATGGAAAGTACCTCTGACTGGTCCCCTCCCGCAACCAATCAGACTGGTCACGGTTCACTCCTTTGTTTACATAGGGTATAACCAAGTAACCAGTGGGAAACCTCTAGAGGGTATTTAAACCCCAGAAAATTCTGTAACCAGCCCTCTTGAACCATTCACTCGGGCCATTCCTACTCTGTGGAGTATACTTTCATTTCAATAAATCTGCGCTTTCTTTCCTTCATTCTTTTGTTGCTTTGTTTGTGCATTTTGTCCAATTCTTTGTTCAAAACGCCAAGAACCTGGACGACTACTGATTTGTCAGGACCCTCTACTGGTAACAGGCTCTGGACTCTGACATCCTGGGTTTGAATCCTGACTTTGTGACCCTGGGCAGGTTGTTTTATCTCCTTAAGTTTCTCTAAGCCTCGGGTTCCTTGGGTAAGATATGGGGATAAGAGACCCTACCTTAAAGGGACACTGTGAAGATAAAATGAAGTAATTTATGTTATGCACTTAGCATGATGCCTCACACATAATAGGCTCTCAGCAAATATTTGTAGAATGAATATATGGGTGAGGGACAGACAGAAGGGCAGCCTGAAGATGTGCCTGGATCTGTCAATATGCATCACTCCACTAACAGAAGAATTCATTCCATGAGGGATTGTTTCCTCAATCTGAGCCTCCTCTGCCAACCGCCAGCCTTCCCATGATGTTTTTGTGTCATCTTTTTCCCTCCTTTGTTTGTTTTACTCCCGCTTCTCCTGTGATTGCTCACAGGAAAACATTCCTAGAAAAACCTCAAGAGACCAACTTCCTTTGTGCTTCAGGGCAGCAGACAGAGCCTGTGTTCTGTTGGCTACAGCTGTGCTCCAGCCCCCGAGGGCCTGCGGAAGAGACAACGTCTCAGGGGGACCAGACAGAAGTCCAACATAAAAAGACAATGCTTCAGTAAGTAACCTGGGCCTGAAACTCCAACACGACAAGGTTATGTCACAGGGCAAGGGACCCCTCACCCCTCCTGCCTCACAGACTTCCTCGGTCTTGGCTGCCACCAACATCTTTCTTCCCGCCTTTCCTTCTGGCCACCTACAAATCAGTCACATCAGCATCACCCCTAACAGTTTCAAAGACACTGGGCCCTCAGGGAAGGCACAGCTTCTGTCATGGCATGGGATGAGGGCCATTTGGCAGGCAAAAAGAAACAGGCCGTTTGGAGAGACCTCTTTGAGACCTCAGTAATTTGAACCAATGACTCCCTACATTTTTACTTATTGCAAAAAACAACATTATAACAACATTAAAACAGATTTGTTAAAAAGGAAGAAAGATTACTTGTGATCCCACCACCCTAACACAACTATTTTCTTTTTCCAAGTTCTCTTCCAGTTTTTGGCCACATGATAGATGTTTGCATACGATGTGTTGCCTTTTTAATTTTTTTCACTTAATATTATATCCTAAGTCTTTTCCAGTATTGACATATGATCTTCACGTTGGCCACATTTTTCTCCCTGCAAATATTCCAGCCAATTAGACTGAGGCATAATTAATGATTTCTTAACCTTTGGGGATTCTTGTTCATCCCCTGGAATCTCTGAGGTTGGCTCTTGGCAAAGCTGTAAATGAAAGTAAGTTTGGTTTTGGGGCCCATCTGCATCCCTTGCAAATCTTCTTTCTTCCCTGCTAGCAGTTCTAGCCTAAGAGTTCTATTGCCATATCCCATTCCCCAACCTGTTCTCTAATATTGCGCTGCCAGTCATTGCACTATCAAAAAAAGTAATAATATAGGTTCTAATTTTTCCTCAGTGTAAAAGCAATACATATGCATGTTGACCAATATGGGAAATACAGAAAAGCAAAAATAAAAATAAGAAGTAAAAATCTGCTATAATCTTGCTGCTTACGATCATATGCCGCTGAAGATCCCATTTGCCTGAGCTAGGTACTTTCCTCCTGGACCCTTCTCTGCCTTCCAGCCTCATTTCATCATTGCAACTTGTGTTGCATAAGTAGGTACATAGCGAATCAGTTGGGGCATCTGGGGTTGGCTAGTTGAAACCACAGAGGAACTTACTATCTCATACAGGTGAAATGTACGGAGGCAAGATGGACTTCAGGACTGGTTTGATTTAGTGACTCAAAAATGTCATAAAGGAAATGGTTTCTTTCTAACCGTGGTCTTCTGCTTCCCACAGCATTACTTTCTTCCTAAAATAAGCTCTTCTTGTAGTCCAAGATGTCTGTCTTACCAACAGCTTCTGAGGCTACTTACTGCCTAGTTCTTGTCTAGCAGAACATGAAAGCATCTCTCCCCCAGCATCCAATAAATTCCTGAGACTTCCTCTGATTGGATCAGTGTGGTTCCTGTGGCTACCCATGAACCATTCCTAGTGGCAAGGAGGATGGGGCAATGGGGCTATCTGGGTGGCTGAGACCAGTAAGTCTCAAACTCTGGTCTCAGGATCAATTTACACACCTAGAAATTACTGAGGATCCCAAAGAATCTTTTTGACATGGTCTTTCTCTTGATATTTGCCAAATTAAAAATTAAAACTGAGAAATTTTTAAATATTTAATTTAATTTAAATATTTAAATTTTAAAATATTTATTAAGTCATTAAAATAATAAATCTGGCTGGGCATTGTGGTTCACACCTATAATCCCAGCACTTTGGGAGGCTGAGGAGGGTGGATCACCTGAGGTCCGGAGTTCTTGACCAGCCTGGCCAACATGGTGAAACCCCATCTGTACTAAAAATACAAATATTAGCTGGGCATGGTGGTACGTGCCTGTAATCCCAGCTACTTCTGGAGGCTAAGGCAGGAGAATCACCTGAACCTGGGAGGTGGAGGTTGCAGTGAGCCATGATTGTACCATTGCACTCCAGCCTGGGTGGCAGAGCAAGACTCTGTCTCAAGTAAAAAATAAATAAATAAAATAATAATAATAATAAATCCATTGCATGTTAATATATATTGATAAAAAATAACTTCTTTTTTTTAGACAGAGTTTCGCTCTGTCACCCAGGCTAGAGTGCACTAGCGTGATCTCGGCTCACTGCAACCTCTGCCTCCTGGGTTCAAGCAATTTTCCTGCCTCAGCCTCCTGAGTAGCTGGGATTACAGGCACATGCCACCATGCCCAGCTAATTTTTTGTACTTTTAGCAGAGACAGGGTTTCACCATGTTGTCCAGGCTGGTCTCAAACTCCTGACCTCAAGTAATCTGCCCACCTCGGCTTCCCAAAGTGCTGGGATCACAGGTGCGAGCCACCATGCCCAGCCAAAAAATAACTGGTTTTGGCTGCATGCAGTGGCTCACATCTGTGATCCCAGCACTTTGGGAGGCCCAGGCAGGAGGAACACTTGAGCCTAGGAGTTTGAGGCCAGCCTGGGCAACAGAGGGAGACTGCTGTCTCTACAAAAAATTAGAAATTAGCCTGGCATGGTGTTGGGTACCTGTAGTTCCAGCTACTTGGGAGGCTGAGGTAGGAGGATTGCTTGAGCCCAGGAGGTGGAGGTTGCAGTGAGCCAAGATCGTGCCACTGCACTCCAGCTTGGATGACAGAGTGAATCTGTCTCTAAAAAAGAAAAAAAAAAAAACGCTGCTGTCCTGGATTTGTAAGTAGCCTGAGTGACTCTTTGCTAGTCACTATTCAGAAGCTTCTCTGAGATCAGCCACTGACTTGGAGAGATAACAGTAAGGCTTTGAGATCTAGAGGCTGATCTTAGTCTGCTGTTTGGAGATCTCTGCCTTAATCCAGAATAATAGCTGAGGATGTCTCTGTGGCTGATGAAGAAAAGGAAGTTTGCAGGCCTGCTTGTCTTGCTGCCCAAGTGGGTCAACCTAATGTGAGTGGAGTGAATGAGGTAGTAAGGGCTTAACAGATGTCTTGTGATTCTGGGACAGGAGGCAGCTTCAAGTTCCTTTTCTTCCTCACCCCCACCTTACACCCATCCTTGGAAGCTGGGATACTGCTGACTCTCATGGCAGCCATAACGCTATCAGCGCCTGGCTTTGCCGACAAGGGGAATCTGGAAGAGAAGGGGAAGGACAGGGGAGACAAAGAGAGGTAAAGAGTGTTGCATCAAGCACATGTGTCAGAAGTGTTCAAACCAGAGCGCCTCCATTTTGAGTGAGGGCTAGAAAAATGAGGCTGGGACTTGCTAGGCTGCATTTCCTGAAAGCTAGGCATTCCTAGCCTCTAGGTGTTTATGGTTAAGAGAACAAATTAATAATGCTTACTAAACAGACCCAGACTTGAGAGAGTCCAGATATCCCGATATCTGGAGAACAAAGGCATTCCTAATTTTGCTTTAAAAATAATAATATTGATTATTGCAAAATATAGTAATTAGGGAAAATTAATCCTTTATCACAAACCCTTGTAGCAGAAGACATCTGCCCATATATACAAGCATTACAAGCATTGTACCTTAGTTGGATATGTCCCTCCTCTTATTTTCAGGAATGCCCTGCTGGAGTGCAGTGGCGATCTCGGCTCACTGTAGCCTCTGCCTCCCGGGTTCAAGCGATTCTCCTGCCTCAGCCCCGTGAGTAGCTGAGACAACAGGCTTGCGCCACCACGCCCGGCCAATATTTGTATTTCTAGTAGAGACGGGGTTTTGCCATGTTGGCCAGCTGGTCTTGAACTCCTGACATCAGGTGATCTGTCCGTCTCAGCCTCCCAAAGTGCTGGGATTACGCGTGAGCCACTGTGCCCAGCCACCACTTTACTTTCTTAATAAACTTGCTTTTACTTTGCACTGTGGACTTACTCTGAATTGTTTCTTGCGTGAGATCGAAGAACCCTCTCTTGGGGTCTAGATCGGGACCCCTTTCCTGTAACACATGGGCCTTGGGCTGATCTCCAAGATTAAGAGGGCAAGATACTCAGCTGCAAGGGTCAGCTGTCGCTGACCCCAGCAGCTGCTCTGCCTTGGCCAACTTACCGGATTTAAATCGCCCAGTGACAGCTTTTCCTCCAGTATTTTCAAAATGCTCCCAATATCCTCACGTTAGAACAATCCAGAAATAGTCTTATGGTAAAACTCTTTTGGGAAATGTGAAAGTAGAGTCCTCCCACCTTTTCCTTTGCAACGCTTTTGCCCCAACCTCGATCGCCCAGGCAGCACATTTTTTCCGGCACCCCCACCAAGGGAAGAACAGAGACATCTCCAAACCAGCTGCCCTGCGCCAAGCTGTTACAAAATAGAGCCACAAGTCTCCCGGTTTATGCAAACATATTTGGCTCGGTGTCTAGGATCTTCTTTTTCAAACTCAGAAGGAGATCACAGGCACACGGCCGCGGTGCTGTGTACGCCCCTCTGAAAGGAAGTTCTGCAAGTCGACCGACTTCACTGGCTTCACTGAAGTCCGGTCCGAAACCACCGGAAAGTTGCAGGCGCACAGTATACGTTCAGCTGTGTCCAAGAAATAACCTATCAATCACTGCCTTAAGCTTTGTTTCCTTCCTGAATTTTCTTATTTTCACGAATATTTATGCTTTCACAAACTGTATGTCATTTCCTCTCCAGAACCAAGGGGGGCTCGCCCCAGCCTGGCCCCCGCCCCGGGTGCGTCCCTGCAGGGGGCGCCCTGCTCTGGCAATGCCCACCGCACCGCAGGGCTGACTGGCCGCGCGCCCGGGGGCGGGGGCCGCCGCGGAGGCATCGTGCTCTCCGATTGGCCGTCCGCGTCCTCGTGACGTCAGACCCCGCCCACGCGCCCCTCCTCCGCATCTGAGCGGGGGAGCGGCGGCCCCCAGCTGAATGGGCGCGAGAGCGGCGCTGGGGGCGGGTGGGGGCGCGGGGTACCGGGCTGGCGGCCGGCCGGCGCCCCCTCATTAGTATGCGGACGAAGGCGGCGGGCTGCGCGGAGCGGCGTCCCCTGCAGCCGCGGACCGAGGCAGCGGCGGCACCTGCCGGCCGAGGTACGTGGCGCAGCCCCCTCCTCGGCGTCGCGGGGGCCCGCGGGCTGGGGGCTGCGGCGGCGACTTGTCTCTTCCCGGGCCGGCTGGGCGCGGCGTTTCCGCCTCGAACCCCGCGGGCAGCGCCCAGGGCACGACACCCTCAGGCGAGCCCGGCTGGGGCGCGGGCGGAGGGTCGTGGTCCCGGGCCGTGTGGACCGGGCGGGGGGTCCCACGCAGGTGTGTACGCGGTAGAGGGTGGGGCGGACCGCCGGGTGTCGGGTCCCGCCGCAGTGGCCCTTTCCCCGCCGCTTTCCGCTGCAGCTCGGGATTTAATTCATTGCTGGAAGCTTCGGAGTTAGCAGAGCCGAGTTAACTCGTTTTCCTGGGATGGGCTTAGGGAACCCCCTGCAAGGTTACTAGCAGCTCCTGAAACCTCTCTCTGCATCCATCGGGGAGGCGTGATGTGGGGCCGCTGGTAGAAATTTGCCGGTGACCTTCCCTGCACCCTCTCTGCAGCCAGCCTTGCGGAGAAGACAGGTTTTGGCGACCTTTTGATTTCTTCTGAATTGTAAGCCGTGGCTTGACGCGGGTGTGCATTCATTGTACGCCTTGCGTGTGTAAGTAACGCAGGGTTTTCCGAGAGCATCCCCGAGGAGCCCTGCCCTTGCCTCACACCCGCTTGGTGACCTTGGCAGACACTGATCCCCCTGTGGGGCTCGGGCTCATGGTCTCTCCTGAGAAGCTTACCCTGCCGATGGCCGAGGTCCCTTCCAGGCCCCGGGTTTTTCTAATCATAAAAAAATACGTTTACGAGGGTAGAGGATCCTGCAGAATCTCTAGCTGACTCGGAAGACGAATTTTATATCCTCATGTCTTAAGTCATGCATGCGGCTTTTGCTTAATTAGGCATCGTTCATTTGAAGGGGAAAATGGTTTTATGTGCTGCGCTTCATCTGGCACCAGTGGTTGCCTGCTCCTCGTGGCAGGGCCGTGCTGGGTGTCACAGAGAGGAAGGAGACTCATCTCCTGCCCTCTGGTGTTTAGCTGCCCTCCCCCGGGCTTATGGCTGCTAATCCTTTTCCACGGAAGGATACAGCTGCTGAAACTGTGGAAGAGGAATCCATTTCTGCTGCATGAAGGGGCACAGACTTGAATACAGTCAGGACAGGTTGTGGTTTCACTTGTGTAATCCTGAGAGCTTGACAGCTTCGAGGAGTGTCTAACATTGCTAGTAACAGAGCCTAGAAGCACCTGAATTCCAGCTGTCACTTGGAGAAGGAGAGATTCATACGAACTGCGAGAGCATATAACCAGCATGTCTTGAGTCTTTTACCCATGTGCCTGTTATATGGATGCTGCTGTTTTTGTAAGATGAAATGACCCTTGGATATTCTGGGTTATGATCAGCATTTCTTCGTCTAGGCGAGAAAAGAAACAGGTGAGATAGGAAGGCATGAAGGGGCTCATGGAAGAGAGAGGGCTGACAGGCAGAAATTTTGAGAGCTCACATTTACGACTATTTGGACAGTTCTTATAATTTTGGCATAAATTGTAAATTGTTGCATGTTATCAAAATAGATTGGTGATGAACGTTAAGGATATATCCGTGGCAGAATAAGAACACACTCTTTGTTCTTTGGTTTGCTCCTCTAGTTCTTCCCTGCTTGCCTTGTGGGACTATTTGCAGCAATGAGGGGAATTTATCTAGCAGGTTGGCCTCGGGAGGCAATGAATGAAAAGAGGTTGGTGAGTCCTCTGTGGGAGTCCATTCCAGGTCCTGGAGGGCTGAGGTGGGTGTCTTGGAGCCAGCAGTTTCTGGGAGAAGGGATAAAGCTCACCTTCCACACCCTCCTGGCTCCTGAGGAGCGATTTAATCCGCACTGCCTGTGGACACGATGGAGGACTGAGATCACTCCCGAAGGGCATGCTCCGTGGTTTTAGTCTGCTGGGAAGCTCTGGCAGAAGTAAAACAACTGGGAATATACACATGTTAATGATGCTCCAAGCTGCCTAACTGCTGAGGAAGGAAAAGCAAGGGCTGGATCAGTGTGGGTGGCATAAGTTAGCAAAGGCATCCAAAGTGGGGTGAATCACAGGCCTGGTGTGGGAGGAAACCATAAATATGACGGTGACACGCAGGCTCGCCCGGGAGACAGCCAGCTTAAGCACACGTGCAGAGGAGAAGCAAGTGAAATGCGTAAGGGAGCAGGAGAAAAATCAGCTTTGAGGCTTCAAGGACACTACCAGGCTTGTCTTACCTGGACACCAGACAGACAAAACTTTTTTTTCCTCTTTTTTTTTTAAGTATAGCATAGATACTAGGAAAGTAGACATACCATAAGTGTCCTGCTCAATGAATTTTCCAGACTGAACATGCCCATGCACTCAGCACTTAGATCAACAAACAGAACTGGCCGGGACCCTGGGAGCTCCCCTTGTGTTGTACTCCAGTCGCGGCCTCCCCCAGGATCAGCCTTGAACTCCTGGAGTCAAGCAATCCTCCTGCCTTAGCCTCCTCAGTAGCTGAGACTACGGGCACACACCACCAGACCCAGCTAATTTGTTTTATTTTATTTTGTAGAGACGGCTCCCACTGTGTTGTCCAGGCTGGTCTCTGGCAACTCCTAGCCTCAAACTATTCTCCCACATTGCCCTCCCAAAGCGCTGAGATTACAGGCGTGAGCAATTGCGCCTGGCTGGCTAGTGTATGCCTTCTTTCCTTAAGCATTGAGTTTCTGAGAATCACTCATGATGCTGCCCATGGTTGAAGCATGTTCACTCTCATTGGTGATAGGGGCCATTGGGTGAATATACCACATAGTCACGCATTGTTAGTGGACATTTGGGCAGTTTGCAGCATTTGTCTGTTACAGAAAGTGCCGCTGTGACCACTCTAGTGTCTGGCTTTGGTACATATGTGTCTGCATTTCTGATAGGTCCATACCTAGGCATGGTATTGCTGTTTTAGGAGCCACAGGCACAGCTATTTTACTCCAGTTTTTTTTTTCTTTTTTTTTTTTTTGAGACAGAGTCTCGCCGTCGCCCAGGCTGGAGTGCAGTGGCACGATCTCAGTTCACTGCAGGCTCCGCCTCCGGGGTTCACGCCATTCTGCCTCAGCTTCCCGAGTAGCTGGGACTACAGGCGCCTGCCACCTCGCCCGGCTAATTTTTTGTATTTTTAGTAGAGACAGGGTTTCACTGTGTTAGCCAGGATGGTCTCGATTTCCTGACCTCGTGATCCGCCCACCTCGGCCTCCCAAAGTGCTGGGATTACAGGCGTGAGCCACCGCGCCCGACCTTATTCCAGTTTTGAAATGATCACACTGGTAGTTCCTCACTGTTCGCTGATGAGGGCCACAGTTCTAAGGAGACTGGGGAAGGAATCAGGAGTCCTTCTGGCAGTCAGGATCAGTTTCTACCTGGCTGTGTATGGTGCCAGCAAGTGTGGTCACCTATAGGCCCCAGTCTCCCAGTGGGTCAGGCAGCAGGGCAAGGTGAGCTGTGAGGAACCCTTAGCTCCCCAAGAGCCTCTGACCTAAGGGAAGTGTTTCTCTGGTGAAACTGCCTGGCTTGGTCTCAACTCCCACCCTTGTTGCTGCAAACAAACCACTCCTCTCTGAGCTCTCATAATACTGCACTTCCTATACTTTATGTCTACTTCTGTGGCCTGCTTTCTCTGCATTTCTGCTAAAAATTATCCGTGACCTAGAGGAAAAGCCCATTTCTTATTTGGGTTTTTGAGGCCATGTAAGACATTTTTGTTGTCCCGTTATTACAGCATGGAAAAATGTTCAGGATTAAGTTATTGGATGGTTCACCAAGTCCTGTACCCATGAATTCTTTCCTTTTTTCCTTCAATTTTTAACATCTGGGATTATAACAGTTAAGTATCATGTGATAGGATAGGATCAGTTTGATAAAAATAACAGATTAGAAAGGTCTGCTTTGGTGGAATAGTACTTCTGTCTTTTGACTGTTAAGGCTGTTTTTAAGACCATCTCTTTTTCATAATTCAGAGCTTATGTGTATTGAGTTCTGAGCAGGGGCAGTTTTTCTGTTACACGTGTCGTTTCTTCCTCAGCCTTCCTCTCTCCTCCTCAGCCTCTGTGTTTTTATCCTCTTCTGCCCTGTTCTTCACCCCCTTTTTGCTTTTCATAAACATCTTATTCTCATCTCTAATCTATACTCTAGCAGAAAAGAGTAGGACAAGTATGGCCTCTGATACTCTCCTCTCTTTGCTTGTCACTTTCTGCAGTCCAGTTGTTGTCACCCAGGACTTAGGGACTGATGTGGGCTTCTTGCTCATCCTTCGTCTAGATCACCACTGTCCAGTGGAAACATAACCTGAGCCACTTGTCCAATTTTATATTTTCTAGTAACTACATTTTAAAAATTGAAAAGAAACAGGTAGATCAAAGTTTCAATTTCCCAAAAAGTTTCCATTTCTAAACTCTTATGCACCTAATAACACAGCTGCACACTATGTAAATTATTAATGAGCTGCTTTATATTCTGCTTTTCACAGTAAATTCACTCCCTGCCCCCACAAATGAACCCACATGCTACAAAACATAGATATGACAAAAAGAAATAAGTGCTTTCCTACTCACTTTATTCTCATCTATTGTAGACATGTTATATATACTAACTAATGTAATGTTCACCACAGCCCTCAGTGTTTGGTACCATTGTCATCCCCATTTTATAAAGGAGGGTATTGAGGAACAGAGGTTAAGAAGCCATAGGGGGCAGAGCTGGGTTCAGACTCAGGCAGTCTGGCCTAGAGGTGGTAAATGAGGCTGTCGTATCCATGTCTTTGTGGTCTGTAGTGCATTCCCAGCCTGCCCCTTGGAACAGCTACTGGTGAAATTGGCGAGGGTGATCTTAGGGGCCTGAGAGATGGCTCCATCCTGTCAGGTGAGTGGGCTCCTGGGCAGTGCCGTCATCACTTCCCTGGAGCTCCACAGCAGCCTCTTAACTGGTCCTGCTTCGTGAGAGGACTTCCCCATCTCCAGTCCAGCCTCGAGAGAGGTCTCCAAAATCCAATTCCACTTTAAACCACCTCACCACTGGTTGCTCCCTTTTATTCTTAGAGTAAAATTGCAGCCCCCTGTGGCATGGACTGCTTGCTTTTCTAGCGTCTCAGGGTGCTGTGCCCTCCTGGGTAGACCCTTTAGGCACACTGCACTTGGCGTTCTTTAGGCACGCTGCACTTGACATTCTGCCATCCGTCCCCACTGTCCCTGCTCCCGAGGCACCTGCCTCTCCCATCCCATTCCAGTTCCTATTCAGGCCTGGGCAGAAACGTTCTTTCCTCTGGGAACCCTTTCCTAAGACACACATTGTATTAGTCCGTTTTCACACTGCTGATAAAGAGATACCCCAGACTGGGCAATTTACAAAAGAAAGAGGTTTAATTGGACTTACAGTTCCACGTGGCTGGGGAAGGTCTCACAATCATGGTGGAGGGCAAAAGGCACTTCTTGCATGGTGGAGGCAAGAGAGAAGGAAGAAGAAGCAAAAGCAGAAACCCCTGATAAACCCATCAGATCTCATGAGACTTATTCACTATCATGAGAATAACATGGGAAAGACCGGCCCCCATGATTCAATTACCTCCCCCGGGTCCCTCCCACAACATGTGGGAATTCTGGGAGACACAATTCAAGTTGAGATTTGGGTGGAGACAGAGCCAAATCATAGCATTCCTCCCCTGGCCCCTCCAAATCTCATGTCCTCTCATTTCAAAACCAATCGTGCCTTCTCAACACTCACCCAAAGTCTTAGCTCATTTCAGCATTAACCCAAAAGTCCACCGACCAAAGTCTCATCTGAGACAAGCCAAGTCCCTTCTGCCTATGGGCCTATAAAATCAAAAGCAAGTTAGATACAATAGGGGTACAGGCATTGGGATAGCCATTCCAAATGGGAGAAATTGGCCAAAACAAAGGGGCTACAGGCACCATGCAAGTCCGAAATCCAGTGGAGCAGTCAATTTTTTTTTTTTTTTGAGACAGAGTCTCTCTCCGTTGCACAGGCTGGAGTGCAATGGCGTGCGATCTCAGCTCACTGCAACCTCCGCCTCCTGGGTTCAAGTGATTCTCCTGCCTCAGTCTCCCAAGTAGCTGGGATTACAGGTGTGTGCCACCACATCCGGCTAATTTTTTTTTGTATTTTTAGTAGAGATGGGGTTTCACCATGTTGGCCAGGCTGGTCTTGAACTCCTGACCTCAAGTGATCCACCTCGGCCTCCCAAAGTGCTAGGATTACAGGTGTGAGCTACTACACCTGGCCCAAATCTTAAAGTTCCAAAATGATCTCCTTTGACTCCATGTCTCTCATCCAGGTCATGCTGATACAAGAGGTAAGTTTCCATGGTCTTGGGCAGCTCTGCCCCTGTGGCTTTGCAGGTTACGCCCTCCCTCCTAGCCACTTTCATGGGCTGGTGTTGAGTGTCTACAGCTTTTCCAGGCACACGGTACAAGCTGTCAGTGGATCTACCATTCTGGGGTCTGGAGGACGGTGGCCCTCTTCTCACAGCTCCACTAGGTAGTGCCCCAGTAGGGACTCTGTGTGGCTGCTCTGACCCCACATTTCCCTTCTGCACTGCCCTAACAGAGGTTCTCCATGAGGTCCCCGCCCCTGCAGCAAACTTTTGCCTGGGCATCCAGGTGTTTCCATACATCTTCTGAAATCTAGGCAGAGGTTCCCAAACCTCAGTTCTTGACTAGGCTGCCAAGGCTTGGGGCTTCCACCCTCTGAAGCCACAGCCCAAGCTGTACATTGGCCCCTTTCAGCCACGGCTGGAGTGGCTGGGACACAGGGCACTAAGTCCCTAGGCTGCACACAGCATGGGGACTCTGGGCCTAGCCCATGAAACCACTTTTTCCTCCTGGGCCTCCAGGCCTGTGATGGGAGGGACTGCTGTGAAGGTCTCTCACATTGCCTGGAGACATTTTCCCCAGGGTCTTGGGGATTAACATTAGTCTCCTTGCTACTTATGCAAATTTCTGCAGCTGGCTTGAATTTCTCCCCAGAAAATGGGGTTTCCTTTTCTGTCACATAGTCAGGCTGCAAATTTTCTCAACTTTTATGCTCTGTTCCCCTTTTAAAACTGAATGCCTTTAACAGTACCCACGTCACCTCTTGACTGCTTTCCTGCTTAGAAATTTCTTCCACCAGATACCCTAAATCATCTCTCTCAACTTCAAAGTTCCACACATTTCTACGGCAGGGGCAAAATGCTGCCAGTCTCTTTGCTAAAACATAAAAGAGTCACCTTTGCTTCAGTTCCCAACAAGTTCCTCATCTCCATCTGAGACCACCTCAACCTGGATATTTATTGTCCATGCTACTATCAGCATTTTGGGCAAAGTCATTCAACAAGCCTCCAGAAAATTCCAAACTTTCCCACATTTTCCTTTCTTTTTCTGAGCCCTTCAAACTGTTCCAATCTCTGCCTGTTACACAGTTTTAAAGTTGCTTCCAGATTTTCAGGTATCTTTTCAGCTACGCCCCATCTACTGGTACCAATTTACTGTATTAGTCCATTTTCACACTGCTGATAAAGACATACCCAAGACTGGGCAATTTATACAAGAAAGAGGTTTAATTGGATTTACAGTTCCACATGTCTGGGGAAGGTCTCACAATCATGGTAGAGGGCAAAAGGCACTTCTTACATGGCAGCAGCAAGAGAGAATGAGGAAGCAGAAAAAGCAGAAACCCCTGATAAATGCATCAGATCTCATGAGACTTATTCAGTATGAGAATAGCACAGGAAAGACCAGCCCCCGTGATTCAATTACCTCCCCTGGGTCCCTCCCACAACACGTGGGAATTCTGGGAGATACAATTCAAGTTGAGATTTGGGTGGGGACAGAGCCAAACCATATCACACATACACCCCAAATCTGAAACATCATCTGACACTCTGCCCGCATGTCCAACATAGATAAGTTAAAATAGACCTACTTGTCTATTTTTTAAAATGAGATTATGAGAGTTTTTTTTTTTCTTTTTAGACAGATTCTTGGTCTGTCACCCAGGCTGGAGTGCAGTGGCACCATCTTGGCTCACTGCAACCTCAGCCTCCCAGGAGCAACTGGTTCTCCTGTCTCAGCCTCCCGAGTAGCTGGGACTACAGGTGCACGCCACCAAGCCCAGCTAATTTTTGTATTTTTAGTAGAGACAGGGTTTTGCCATGTTGGTCAGGCTGGTCTTGAACTCCTGACCTAAGGTGATCCACCCACCTCAGCCTCCCAAAGTGCTGGGATTACAGGCATGAGCCACCATGCCCAGCCTATGAGAGCTTTTTGAAGGAGGGACAGTGCGTGTGTTTCTTGTTGCTATCTCCCCAGGCACATACTCCTATTTGATCAAAAATGGGTTGTATAATTAAAAACTGTTATGTCTGTTGGGGAGCCTGCCCAAATGCTGGTTTCCCAGAATTTCAGAGCCAACAGTAAAAGAGATGTGAGTGGGGTGTAAAAGAAAATTATATGTTTTAGTTAGACCTGAATATATGTTGTTGGTTTTAGAAATGGAAATGTAACTTGTTCTGAGTTTTAAGCAGCCCAAACAAAATCTCCTTTTGTCTCCTGTACAATTCCTCCCTCTCCTTCCAACCCTAAATTGCCAGGTCCTGCCAAACTCCGGGTTGTCACTGTCCCAGTCACTGTCCCTCCAGTTCCTTTTCTAGGGTCATTATTTTCTGATTTGGGGCTTTCTATGACTCCTCTGGTTCTTCTGTTCCTATAAGACATACAGGATTACTGAATACCATGGGTTATTGGAAAAAACTGCCTAGCAAATTCCCTATCTTCCCTTCCCATCCACCTGGACAGCTGTTCCCTGAAGAATATTTCTAAGATCCTATTTGGTGATATCACTTTTATAGTCCAAAACCTTAAGAACTTTCACCTTATGCTTTCTGCGGCAGTGGGATCTTCATTGTTTTAGAAATTGCCCACAAACTTTCCCATCATCTGATACCCTGTGTTCCCCATTCTGCTCAAGTTTAGTAAAAGGCCCATATGTTGGAGCCTTTGGGTACTGGGTCCCAGAATTGCTTTTTGTTAACTGTCAGTTCTGCTGACTTTCACTTTCTCCTGTTAAGTATTATTTATTCAGCCCAACTACTTGTATTTCCTTTGGGTTAAGAGGGAAATGTTCCATTAAACATTTAGCTTCTAGATTTTGCCTTATTTGGGGTATTCATGGGGTTGCCACAGAGTTGTTCTCTCATAGCAGATTCTGCGTGTATAATGTGCTGTCACACAGGCCCACCACAGGAAAGCTATTATGTAAAAGCTTGATGGGACCCCAGGGGGAGGGGCAGTTCTAGGGGCAATTTCTTCAGTTTACCCCTAGTGTCATGTCTTGCTCCCTCTGGCCTCTTTCTCTTTGAGGGACACCCCTACCTTCACCATTAAATCATTTTGAGAAACAGTAACATTTGAAGCCTTCTTGCATACCTTCTCCCCTGCGACTCCCCTCTTTAGCCACCTGAATTTGTTACACAGGATGGGTCTTGGCTGGCCCAGTGCTATAATAATAGCCCCTCCTGGCTTGGGCACCAAGTCCTGTGGCACCTTCCTCCTCCACATCTCTTGGTTGGCCACCTTCCGGCCTTTCTGGCTGTGGCTCAGCTCCTCCGTCACCCCTCACTGCACTGATCTCAGTGGTCTTTTGATTACCCTGTCCCTTGGCCTCTTTCATGCCAGTATGAGCTCACCACTCTCCTACTTAAGAACCACTTAGGGCCATCCTCCTTTGTGTAACATAAGAGAGCCTGGTTCCTTCCTAGCTGCGTCTTCTGCCCACTGTTCCCCAGGCCCCTGTAATCTGGCCCGAGCACACACCTCTCTCTGTGTGTCTTGGCATTACCTTCCTTCTGTCTGGAATGCCGCCTCCTCTCTCTGTCCTGTCTCCAGAGTCTTAGTCATTCTTCGAGGACCCATTCATACATAACCTCCTCAGGGAGGCCTCCCTGATTTCCTCTGATGGAGCCTGTGGTTTCCTGCCCAGGATGCACAAGGTCTACTGTAGCTCCTCTATCACAGCGTTATTTGGTATTTCGAGTATTTGGGCATTTTCAGTTTTCCTAGCTGGATTATTCATTTAAAGAGGAAAGCGGCTGTGTCTTATTTATTTTTATATTCCCAGTGCTTGGTGTATGGAAGAAGCTTATGAAATTTTTATTTAAAGGATTGTTAGGTAAACAAAGAAAATTAGACAACCATACAGACCAGCCCTTCTCAACTGAGGTTCTACAAGAGACTTTTGTCCCAATACTGTCAGGCGACCATTGTATGTTATGAATTAACTTCTCTCCTTGCTTCTGGAATGATTCTAGTTATAGATCATTCCTGGGAGAATTGAGAAAAATCTGTTCTTTTTTGTAGGACTTCATTCCCGAGTGGAATGCACCTTGAATGAGGCTGGTGTAGATAGCATGACCCCCGTCATGATAGTATATCTATGCAAAGAGCAGAGGCTGACAGAATACAGACCAGAATGTTAACAGTGGGTATCACTGGGTTGTAAGATAACAGTGATTTTTAAATGTTCTGTTCTTATATTATTTTCTGAAATTTCTACTTGTGTCCTAACAGGGTTTTTAAAATATTTCTTGGGTAAGGCAAATCAGAGTTTCTAAACCTGGTCATCAGTTGAGAGTAGAGTTCTTGTTTTTAAATGTAGCTGCCTACATTGTGCCACAGTGAGCTGGGAATCACCAAGCTGAGCCGTGCAGCGTTGCCCTTGGAAAATCAGGCATTGGTGTGAGGATGGCTCCAGCTGTTAGCTCTCTGGACCTGGGTGTCTCTTCTTGCTGCCACTGGACACTTTGTGAATTGAAGGGCTAAGTTTCTAGCAGACATGGAAGCACCAATAGAGAAATTACCATACTCCCAACTCATATATACTGTATTCTCAAAAGAAAATCTAAAGGTTATTTTTTTTTCTTAATAGCTAAGAGTGAACATAAATGGGGAAATTAAGTCTGATAGGAGTCTTACATGTTAATTTTTGTTCATCACCTACTGTTTTATCCAGCCCTAGTTTCATTCCTGAGGTTTGAATTTGTTTGACCTCACAGAGTCATATCCTTCTCCTGCAAGAATCTACTGGTGGATACTGAAACAAGTAGATTTGATGATAAACAGGATATTTACTTAGTCTGTAAGTATCTCCCATCAAGTCACTTATTAATTACGAAGGGAAAATAGTCAACTCGACAGTGGAAGAACCTGGCATCTACCACCTTAACCCTTAATCAAATCAACATCACATGCCTCCTGAGAAGTGCTTTGAGAAGCGCACAGGATCACTTCTGTGATATTCCAGCCAAAAATGCATAAGTTGAATCTAATCATGAAGAAACATTAGACAAACTCCAGTTGAGGGACTTTCTACAAAATAATTGGCTGTACTTTTCAAAAATGCCAAGGTCATGAAAGATAAAGGAACGGTTTCAGATTAAAGAAGGCTAAAGGAACATAACAGTGAATGCCAAATGATCCTGGACTGGACCCTGTAACAGAAAATAAGAAAATGACATATATTCTTGCTATTTTTGTTCTAAGGCCATCACTGGGACTAATGGAGAAATTTATATAAGGTATTTAGGTAACAGTACTGAATCAGTGTTAATTTCCTAATTATGATTATGCTGTGGTTGTTTAAAGGGGATGTCTTTGTTTTTAGGAAATACTAAAATATTTAGGGGTAGGTGTCATCATGTCTTCAAGTTTCAAATGGTCCAATAAATATGCACACAGTATACCAATGGAATGGCAGCACAAATGTGGTAAAATGGTAACAACTGGGGAGTCTGGTTAAAGGGCAGATGGAAATTCTTTATGCTGTTTTTGCAACTTTAAGTTTGAAATTATTTCAAGATAAAGTTTAAAAACTGCAGCCTCCAGGTCTTGGGTGCTGTGGCCAGTCTAGCATCAGAAGCCACCATAGGGCTTTTCAGTGTCTGCCCTTTCCGTGGTCATTATAGAAGTCACGCCCACAGCACTGAGCTTTCTTGCAGAATTTGTTTTGTCTCCTCTGGTACCATCAGGAAACAGTGTAGAGGGTCGGGCGTGGTGGCTCACACCTCCCAGCACTTTGGGAGGCTGAGGTGGGCAGATCACTTGAGGTCAGGAGTTCAAGACCAGCCTGGCCAACAAGGTGAAACCCCGTCTCTACTAAAAATACAAAAATTAGCTGGGTGCGGTGGCACGCACCTATAATCCCAGCTACTCTGGAGGTTGAGGCAGGAGAATCCCTTGAAACCTGGGAGGCGGAGGTTGCGGCGCCGAGATCATGCCACCTCACTGCAGCCTGGGCAACAGAGTGAGACTCCGTCTCAAAAAAAAAAAAAAAAAAAGGAAAAAGAAAAAGAAAAGAAAACAGGGTGGAGGAACACTTAACAGTGTGGCTTTGCTGAACCTGAAGGTTCCTTCCAGCCCCCAACCACCCATTGCCACTGCTATTTTAGGGGACTGCAGTCCTTGTAGCTGTCCTCAGGCATCTGGTCAACCAACTCTGACCCATACATTTACCTGGTTTAGACTAGCCCTACAGCTGCCCCTGAAAGAGGCTTCCCAGGCAGAATATAAGTTTTAAAATATATTTAAACACATTTGAGGGTGTTTATGCCCAGAGATCAGTGCACTTCACCAGGGTGCTTTGGTGGACCTCTTGGAGGGTGCATTTTACCCAAATCCTCAGCATTTGCCAGTTAAAGATGGGTCTCTCCACTACCTTGACAGAACTCAGGTTGTATGTTTTGGCAGAAATCACGAATTTATTATGTCCTGCATGATGAAGAGGGTCCTTCCTCAGCCCCACTTTTAAAACCTAGTTTAGGGCAACCTTCTACGCTTCTGGCTGGAACCTCTCCTGTGGGGAGGGGAGCAGGCGGCAGGTCTTGGAATCAGAGGAGGATCTCTGAGGTGCTGCCTGTAATCGCTTTGTGGGTAGGTCTGCTTATAAGAATTCGCAAAGAGGAGTTCCTCTGAAACTCCCTAGCCCCGGGAAACAGAAAGAAGAACAGTGCTGGGGCTTCTCTTCCTGTTCCTGTCTTTTCCTTCCAGTTCCCCCTTCCCAGAATTTCCTGTCTCTCAACCTCCACTCTGTTTTCTCCGCCCCAGTGTTCCCCCACTCTCTTTCATTTTTATTGTCTTAAATCCACTTCTCCCACTTATTCCAGCTTTCTGGTTTTCTCCCCTAGATGGCTATAACATATTAGCATCAATTGAGTAAGCTAAGCTTCATGTTTCTTGTTCTTCCTTTGAAATGTAGATGAGTGAGAATCGTAACATTTTATTGGAGGAAGGAGCCATAGAAATGTTGTCACCCAACCCTGCTTTCTACAGATTACCAAACATCCTCAAAGAGATTGAGTGATTTGGCTGTTATCAAATAGCCAAACAGTTGAGTATTTCATCTCTTTGCTCTTCTCTTTAAAAAAAAAAAAAAAAAAAATCAGGCAAGTGTGGTAACTCACGCCTGCAAATTCCAGTACTTTGGGAGGCTGAGGTGGGAGGATTGCTTGGGGCCAGGGGTTTGAGACCAGCCTGGGCAATAAAGCTTAGACTCTATCTCTACAAAAAAATTAAAAATGTAGCCGGGTGTGGTGGTATACACCTATCGTCCTAGCTACGGGAGGCTGAGGCAGAAGGATCACTTGAGCCTAGGAGTTCGAGGTTACACTGAGCTGTGATCACGCCACTGCACTCCAGCCTGGCTGACAGAGCGAGACCTTGTCTCAAAAACAACAACAAAAAGATCCGTTTGCCATTTTCTTCCATGGTGGGGGGGAGACAGTCATTTTATATTGTTCCCCTAGCCTCCCCTCAACAAACACATATGGTGGGTCTTGTTTGAAAAAGTATCTCAATCCCTGTTTTCCATCTGCCTGGTGCCATCTGGACATTGAATAAATGCCCAATGATTATGATACTTGGACACCTGGAAGGTCTGGTCTTCACAGTGGTCTCTTGTTAGGACCGTGGTGAATTTGGGTTAACTTTGTGTGGGGATCTAGTTGCAGGCCACTGATCATTCATTCTTCTGTTCATTCACTCTGCAGGTGCTTGTTAAATGCCTTTTATATGCGAGGTACTTTTTAGGTTCCTGGATTACAGCAGCGAACAAAATGGACACAGTCCCTAAGCTGGGAGTCTTATATTTTAGTAGGGAGAGCAGAGAATAGGCAAATATGTATCAGTGGCAATGAATGCTATGAAGTAAAGCAGGAAAGTGAGGGGGTGGAAGTCGTGTTTTACAGAGGGTGGTCAAGGAAGGCAACTTTTGAATGAAAACCAGAACGGAGATGGTGGGGAGGGAGCCATCCAGAGAGGCAGCAGAGGAAGGGCAAGTCGAGCACGAGGCCCCCTTGGTTGACATGGAGTGAGGAGGAGAGTGTGAGATAGGTGGAAGCGGAACTGGGCTCTGAGAGTAACTGCCCTCTTGACATCTTTACCTCTTCAGTAAAGTCTTGGAGAAATCCCATCGTGCGTGCTGGGAACATTATAGTTTTAGAGAATGTTCATATAGTCCAAGGGCTCAGAATTAATTGCCTTAACACTTTTACATTTATAAAAAGCAGGCAATTGAATGACAGTAATGATGTGTTCTCAACACTAGAGGAATAGTAGATTTGAAGTAGATTAAAAAGCACGAGAATCACTGAAGTGCTTGCATCTTGGTTGATGGTCAAAATTAGTACAGTATTGATTGTGCGTTCACACAGCAACATTTTAATTTTTTTCATTGCAGAAGGTAGGTCCTCATAACTCTGCTCAGTTTGTAGGAGAATCTGAAAATATGTAGGCTAAAAATCTGTTGTTAATTACACGGCTTTCCTCCAGCTGTGAGAAACTTGCTGGTGGGCAGGATTTCTCAAAGTGCTGCACCCACATAACACTGGGGAACTTGGTTAACATGCACAGTCAGCATCCTCACCTGGACCTACCACCAGGGGGGACATTCTGGGGATGAAGTGTGGGAATCTGTATGCTTTGCAGCCTCTTCCAGTGGTTGTTTTTTTGTTTTGTTTTTTTGTTTTCTCCTGATGCTCCAGCTAAGGTCCCTCCTGGGGCGTCAGGCCTGGTTCTTAGCTGTTTGTGGGATTTACCGACCTGGCAGCCCACAGGCGTTTGGGACTCTGCAAGGCCAAGCTGAACTTAGTGTCTCCATGGCATTTTCTCCTCTTCATGGCCTCTCTCTACAGAGGGCTCCTCTTTCCTCCCTGTGACCTGAGTCATCCTCTCCCTTGACTCTCGCCTCATCTGATCCATCCCAGGTCCTGTCCGTGCTGAGCCTGTGGTGCCCAGAGTGCTGTGGTAGCCCCTCAGTAGCCTCCCTCCTCCCTTGTCCCCACTGCTGCCCCATGATTTTCTCCACGTTTCATGTCCCCTTCCTGAATAAAATCCTCCAGGGCCCTTCATCATCCATGATCTTTTTGACCTTTACCTTAATCTACCTTGACCTTGCTAACCCAACTTGACTCCTGATTTGCTGAGGGAGTTCCCAGGATGAAGAGAGTAGGCCTGGGCAGAGCTGAGCAAAGCCATGGTCTCAGCCCAGAGCTCGGGAACTTGAATTGCTCTCACGGTGGTCCCATCTCCAGGCGAGGGGGCCAGCCTTTAACATGTCAGTCATTCAGTGTCTGGGGATGGAAGGCAGATGTGCAGAGAAGGGGACACCCGTGTTCTAGTAGCAGCCAACATTCAGTGGCCACAGCAGGGCCACAACGCTGCTCTCGTCCTGCCTGCACCCCCCAGCCCCACCTTGGGGCAGGACTTGCTTGGCCCCTTCATTCTGTCTGCCCACAGCACACCATGTCTTGCCTCCTCTCGGCCGCCCCATGCCGCTGCTGTAGTTGTAGCTGTTGCATGTGGTCGCTAGGCGGCTTTAACCTGCATGCATCCCAACACTGTCTTCTTGGCTGAGGTAAGGCTTCCTGCCTTGTCTTCCGTTCTCCTTTGCCAAGTGGAATTCTTCCTCTCAAACACAAAACTCCAACGGTGACTTGAATGGCTGTTTTCTCCCTTCCCCACGGATGGTAGGTCCCTGTCTAGGTGCACGGGTACCAGGTGCACAGATGGTAGGTACCAGTCTAGGTGCACGGGAGAGGGCAGTTCATTTGTTCTGCACAGTGGGTGGCTTGGGGCCTACTTCAGTCAGACCTGCTGCAGAAGTTCCAGCCGGCCCCGTGCACGTTCCCAAGTACCTCCTGGACATTTTTTTTTTTTTTTTGAGATGGAGCTTTTCTTTCTGTTGCCCAGGCTGCAGTGCAGTGGCACAATCTCGGCTCACTGCAACCTCCACCTCCTGGGTTCAAGCGATTCTTCTGCCTCAGCCTCCCAAGTAGCTGGGATTACAAGCGTGCGCCACCATGCCCAGCTAATTTTTGTATTTTTAGTAGAGATGGGGTTTCACCATGTTGGCCAGGCTGATCTCGAACTCCTGACCTCAGGTGATCCGCCTGCCTCGCCTCGTGGACAGTTTCATGTGGTAATTTATCATCTCAAATTCATCATCTCCCCTCAAGGACAACAATTGACTTCCATTCCTATTTCTTTCTCTGATTGGGACCGAGGTTTGTCCCTGTTCTGCTTCTGTTCATCACCACTCTTGCTTTTGTTTGTCTTCTGTTCGTCATCAGTCTTGCCTTTGTTCTGGCTCAGAGACCTCTGTCCCCATTCCTTCCCCGTCCCCCTCACCAGGGTAGGCCTCGGGCTCCCCTCCTGCCTGGACACCACAGTAGGGAGGGCCCAGGATCCTGCCTTGTCGCCCACCCAGCATGCAGCAGACTAGGCTTGTCTCCTGCTGTGCTGGGAAGTCCTTCTGCTCTTGGAATCCTCCCACCCCACAGAGTGTGCTCTGCTGGCCATATTAGCCTATAAGCTGCACCTGCTTGCCTTCCCACACAGTCCACTGCAGCTATGTTGGTTTATTCTCTGCTTTCCCAACTTCAGATTTTTGTTTATAACCGTCTGTGCCCTGGTGTGACTTCACTATTTTAGAAAGCAGCCCCCTCCCGACATTACAAATACCCTCCTCTTGTTCCAGGTCCTCCCCATTCTGACCACCCTGCTGCTGGAAAAGTATGGGTGTGGAGGTGCATAGATGTGGGCTGGAGTTCTCAGCTCTGTGTCTACCCATGTGTGTCCTCTGGCAGGTTAAATGCAGACAGCAATCCAGTGATATAAGTTTTTTTAGGTTCACTAGATCATATGTCGGCTTATCCCTCTCAATAAATATCAGTGCCTTACTCATGCACCAGTAATTATCTGTATAGTTAATTTGGCAATTCATCATGTACTGCTTTATGGCATTTATTCTACTCTTACATTAAATGGTTAATTCTTAATTTTGAAGAAGTTAAATGTCTTACAAATTGACTGAAAGCCCAAATTTGCCCTTATATTTCTTCATTAGGGCCTTAAGAATTATTGAAAATACAGAAATAAGTTCTAGTGTTTGATAGCATAGTAGGGTGCCTATAGTAAACAGTAATTTGTTGTGTAATTCAAAGTAACTAGAAGAGAAGATTTGAAATATTCCCAACACAAAGAAATGATAAATGAGCCTTGGCAGCATAGTGAGACCTCGTCTCTACTAAAAATTAAAAAAATCAGCTGGGTATGGTGGTGCACACCTATAGTTCCAGCTACTTGGAGGGCTAAGGTGGGAAAATTGCTTGAGCCGGGAGGTCAAGGCTGCGGTGAGCCATGATTGCACCACTGCACTCTAGCCTGGGCAAAAGAGTAAGACCTTGTCTCAAAAAAAAAAAAAAAAAGATAAATGGTTGAGGTGATGGATATCCTAATTACCCTGATTTGATCATTGTAAATTGTATGCATGTATCCAAATATCACATGTATTCCATAAACATGTAGGATTCCAGCACTTTGGGCGGCCAAGGCGGGCGGATCACCTGAGGTCAGGAGTTTGAGACCATGGTGAAACCCTGTCTCTACTGAAAATACAAAAATTAGCTGGGCATGGTGGCGGGCACCTGTAATCCCAGCTACGTGGGAGGTTTAGGCAAGAGAATCACTTGAACCCAGGAGGCAGAGGTTGTAGTGAGCCAAGATGGTGCCATTGCACTTCAGCCCGGGCAACAAGAGCGAAACTCCGTCTCAAAAAAAAAAAAAAAGTGTACGATTATTTATCATTTTAAAAAGCACACAAAAAAGAATTATTTCTTCATATGGGCTCTTTAAGAAGAATCTGTTACATTTTAATATGTGGGTAGAGAAATATAATTTTGAAAGTCAGGCCTTTTCTGCATAAAGGTGGTTGCTGAAGCCATGATGCGGAGGCTGTTCCTGGCAGCCTGAGTGAGAAGAGTATCAAATTGTTAAGCCCTGGGGATCCTAACTCTTAGGAGATGAAAAAGGAGAACGAGGAGGGAGCCACAGGACAGAAGAAGACAGGCCAGCCTTGTGATGGCCTGCCAACAAAAGCCTTGGAGGAAGGCCTATAACCACCATCGCCTCCGAAACCCTCATAAGAAACTGCGTATTTATTCAGTAAACAGATATGGATGCCCTTTATATGCCTCTTCCCTTCCTAGGCACTGTGAAGACAGTGGTGTGCAAAGCAGAGACCCCTGCTTGCATGGAATCTGCATTCTAGTGGGGGAGACAAGACAAACGTGTAATTCAAAAGTAAAAAACTTATGAAGAATCACATGTCTCATGATTAGTGTTATAAAGAAAAAAGAAAGCATGCATACAGGAATATCCACATAAGCAATTTTGGTAAGTAGGGCATGTCTGTAGTTTTATTATTCTAACACAAGCATTCACATTATGTAAGTTAATTGAATTAAGGAGAGGGTCTCGTTTGCTTAACTGAACGGAGGCTATGTGTGCGTGTGTGTGCGCGCTCACCATTGGCTGGGTGGCTTCAGTGTGGGGAGCTATTTGTGACACCCTGTGTCTCTAGCTGAAGCTGCAGTGCCAGAACAGATCAGGTGAGAAAGTGTGAGCCTTCTGAAGGGAGGGGCCTCTGTCATCCTTTGTCCGTTGGGATTCACTCACCATCTCTTTGGAAGCCCAGTGAGGCTTCCACAGAAAGGGAGCAACCCAGTTCCTGCCCGCTGAGGCAAACTGGACTTGCTGAGTGCTGACATCCTTTATTTTGCACCTCCATAAATCTGTTTTTTTCCAGTTCAGCAAACGTGTGGTCCTTTCTTAGTGAAGTTCCTCATGATTTGTTTCTGCTTTTTAAGCCTAAATGCTTAATTTTGGGGATATTTTTGTCCCATACTAAAGAGATGATCAAGGGATCCTAAAAATATTTTATTTGGGTGATTTTCAAATGTCTTTTCATAGCTTAAATTTCAATCGTAGCTTAAGGATTTCCTCCCTAAGTGAAAATAGTTTCAGTTTTTCAAAAATAGAACTGGTAATGTATGGAATTCAGGTAGTAAAAAAAAAAAAAGGAATGCAAAAAGAAATAAACTCACTCACAATTGCACCACCAGGCCATGCATGGTGGCTCACGCCCTTAACCCCAACACTTTGGGAGGTGAGGCGGGAGGATCGCTTGAGGCCAGGAGTTTGGGACCAGCCTGGGCAACAGAGAGAGACCCCATCTCTACAAATAAACAGATAGCTGGGTGCAATGGCACATGCCTATAGTTCCAGCTACTGAGAAGACCAAAGTGGGAGTATCGCTTGAGCCCAGGAGTTTGAAGGTGCAGTGAGTTATGATCACACCACTGCACTGTTGCCTTGGCAACAGAGCAAGACCCTATCTCTAAAAAAACAAAGACAAAACAATTGTACTAACTGTTGATGACAGGTGTACTTTCTTCCAGATGCCTCTACGCCTATAATTACCTATGGCTACGTGAACACTCTTCCCCTGCAGTCTGATCGTTTTTTGTTGGTTAAAAGTATAATTGCCGGCTGGGTGCGGTGGCTCACGCCTGTAATCCCAGCACTTCGGGAGGCTGAGACGGGTGGATCACCTGAGGTCAGGAGTTTGAGACCAGCCTGGCCAACATGATGAAACCTTGTCTGTACTAAAAATACAAAAATTAGCCAGGTGTGGTGGCGCATGCCTGTAGTCCCAGCTACTCGGGAGGCTGAGGCAGGAGAATTGCTTGAACCCGGGAGGCAGAGGTTGCAGTGAGCCAAGATCACGCCACTGCACTCCAGCCTGGGCGACAGAGTGAGACTCCATCTCAAAAAAAAAAAAAAAGTTTAATTGCCAGCTGGGCATGATGGCTCACAACTGTAATCCCAGCACTTTGGGAGGCCAAGGCTGGTGGGTGGCTTGAGCCCAGGAGTTAGAGACCAGCCTGGGCAACATGGCAAAACCCCGTCTATACAAAAAAAAAAAAAAATACAAAAATTAACTCGGCATGGTGGTGTGTGCCTGTAGTCCCAGCTACTCAGGAGGCTGAGGTGGGAAGATGGCCTGAGCCTAGGAGGTTGAGGCCGCAGTGAGCTGTGATCACACCACTGTACTCCAGCCAGGGTGACAGAGCAAGATCCCATCTCAAACCAAAAAGCAAAAGTATAATTGCTATTGAAATTTATGACACAGTTATTCTAGCAATTAACAAAGCATGCCCCTGATTCAATGTTCATGTAATCCAACCTTCAACTGCCACCTTTTCACCGAACAGAAAATCGCAAACAAAAGAAATGAGTGAAAACAGTCCAGATGGTGTCAAGGTGATCATGACTTTCAGCTGATAAGCCCTGGCTTCTCCAAGGGATCATGGAGAGGCCACTCTGCCGTTTGTCTGTTGTTCCCAGCTTGGCCCTTCTCTTGTGATGTTGAGGGACGTGGAATCCACATGGTCCCTTGCAAATCAGAAGAAGTAATGCCTGCTGAGCTGAAGTAGAGGGATTTGATGAAACTTCTTGGGAAGTCAAACTCTTATACTGTGGAGGCTAAAGCAATGCCATCTTGGATGCTAATCTGCCATGTTGACTTCTGACTAACCCCAGTCCCAGGAAGGCTTCTAAGGTTTCTACTTTCATATACTTACTGTAAATCTTGCCCTTAGGTCAAAACAGTCTTGCCGTTATACCATAAGTCCTGCCCTTCGGCAAATTCTTGCATTTTCCTGAGGGTTGGATGTCAATGTCCTATACATTCCTTCAGTATGGTATTTAAGACCTGGGTGTATACACCCTCAGTCTGGGGAGTAATAGCATGGGCAACCATTATCCTGTCTCGCCGCCACCCAGGACATGGCTTCTGTTCGTAAGTCCCCATCACACGTTTCTTTCTGAGAAACTGGATTCGTCAGCCTCTTCCTTGGCCTTTGGGGGTGGGTTTGCATATGCCTGCCCACCACAGAGCACATACCTTTAATAGATATATCCCAGGAGGTAACTACATGTGTAGATGCATAGATTTTTATAAAACTGCCTTTTTCTTATATTTTTCAGTGTCAATAAATGTGAAGTACTGAGTACTTTAAGCTAGTGCTTCTCAAACTTTAATATGCATATGAATGTCCCAGGATCTCATTAAAATGCTGAGTCAGCAAGACTGGGGCGGGCCTGAGACTCTGCATTTCTAACCCACTTCCAGGTTACACTGATGCTGTCAGTCAGAGACCCTGCTGTGTAGCAAGATCTTAAGGACTGTAGAGTATTCATGTAGTTTGTGCTGTAATTTACCAACAAATTTCCTGCTGTTGGACATTTTTGATGTTTCATTTATTATTATTTTTTTGTAGAGGCAGGGTCTCACTGTGTTGCCCAGGCTGGTCTCAAACTCCTGGCCTCAAGTGATCATCCCATCCCCGTCTCCCAAAGGTGTGAGCTACCACACCCAGCCATTTTAGATGTTTCAATAGAGTTTATGCTTTATTCTTGCCATTATAATTTCTGTTAACATTCAGTTTTAGTTTTACTCTTAATCAGTATTGAGAAAATGCTTTTCTTGGAAGTTTATCTTGTTTGATGACAGGCTACAAACATGTAATGCACATTTCATTCCATTCGAGATGTTTCTTAAGGGGCTGCTGTGTGCCAATCTCTGTCCTAGGTTTTAGGGATACAAAGGTGAACAGAGTTCTGGCTCTGCAGCTCATTCCTCCAGGAGTCTGCAAAAGAAAATTCAGTTCATTGTGGTAAACAGAGATAGGGACGTGCCCAGGGATGGATGTGGTGGTGAAAAATGACCTCAGAGATAAGGAAAGAGATGCTTGAGCTGGGTTTAAGGATGAAAAGTAGCTCAGCAGGCAGATTATTGGGTGGGATTCCAGATTGTGAGCACATCCTGTGCAAAGGCACTGAAGTAACAATTTGGCACATCCAGGTTTCTAACAGTACTTCTTTGTGCAGTGTGATAGACAGGTTTGTCACATGGAGTCACAGAATCTGAAATAAGCTGGGAACCAGTAGGCAGATATGTATTTTTGAAAGACGGCTTTGAGGCGATAAAATTGAGATCAGGGCATTCGAGGTAAGTGACTTCTATTAAAGGCATGTAGTGAACAGGAAAAATTCAGGAGGTATTATTGGCAGGCCCTGGGGATTGACTGGGGTTGAGAATGAAAGTCTGGTTGACCTGCAGGTTTTCATCTTATGGCTGAACAGATGGTTCAGATACCAAAGAATGAAAGGAATAGAAGAAAATGCCAGGTTCCATTTAGGAATGTTGCTTGAGGTGAAGATAGCAAACAAGACATTAGGTATACAGGTCTGGGCTTAGGTGAGAGGTCCACATTAGAGAGATGGATTTGGTCTTCAGGGAGCCATTGTCACCCCTAGTCTGAAGCTTGTACTTGTCACAAAGTTACTGGAAGTGCCACAGCATCTGCTGCCTAAAAACCCAAGAATCCGAATGCACACGACTGCTGCAGGAGTCACATGTAGACACCTTCCCTTGCCTGCTACTACTGCTATCCAAAGCTTCACCAAGTCAGGGGAAAAGAAAGATTGCCTCCCAGTCTTTCACCAGCACATCCTAGGATCACAACTTTACGAGAAGCCAGCTGGTAAGAGAGAGTTCGGAAAATATTTACAGGCTTATAGTCTGACGGGCAGAGTAGAACAAGAGCCAGAGCACTGTCTGGCTCAGCAACAGAGCACCTGGAGGCGGAAGCCCTGGAGTCTTTCTCATACTCTTACCACAGTCATCTTTGTTCTCTGGAGGTCCACTTTGGTGTGAACTGAGTATCATTCCAGTCATCTCAGAAGTTTCCATTTTAAATATGCACAGGCTACAGGTAGCCTGCTGATTCCCACCACTTGGCTGACTGTACATGAAGTAACCACAGAATTGTGGTATTTGAAAACCTTCCAGGATCTCAGTTGTTCTAACTTCTCATTTAATAATTCAGCAGATTCTTCAGCAAAGGTTTATTAATAAGGCCCTCAACACTTATTGAAACTATTTTGATAGAATTATACATAATGATAAAAACTCTTGCTACACAGAATTAGAATTAAGGAGTTAAGGAAGAGATTGTTTACAGTAGCAGAAAAAAAAAACTTGAATGCCTGTTTAGTTTAAGATAAACAGATTTTTTTCAAAGAAGATGGTAAAACCCTAACGGGAAAAATGAAGTGAATAATGAATGAGATATAACTTCTTCCATCCAACTAAAAACTATAGTGAAGACATTATTTCTTAAATTAATATATGCATTTATTATAATAGTAACTAGTGCCTATATTAGTTAAGATATAATTTTGCCTTTAATTAACCATTCCTTAAACAAGACAGAAGCTTATTCCTCTATCATAGACCAGTCCAGAAGTAGAGTGGCAGCTCTCTGCCCTATGGGATTGTCCCAGGGGCCCCAGCTCCTTCTCTTGTTGTTCCACCATCCTTGAGTAATGTCCTCTCTGTGTGGTCCAGAGTGGCAGATCATGGTCCATATTTCAGTCAGGAGGCAGAGGGGATACAGGAGAAGCCAGAGTATGCCAAGGGAAGCACCTTGAGAATTGCACAGGATGCTTCTGCTCATATCCCATTGGCTAAAACTTAGTCTTGAGTCCTAGCTCCAAGGGAGACTGGGAAATGTAGTCTTCATTCTGGGAGGTACTATGCCCCACTAAAAATCCAGAGCTGTATTAAGTTGAGTTAGGGGAAAGCGAATATGGGGGAGACGGACCAATCCCTACTACAGTACTATTGGAATATTATTTAGAACTTGAAAATTGCTAATAAAATTATTTCAAAAGAATAAATAGGCAGGCACACAACATATTTTTTAAGAAAAGTGTTTTTAAATTGCCATATTCTCTCTTTTTCTTTTTTTTTTTTGATGTAACACTTCTGCTTTTAATGTAACTTTCTTTTTAAACTTTTTTATTATATAAATTTTAACCATACACAGAAGTGGGGAGAATTGTGTAGTGAGCCCTAGACCCATCTCCCAGGTTTAGTAAGTTATCAGCTTAAAGTTAGTTTTATCTATTCTCCCTGGCCCTCCACTTATCCCCTTCCTGAGTTCTTGAAGCAGATCTCATTTTTGCTATTTGATCTGTAGATATTTCTGTATGTAGCTCTAAAAGGTAAAAGGTCCTTTTTAAAAAAAATAAACTTTAAAGTTTAGGATAATTGTATTCACATGCGGTTGTAAAACATAATCTGGAGAGATTTTGTGTATGCTTTACTCATTTTCCCCCATGATAGCATCCTGCAAAACTATAGTACCATATCACAGCTGGAATCTGACATGGATACAGTCAAGATGTAGAACATCTCCATCCTCACAAGAGTCCTTCGTGTTGCCCTTTTATAGCCATATCTACCTATCTACCTCCCCTTCCACAACCCCTGACACTCACTAGTCTGTTCTCCCTTTCTATAATTTTGTCATTTTAAGAATGTTAAAAATCAGCCGGGTGCAGTGGCTCATGCATGTAATCCCAGCACTTTGGGAGGCCGAGGCAGGTGAATCACGAGGTCAGGAGTTCGACACCAGCCTGACTAACAGGGTGAAACCCTGTCTCTACTAAAAATACAAAAATTAGCCTGGCATGGTGGCATGCGCCTGTAATCCCAGCCACTCAGGAGGCTAAGGCAGGACAGTCACTCGAACCCAGGAGGCAGAGGTTGCAGTGAGCTGAGATCACGCCACTGCACTCCAGCCTGGGCAACAGAGCAAGACTCCGTCTCAGAAAAAAAAAAAAAAGAATGTTGAGAATCATACAGTATGTAACATTTTGGTATCAGCTCAGCATAGTTCCCTCTAGATTCACCCACTTTGTTGCATGTAACAACAGTTCATTCTTCTTTATTGCCAGTTACTATTCCATGGTATGGATGCAACATATAAAGGCTCTTTGAAAACCATAATCCATCCTCCTAACTCTCTCCTCTCTTTTTCCCCACTGCCCTCTTCGCCTCTCTTCACAGCAATGCCAAGTGAGTACACCTATGTGAAACTGAGAAGTGATTGCTCGAGGCCTTCCCTGCAATGGTACACCCGAGCTCAAAGCAAGATGAGAAGGCCCAGCTTGTTATTAAAAGACATCCTCAAGTAAGTACCGCCCCTGGGACTGTAGATCCCCCTGCTTTGGGTCAACTGTGTAGAACTAGGAGAAAAATTCAGTGAGAGCCCTCAAGATGGCTAATGTTGGAGAGGCATGCTTGGTCAAAGGATGCCTCAGACATTCAAAGGCACGTCTGAGTAAAGACTGAGTGCACAGCCGGAGTGAGCCTGTACAGCTGGCTGTATTTGGTAAGTGCACAGTGCCCAGTAGCTGCTCAGGCTCTCTACCTTGGCCTGGATGCCTGGGAGAGCAGCTCTCACCGTGCACTGCTCTTCATGCCCTTATTTAACAAAAGAGGGCTTTTCCCTTAGCTATTGTAAGTTAATCTAAAATATGGTTAATTAAATTTCCCTGAAGGCCCTTGAATACTGTTAAATATCGAATACTAAAAATGATGACAGGTGTTTGAGCCAGGTCACCCTTATATCCTAATAAGTGATAGAATTAATCAAGGAGGAACTTGGCAGGTGTCTTTTTTTACATATATACCAGTCAAACCTAGTTGAAAATTGCCCTTTTTTCATGTCTAAACATAGAAATCCAACCTTGCAATCTAGTCTTCTGTCTCACTTTACTGACTTAGGAAGTGTAGGGGAAAAGGAAATTTATAAGAATAAGGCTTATGTTACATTCAGCCTCCCTTGAGTCACCAACCAATATTTATTGAGGCCCACCACGTTCATGACGTCATGCTGGGCGCCAGCCACAAGGCAGCAGGGGAGATAGACCTGCGCCCTGTGCTGCTTAGGCTGTGGGTGAGGTGGACTCGCTCCAGGAATTAAGGCACAGTCTGATATGTGCTACAGACACTGGGCTTGCCTTCACACCCTTTTCTTTTATTTTTTTTTTAAATCAAAATAAGGGAAGTGTATGCACTGAATGTAACACCTTTTCTGGGGCTGAAGAGAAGAATAGGTAATATTAGGTTTTCAAGATTGAAAATTCAAAAGGTATTAAAGAGTCTCAGTGAAACACCTTCTCATCCCTGCTCCCCATTTACCCTCCATATTTAAAGATAACCAGTGTCACCGGTTTCTTGTGTATATGAGAAATATTTTGTGTGTGTGTGCTCTGCCATGCCCCGTGCCCAAACCCACTTTTACACAAATTGATAGCATCCTGTTCACTTATCATTATACATAATCCCAACTTGTCCAAGTTGTCATGGGAAGCCTGTTTTAAATGAGAATTTTAAAGTTTTTAAAACACTCCCAGCAACACTTCATTGTATTCTCATCCTCAAATATTAAGAAATATTTTGCATCTATTATGTATAATATATTATGCTAGATGCAATTTTTTTGAAAAAAAAACTGCCCCTTTATTTAGAAAATGGATTACTTTCTCTTTATTTCTTGCATTTGTTTTTTCAAGAACAGAATTGTTTAAAGCAGTGGTTCTTAAATTTTGGTTGAAACTTTTTAGCTTGCGGTTTGTGTCACTGGAGAACTTAGTAAAAATGAGATTTCTAAAACTAAGACTAGACTCAGCTCTTTTCTCCAAGTCGTGTGTGTGTGTGTGTGTGTGTATTAAACTATATAATAGTGTGAATTTATCAGATCTGTAAAAAATATTTTTTAGGTCATCTTAAGGGTAACTAATGGTCCTGTCTCATTTCCCAGTCGGCCTCACTTCCGGGTAGAATTCTTTAGACGTACTGTGAATAAACTGTTTCTTTTCTTTTCTTTTTTTTTTTTTTTTTTAAGGACTGACAGAATTTTCAGGTCACAAAAGATTGAAGCCGAGATTCTGTAGTTCAAGTCTATTACTTGATTTTAAGTTCAATAATTGACATTGTGATTCAGATTTTGTTACAGTGCTCTTGCAAAAAAAGTTTTTTCTGTGTTTGCTTATAACAAAGACAGTCATAAATGACTAGTTTATCTTGTCAGGAAAATAGGAAATGGCCCCTTCCTTTCACCCCAATGTCAACTTAAAGATTGTAGTTTTATGCTGCATAGCAGGCAGACTCATTTAGGATTCCGTTTTCAGTTTCACATTGCATCTCATGATTCTCACATGACTACATCATAATACCTAATTGATTTTTTTCCAGATGTACATTGCTTGTGTTTGGAGTGTGGATCCTTTATATCCTCAAGTTAAATTATACTACTGAAGAATGTGACATGAAAAAAATGCATTATGTGGACCCTGACCATGTAAAGGTTAGATATCCCATTGGTGTGGTTTAAATGAAAACATTGCCAAGCATATGCTCAAACTATAATATCATTAGTCTACTGTGTGACAAATATATGTTAATAAAAGTTTGAACTCAGAGGGGAAAGCACTTAATCTCAGCACTCCAAAACCAAAGACAACCTTCTTCTAAAAACCCACCACTAACTACTCCACAGTATCCTTCTCCCATTTACTGCAGCTGGGGTGTGGGATGAGGTGGGCTCAACCCAACAGGCTCTAGGGCTCCTCTCCTGGAATTAATTTGCCCTGATGCTATAAAGTAAACAACAAAGAAATTCTTTCTTTTTTCTTTTCTCCCTTTTTTTTTTTTTGAGTCAGGGTCTCGCTCTGCACCCAGGGTTGAGTGCAGTGGCAAGAACACGGCCACCTCAGCCTTCTGAGTAGCTGGGACCACAGGTGTGCACCACCATGCCTGACTAATTTTTTTATTTTTTGTGGAGATGGGGTCTTGCCATGTTGCCCAGGCTGATCTTGAACTCCTAGGCTCAAGCTATCCTCCCGCCTTGGCCTCCCAAAGGTCGGGGATTACAGACATGAGCCACCATGCCTGGCCAGAAATTCTCTTAGTATCATCTGTCCTTCCTGTGTTTTATTTTTAATTTTAATGAATTCACATTGCATTGCAAGATTTTTCTTTCAGCTTACATTTATGTTTCCAAATCAAGTGACATATCAAATGCTTATGTCACTGATTATTTTAGTGGCTGGATTATCTGATAACATTTAGCCCAGGATGGAGGAAGAGATGATTTTAAATAAAGTAGCATGAGAGGGATGATAACTGACATGTATGGATGCTTTATATATATTATCTCCTTTAGTCATTGTGACTGGGAGATATCCCAGTATCATCTCCATCTTACAGATGATGGCTTGAAAGGTTGAGCTGCTCACCCAAGTTCACGTCTAGTTTAGCTAGTTTATAATGTGGTTTAGTGCTCCCGTGTGCCAGGAACTGTTCTAAAAGTGTATTAGTAATATTAGCTCATTTAACTTTCATCACATTCCTGGGGATGTAGGTGCTACAATCATCCCCATCTCACAGGCAGGGAAACTGAGGAGCAGGGAGATTTAGTAACCTGCCCAGGGTCACCAGCGGCAGTACGTGGTGAAGCCCGGCTTGAATTCAGTGGTGTGGTTTCAGAGTCTGAGCTCCTGACCACTCTGCTCTCTGCCTGGTTAGGGAGTGTCCACAGAGAAGCCCAAAGTTAAAAGCAGCATGGTGCAGAGAGGAAAGAGCTTAAATGTTTTACCCAATTCAAATCTAACTGCCACTTAGTAATGGTGAAACCCTAGGCAGGTGACTTGATTGTTTTGAGTCCCAGTTTTCTCAACTGTGAAATGTAGAAGTTGAGTAAGAGAATATATACAAAATTCCTTTCTTGATCCTAATTTTTATTCATACGTTTCTACTTTAATTTGTACATCCTTTGAAGTGCCTCCAATTTTTTTTGTGGTACAGACAGGTATAAACAAATAAATGAAGAGCTCAGTTAGCAAAGGCACAGCTTGGCTCCTGCAAAACTATTGAGTCTCAGGGTCTTGCTGGTCGCAGGGCCAGCCTTCCCAGCATAGGTGTCCTCAGGTGTCTGCTGGCTCATGTCATTTCATCAGCATTAACACATCTGCTTTGGTCGAGTAGGATGTGTCCAGTACCCTCTGCTCAGGCTTCCCTTTCTTCCTGGACTGTCTGGCCTTGCAGACATACCTCCCCCAGTCCTTTGCAATTCCACGGCGCTTCACAGCTCTCTTGGATAAAGGTTTTAGACATCCTGTCTCTGTTTTTGTCTTCTGAGAAAGTCTTTAAATGATGGCACTTGGTATGGCTTACTGATGGACTGGGAACTCTTCCCTTTGTTTCTCTGCTGCCCTTCTCCACTTTCTCTTTGCATCCTCTTTTTCCTGTCCATTACCATCTGACCAACTGTAAAGTGATTGTTCTAAAGTCTGGGTCAGCTGAGGAGAGAGGTGCGCTCTCCTGTACAAGGGCCAAGAATACTATTCCACAAGCACAGGGTGGAGAAGGTGTGTTTTAGTAATACCCTGGGGGAAATCAACTTAGTAGTTTTCCTGTCCAGCCAGGCACATCTGTGTCAACCTGTGCCCCGGCTGCCTGTGATCATTTTGAACTTAAGCCACGTGGTCTGCTTGTCTCTGCAGTGGTCAGTCAAGTGCTCTGGTTGTTAGGCTGTTACTTGTTAAGGCTCCCCTAAGGAATCCTAGTGATTTCTAAGAATGACCAGAGGAGAAACTCAAGATCACCTCCCTGAGGAATCATGGAAGGGATAGGAACATCTGTGTAGCCTTAAGGAGAGAAGACCTGGTACAGGGCACATGGCAGTCAGTGTCAATGAGCCAGAGGTTCAGACCGCAGAAGGATGGGCCTGCCCAGGTGGCCTTAATGGCAGAGCTCTGTATAGGGATGGCAGCCAATCTCAAAGGAGAAAGGTTTGACGGTCCCAGGCATCCAAAGATGGGATAAACAGACCACCTTTGTGGTGACTCTCTGGGGATCTTTAAGAAAGTCAGGGGTCTGACCGGGTGTGATGGCGCACACCTGTAATCCCAGCACCTTGGGAGGCTGAGGTGGGCGGATCATGAGGTCAGGAGTTCGAGACCAGCCTGGCCAACATGGTGAAACCCCGTCTCTACTAAAAATACAGAAATTAGCTGGGCGTGGTGGCAGGCACCTGTAATCCCAGCTACTCAGGAGGCTGAGGCAGGAGAATCACTTGAACCCAAGACAGGGAGGTTGCAGTGAGCCAAGACTGTGCCATTGCACTCCAGCCTGGGCGACAAGAGTGAAACTCTGTCTCAAAAAAAAGCCAGGGGTCCTGTAGGTAGAATTCAGACATTAGACAGGGAGGGGCTCAGGGGCCTTTCTGATCCCTTCCAGGTCTGAGATTCTGTGGTTCTCAGCAATTTGCCAGTGCCTGACTGGAAGATGGAGGCTGGTTTCGTAACCTGGGGCTTTCAAAGTTCTGAATTCTGGGTGGAGTTGTCTCAAACGGTAGGCTCTCAAAGAACACCTGCATGCAGCCTAACCAGTCCCCAACTCAGTGACTTTCAGACTGAACCTCACTGCTACTTCCAAGCTCCTCTGAAGCTTGCCACATTCCATCGGTATTATCCTAATTCATACGAGCCTCTCATCCTGCCATCTAAAGTATAAGTTACTTGAGAGTAGGGACTATGTCTGTAAAAATACATAGTACGTGGCATTCTAAGGAAAGGTGTAGTGAGCGAGGGCTGCCCTTTAGAGTCACCTGCTCTTCCTGTTTCCCTGGTTGTGTGTCTTCTCACCTGCCTTCCTGCATCCAGCCATGCCCCACTGTGGCCGGAGTAGTCGTGTTCTACAATTTGAATCTAATATATTGCTTCCCTCCTTAAAACTCTTTGGTGCCTCTCCTTTACCTTCAGGAAAATACCCAGACTCCTTAGTCTGGCCCAGAAGACCGTTCATGACTTGGTTCCTACTGATCTCTCCAGTCTTTTTGTGCCACCTCCATTGTCCCAACTCTATGTATTTTAGGCACACTCAACCCCTCACAGGTCCTTGGGTAAACCTCTTCTCTTCTTTCCTTTTCTCTTTTTTTTTTTTTTTTTTGAGACGGAGTCTCACTCTGTCTCCCAGGCTGGTGTGCAGTGGCATGATCTCAGCTCACTGCAACCTCCACCTCCTGGGTTCAAGTGATTCTCCTGTCTCAGCCTCCCGAGTAGCTGGGATTACAGGCATGTGCCACCACACCCAGCTAATTTTTGTATTTTTAATGGAGATGGGGTTTTGTCATGTTGGCCAGGCTGGTCTTAAACCCCTGACCTCGGGTGATCCACCCGCCTCAACCTCCCAAAGTGCTAGGATGACAGGCATGAGCCACTGAGCCCAGCTTCTTTTCTTTTCAGCAGGGCCTCACGCTGTCACCCAGGCTGAAGTGCAGTGGCCCGATCATTGCTCACTGCAGCCTCAACTTCCCAGGCTCAAGCAATCCTCCCACCTCAGCCTCCTGAGTAGCTGGGACTATAGCATGCACCACCATACGTGCCTATTTTTTTTTTTTTTTTTTTTTTTTTTTTTTTGGTAGAGGCAGGGTCTTACCGTGTTTCCCAGGCTAGTCGCAAACTCCTGGACTCAAGTGACTCAAGTGATCCTCCTGCCTCAGCCTCCCAAAGTGCTGGGATTATAGACATGAGCCACCATGCCCTGCCCTTAAAACATTTTTATTGAGATATAATTAACACACCACATAGTTCACCCATTTAAAGCATACAGTACAGCCAGGCATGGTGGCTCCTGTCTATAATCCCAGCTTTTTGGGAGGCCGAGGCAGGAAGGATCATTTGAGGCCAGGAGTTTGAGACCAGCCTGGGCAACATACCAAGACATCATCTCTATTAAAAATAAAAACATTAGCCTTGTGTGGTGTCTCACAACTGTAGTCTTAGCTACTCCAGAGACTAAGGCAGAAGGATCACTTGCGCCCAGGAGTTTGAGATTACAGTGAGCTATAATCATGCCACTGCACTCCAGCCCATAAAACAGAACAGAACAAGACACTGAGAAAAAAAAAAGGGATACAGTGCAGTGATTTTGTGCAATACACTATGGTTTTAGTGATTTACAGAACTGTGCAACCATCACCATGATCTAAGTTTAGAAGGTTTTTAGTATCCCAAAAAGAAACTCCATATCCATTCATAGTCACTCCCTATTTCCCCCTCCCCACAAATCCTAGGCAACCAGTAATCTACTTTCTGTCTGTATAGATTTGCCTATTATGGACATTTCATGTTATTCATTTCATGGTCTCCTGTGACTGGATTCTTTCACTTAGGATAATGTTTTGAAGGTACACCCATGTTGTAGCATGTATCGGTACTTCATTATTATTTCTGGATAATACCTCATTGTATGGATATACCTCATTTTGTTTATCCATTCATCAGTTAGTGGACATTTGGGTTGTGTCCACTTTTGGCTATTATGAATAATGCTGCTGTGAACATGTGTATGTAAGTATTTGTGTACCTGTTTTCAGTTCTTTTATGTATATACTAGGAATATAGTTGCTGGGTCATATGGTAACTATGTTTTGCTTTTTGAGGAACTGCCAAGCTGTTTTCCAAAATGGTTGCATTATTTTACATTCTTGTAAGCAAGGTACCAGAGTTTCAGTTTCTCCGCATCTTTATCAACATTTGTTATTATCTTTCCTTTTTTACTACTGTCATCCTGATAGATGTTAAGTGATATCTCATTGTGGTTTTGATTTGCTGATAGCTAATGATGCTGAGCATCTTTCCCATGTGCTCTCATTGACCGTATGTGTGTTTTCTTTGGAGGAATGCCCATTCAGATCCTTTGCCCATTTTTAATTGGGCTATTTGACTTTTTATTCTTAAATTGTAAGAGTTCTTTCTGTGTTCTGGATACCAGTACCCTATATCTGGTATGTGATTTCCAAGTATTTTCTCCACTCTCTAAGTTGTCTTTTCACTTTCTTTAGGGTATCATTTTTAGCACAAAAGTCTTTAATTCTGATGAAACCCAATTTACCTATTTTTCCTTTGGTCATTTATGCTTTTGGTGTCATATCTAAGAAACTATTGTTTAGTCCCAAGTTTTCTTCTAGTATGTTTATAACATACTACCTCTTACATTTAGGTCTTTGATTCGTTTTGCATTAATTTTTGTATATGGTATATTAGTCCATTTTCACTACTGATAAAGACATACCTAAGACTGGGCAATTTACAGAAGAGGTTTAATTGTAGTTACAACTCCACATGGCAGGGGAAGCCTCACAATCATGGCAGAAGGCAAGGAGGAGCAAGTCACGTCTTACATGAATGGCAGCAGGCAAAAGAGAGAAACTGTGCAGGGAAACTCCCATTTTTAAAACCATCAGATCTCATGAGACCCATTCACTACCACAAGAACGGCACAGGAAAGACCTGCCCCCATGATTCAGTCATCTACCACTGGGTCCTTCCCACAACACATGGGAATTATGGGAGCTACCAGATGAGATTTGGGTGGGGACAAAGAGTCAAACCATATCAGTGTGAGGTCAGGGTCCAAGGTCATCCTTTTGCATGTTGTTCTCCAGTTGTCCCAGGACCATTTGTTGAAAAGAACTTTCCTCTATTTGCTGCATTCTTTCTTTCTTTGCTGCCTAGAGCCTTTCCCTGCCCTTCGCCCTTCTGTTACTCGTATTTTAAGTCAAGTCTCAGCTCAGCGGTTACCCCTTCTAAGAGGCTATCCCTGATCGTCCCTCTGTGTGTGTGAGAGAGCCCCCTCATGCCTTAATCCTGATGTTTATCATTGTAGGATTTCAGCTGTTCATCTTCCCCACTTGTTTTCCAGGCCAGGTCTTGGGAGACAGGGGCTGTGTGCTTAACATCTTACATTACTTAATATGCACTTACATATATTCAACTTCAGGGGGAAGGGGAGATAGTACTTGAATCACAGTGTAATCTTCCATTACCTGTGAACTCTAGATTGTACAGAAAATCCGGTTATAACTTGTAATTCTTTGAGTACATCAGTAATGCACCTTAGGTTTAATGTGAGGAACAGGACTGATAGTTCTCTTCAACCTAAACATCCACTGGTAGACAGGGAAAAGCCCAGCACCCGCTCCCTGCCCCTTCTCCCTGAACCATGGAATGTAAGTCCTTTCATTAGGCTACTGGGCCAATTTTTAGACCTAAGCTCATGGCTGGACCAATAGTAGCCTTCATAGATGCCAATGCCCTTCCTTGATGGGCTTCAGTGAGGACTCCTGACCAATCACTGACGAGGGGGGTTGGGAGGACTTCTGATGGGGGAGTTGGCCTCCCTGGTCCTACACCTACCTGCCTGGAGAAGGAGCCAAAGCCACTTAAGCAAAACTGAGCAGCAGCCCACAGTGTCCATCTACCATGTCACCCCAGTGCTGAGCGATTTCTAAAAGGTTACTTTTTTCAATTATTTAAAAAAAACACCAAAAATTCAAGTAATACGGAAATAAGTAAAGGAGAAAGTCCCCTGTAATTTTTCATAGAGAAAGAGGAAGGAATGGGGGGCAGCTGTGTAAGTCAAACATGTTTGTAAAACTCCGTGAGTTTGAAACTAGTAAAATAGAAAGTGAAAGCCTGCTATAATTATGGTGGAATTGAGGGTGTCTTATTGTGTTACTAGAGAATTTTTTTAAGTAGGTTTTTAACATTTTGACCTTGTTAAAATGCTCCACTTTTCAAAACGGTCCTGACAGGATATCCTGCTTCCTTCCACGCAGAAGAGGTGGTTTGTGCAGAAGTGCAGGCCTCAGAATGCTTTGCACATGAGAGGAATGGCAAGAGTTGCCTATCACTGAGGATTTGGGGAGGAGGGATCACAGGATATGGGACTGAAAATGAGACAGGGCCAGATAGCAAAAGGCCTTGAATGCTACACTAAGCACGAAGCAGCTCCTTAATTTGTGCATCACTGAAGCAAGAATAGAGTGGAGGACATGGCCCGTGTGGTCCTCGTGTTCTGAGTGGCTATGACATGGAGTTCTGTGTGAGCTCTCCATGAAGAAAATCCCGTCTCCAGGCAGTCAGTGGAGATTTGATCCTTACCACAAGAGCACGTGGACAAATTTGAATTATCGTGGATGTATATGGGCAGAAGAAGGTCTCAGAGCCATAAGGGTGGGGCCCTGTTAGCTCTGTTGGTTCCACTCAGCAGCCCACAGTGTGAGTGGGACCCTGCCAGCCCTGCTAGACTTGAGCATTGTCTGGTGACGCTGGTCCCCGCCTTCATTACTGCAGCAGAGGAAGTGTGGCTGTGGCAGTTGTGGGTTTTGTATTTTCTATTTAAATATGTCCCTTAATGTGCCAGTTGTTAAAAAGACTACCAGTGGGCTCTGAAGGGATGCCTGGACACTTTGAAAGTGTGGTTCAGATGTGAAATTGCACTCAAAAGATGTTTTAAGAGAGACGAGGGCACGTTGATGTCAGTTTCGGTTTGGGCTGTGTAGTAGCAGCATTTTGAACTTGGCCCTCTCTCCTTTCTGAGAGCTAAAGACCTTATCTCCCTGCGGATGGCATTGCGTGCAGTTAATTATGGCCAGATGGACTCAGCCGCTTCTTCATCGTCTTCTCTCGGACTCTGCAGACCTACACCGTGCCTTTAAAGGAAGCAGGGCCCTCCCTGCTGAAGCATTCAGTGAGCCCAGGCACCAGCATCTTCAAACCGAGTCTTTTCTCTCCTTAGTGCTGCTCCCCGCTTTCCAGGCCTTCCTGGGATATCTTAGAGGTAAGAAAACTGAAGCCTCGACCTAGGGAGAAATGCTTTAACAAAGACGACGCTGCTAGTTAAATCAATCTAGAACTGAGTCCAGCCTCCAGATCTCCTGATTATTTTTTTTTCTAACAGTTGATGGGATGAAATCTACATAAGATTTAATCCTTTGAAGCCCATTGTTTGATGAGTATTAAAAACTTATGCAGCCACGCCTCTGTCACCACAATCCCGCTTTAGCACATTCCCATGGCCCAAGCGAGTTCCCCGGAGCCCCTCTGCAGTCAGTCCCCACCCTCAACCCCACCCCAGGCTTCCACCAACTGGTTGAGTTTATAGTGTAGTGTTATTTCCATGACTTGGTTATTTAAATTTTTTTCTGCTTCTAACTGGGTAAGAGTTATAACTTAAATGTGAGTAAAATATGTCAATAACGTGACCCTCAGTTATTGTCCTTGTGTGATATCATACAAGTCTCCACACATGCCAGGTACTGGGCAAAATGCTTAGGGCATCAGAGCAACCTGCGAAGAAGCGACCAGCACCAGAGTTTACAGGTGTGGGAAATGAAAGTTCCACAAGGTCACTGATGCCCCCAGATCACGTGATCCATGGCAGAATTGAGCTCCTTCCCACATCTCATTAATGCCAGACACAAGTTTTCTTTCAATCTGAATGCTCTGCCCTGTTCCGGATTTTTAAAAAATAATAAGTGCAATAGAACATTGCCTTTTACTAAGAATTATGCCACTTACTTGTATTTCTGAGAAGGGTTGTCCTTAAGATTTCAGAGTGGAAATGAAAGTGGGGATTTTGCTGAGGAAAATTACTTTGATTGTTTTTAATACCTTTCTGTGAATTTCACATGATGTTTTTATGGCACACTGCCACAGCATTAACAATTGGCACTACCAGATGTCTACTTTGTCTTAATTGTGGGCAACCTGCAAGCGCAGCCTGGAAGATGTTAAAAACTGAAACCTTTATTTTTGTCCCTGGATATAAGACGAACGGGAGTTCTTGTATTTTACGAGAGAGTCACCAGCTCCTGGCTTCCAGTGAGCCTCATCTGGATGAATGCCACCCAGGCCCCAGCTGACGCCTCTGAGGCCTTCCTGGGAGCTCTGGAGTCCTCACAGCCTAGTCACACTGCTTCCTCTCTTCATTGCAGCTCCTGAAGGTGCGGCACTCGCCTTGAGGCACTTTCTTCTGAGCTGTGAGCTATGGGCAAGCAGTGGAGGGGGAAGAGAGCAGCTGAAGCAGATGCCGGTTCAACTTACTTAAAGATGTGGGACAAGCTCTGAGGAAGCCCCCAAGACAATGATGTCTGGTTGTGCACCATTGAAGCAAGAACAGAAACCATCCCAGAGTGGAGGACATGGCCCATGTGGTCCTCCTGTTCTGAGTGGCTATGAGATGGAGTTCTGTGTGAGCTCTCTACAGAAAAAGCCCTGTCTCCAGGCAATCAGTGGAGATCTGTTAAACGAGTTGAAACAAAAGAGGACAAGGAATTGCTGTGGCTTTAGACGTTGCCAGGACATGTAGAAACTCACTCAGGATTTACTACTGCATCCACTGTCACTTAGGCGCAGGAGGGGTCACAGTCAGAAGGTGACTACTGAGAAATGTGCCCTACCCACAGTCTAGAAAATTAAGTTTGGGCTGGGCGTGGTGGCTCACATCTATAATCCCAGAACTTTGGAAGGTGGAGGCAGGTGGATCACTAGGTCAGGAGTTTGAGACCAGCCTGACCAACATGGTGAAACCCCGTCTGTACTGAAAATACAAAAAGTAGCCGGGTGTGTCAGTGCACGCCTGTAATCCCAGCTACTCAGGAACCTGAGGCAGGAGAATGGCTTGAAACTGGGAGGCAGAGGTTGCAGTGAGCTGAAATTGCGCCACTGCACTCCAGCCTGGGTGACAGAGCGAGACTCTGTCTCAAAAAAAAAAAAAGAAAAAAAAAGAAGAAAATTAAGTTTGAAACCTGAAATTAACCTCTTGGTGAGAATGGAAATGGAATGAAATTTCACTCCTTTCCAGATGCAGCTTCTGAAGAGGAGACCTGGCAGCCTGGCGAGCATCCAGCTCGCTCACGCACCTCTTTCTAGTCCCGTGGCCATCAGTGAGCTTCTCCGGGTCCCTCTTGCCACTTCTCAGATGTTCCTTTCTGTCCTAGGAGATTTGTAAAACCAGATACTTAGGATATGATTCTCTAGTGGAGGGTTAGGCCTTTAGGTCTCTAAAAATTGCCATTCATGACCTTCGGGCCTAGGGTTTTGAGATGAATGTGCAGTGTGTGTGGCCGCTCTGTGTGTCCCGCTTCCACCAGCTTGGCATTAAGCACCCGGAGCATCACCTGCTGGGCAGGCCTGGCCAGGGGTGAGCCCCTCCATTCGGGGGCTCAGGGTCAAGGCAGATTCCTTGCTTGGCTTTCCTGCTGATTTCCTCATGAAGATGCCAATTCGTATTTAAACATTTGTTATCAATGGTGGTGTTTGTGTGCTGATTTCTATAGGTAGAGGCTGTTGTTTTAGGAGCCAGGTTTGCTGGGCCAGCTCAGACCTCTTACAAAGTGAAGATACTAATGATCGTCTTGCAAGGTGCCATAGTGTCGTGAGGGTGAACTGAGGCAGTGGCTATGCATGGTGTCTGCAGCAGCGTTTCTGAGGCTCCAAGAATATCAGTTCCTTTTTCAGAAATGGGGCCAGATTCTTCGGATGTAGACAGTGTTCTCTTCACGGATGCTAACAACTTATCAAAGCTATAATATATTAAGTATCTCTGTTATAATAGGATAGATGCATTCCTAAAAAAATGTGTTAAGCAAAAATCAGAAAATGAAAATAAAAATAACAAGGCCTTGAGGAAAAGCATAGTTGGGATGAACATTTAAACCTATACCCCAGTAATAATCCTCATAATGATACTGACAAAGTTGAAAAGATATGTTGAATTCCTAATAAATATCCCAGTAAATATAGGATTACACACACACACACACACACACACACACACACACTTCTGCCTGTGAGAAGGTAGTGAATAGGAGGAGTAATGCAGGGCCAATTCCAAGGCTGCTAAATATGGAGACAAGGATAAAAAAGCACAAAGATAGGAAGAACTACCTGACAGGGGTTCTGAGTCAGCATTTGTCCAGCTGAGCCAAGAGGAAGACTGGGGTGAATGGACACGCATACCATATTCCTCCAAGGTTGCGTTTTTGTTTTTTGGGGGGTTTTTTGTTTGTTTTTTTGTTTTTTGAGACAGAGTCTCGCTCTGTTGCCCAGGCTGGAGTATAGTGGCACGATCTCGGCTCACTGCAAGCTCTGCCTCCCGGGTTCACACCATTCTCCTGCCTCAGCCTCCCGAGTAGCTGGGACTACAGGTGCCCACCACCACGTGCCCGGCTAATTTTTGTATTTTTAGTAGAGACGAGTTTCACCGTATTAGCCAGGATGGTCATGTTTTTGTTCTTGTTTTTGTTTTAGAGACAGGGTCTCCCTCTGTCACCCAGGCTGGAGTGCAGTGGCACAATCACAGCTCACTACAGTGTCAACCTTCCAGGTTGAGGATCACTCGATACTCATGCCTCAGCCTCCCATGTAGCTGGGGCCACAGGGGCACACCACCACTCCTGACCCATTTTTTAAAAAATTTTTTGTATAGGTGGGGTCTCACCATGTTGCCCAGGCTAGCCTCGAACTCCTGGGCTCAAGCAACCCTCTCACCTTGGCCTCCCAAAGTGCTGAGATTATAGGTGTGACCCGCCATGCCCGCCTTTCCTCTGAGTTTTGTTGCATTCACGCAGCTCCTGGCTGAGGCAAAACATTAAAATGCATATGGAAATGCAGGCTGGGAAAATGCTTTGAAACCAATGCAATTTCTGTGTTAAGGGGACATTCCCTGATTCTTTCAGGTAATTTGCATTCTAGACTGTGACATTCTGTATCTCAACTGATAAATAAGCCTGTTTGTCATCCTGCTAGATGAGAACCTGATATATGAAACCTTTTTTTTAATCGTGGTTAAAAAAAACATAAAATTTACCATCATAATTATTTTTAAATGTACCATTTGGCAGCATTAAGTATATTTAAACTCTTGTGAAACAAATTTCTAGAATGTTTTCATCTTGCAAAACCGAAACGCTGTACCTATTAAACAACTCCCCTTTTCTCCCTCTCTTCAACCCTGGTAACCATGTTTTTATGAATTTGACTACTTTAGATACCTCATATAAGTCAGGTCATACAGTATTTGTCTCTTTGTGACTGGCTTCACTTAGCATAATGTCCTCAAAGTTTAACTATGTTGTAGCATGTATCAGAATTTTATGAAACATGAAGTCTTAGACACCCCGAAGTACATTTTCACCCCAAATGTATTTGAACAGTGTTAGGCTGGGGGTGGGAGGCGGGAGTCCTTCTTGCTTTGCCTGTGCAATGAAATGAATACCCTGCTGTGTTTATCTCCTTGTCATGTGATTCTCCCAGGTTGTTTCTTCAAGTTTCTGAGCCAAACTTAACTCTAAAAAGCAAATATTCTGTGTTAAAAGACAGTAATCAACACGGGAGCTACATCAGACATCATAGGACAAATTGTCATCTAGAAGAGTATATTTTTAATGCAGGAGAGTTTTTAAAACCCAGATTGGTGTGATTTCATTCCAGAGAGCTCAGAAATATGCTCAGCAAGTCTTGCAGAAGGAATGTCGTCCCAAGTTTGCCAAGACATCAATGGCGCTGTTATTTGAGCACAGGTATAGCGTGGACTTACTCCCTTTTGTGCAGAAGGCCCCCAAAGACAGTGAAGCTGAGTCCAAGTACGATCCTCCTTTTGGGTTCCGGAAGTTCTCCAGTAAAGTCCAGACCCTCTTGGAACTCTTGCCAGAGCACGACCTCCCTGAACACTTGAAAGCCAAGACCTGTCGGCGCTGTGTGGTTATTGGAAGCGGAGGAATACTGCACGGATTAGAACTGGGCCACACCCTGAACCAGTTCGATGTTGTGATAAGGTACATTGGTTTTTTTTGTTTGTTTGTTTACTTATTTTTATTGTTTTTATTTTATTTTATTTTTTGAGGCAGGGTCTCACTCCTGTTGTCCAGGCTGGAGTGCAGTGGTGTGATCTCAGCTCACTGCAGCCTCAACTTCCCAGGCTCAGGAGATCCTCCCACCACAGCCTCCCCAGTAGCTGGGACCCCAGGCACACACCACGCGTGGCTAATTTTTTATATTTTTAGTAGAGATGGGGTTTCTCCGAATTGCCCAGACTGGGGTACATCGCTTTTAAAACCAACCTTTCTCCTCTAGAACTCAGTGCACTGCTCTTGGTCAGTGTGGCTCCAGGAACAGTGAGGGACACAGGAAGCTCTTCACAGTCCCTGCCCACAAGGGACTTAACGTTTGAGAAGTTGAAACAAAAACACAAAATGGTTGGATGCTCCAAACTGTCATACTGACCCTAAGTTGGAGGAGCATGCTGCTGGCTACAGTAAGTGGCAGAACCTTGTCAGAGGAAGTGAGATTTGGAAGGTGGGTAGATTCAAGTAAAACAGCAAAGGACCACAACTCCCAGACAGGGGCAAGAAGAGGACACAGCAAGAGACTTGAGTCAATGAGGGGCCTGGCTTCTGGAGAAGGGGCTTGGGGCCAGTGAGTCCTGGAAGGCAGTGCTGGCTGGGACATGGAAGGCACACAGAGAAGTTCAGACTCACCATGATAGCCAATAGGCAGTCATCCTAGATTCTTTTTTGGTTTCACTGTTTAAAAATTGTTTTCTGGCCAGGCGCAGTGGCTCATGCCTATAATCCCAGCACTTTGGGAGGCCAAGGCAGGAGGATCGCTTGAGCTCAGGAGTTCAAGACCAGCCTGGGCAACATAGAGACAGCTTGTCTCTACAGAAAATCAAAAAGTCAGCCAGGCATGGTGGACTAGATTTTCCCTTCTGATTCCTTTTTTGAAATTCTGGCAAGAACTAACATCTGAGCACAATGGAAAATTTCTGAGGATATTTTACTGGCACCCAGAGAAAGTCCCAAATGTAATATGCTTAGATTGAGTAAAAATATTAGGGCTAGATGAAATTGCTTGACATTCAGGGATTAGATACAAGTGTTCGCTCAAGTACTAAAGGCTGCATTCCTCGAAATCCTAGAAAGACAGAGCTGGGAGGGGAGATGAGGCTGCAAACCATGCACTCATTCTTAGTCATAAGAAGACGTGGAGGACATGACATGGATACTGCCTGGTGTACAGAGATGGTTGATGGCCTGCTTTGTCAGTGTGTCTTTGTCCTTTTTATTTAAATAGGTTAAACAGTGCACCAGTTGAGGGATATTCAGAACATGTTGGAAATAAAACTACTATAAGGATGACTTATCCAGAGGGCGCACCACTGTCTGACCTTGAATATTATTCCAATGACTTATTTGTTGCTGTTTTATTTAAGAGTGTTGATTTCAACTGGCTTCAAGCAATGGTAAAAAAGGAAACCCTGGTAAGCACTAATACTTCTATTAAATCTGCCTTAGTAAAAAGTGAAGGAGTCTTACTTAGTTGTAATTATAGCCTTTTATTTTTAAACACGCAGAGCGGAATGCATACTTATGTGTTGTCTTTCAAATGATGATCACTCTCTTTGTAGAAACCCCTCAGCAATTCTTTTTTTTGGGGATGGAGTCTCATTCTGTTGTCCAGGCTAGAGGGCTGGAGTGCAGTGGTGCAGTCTTGGCTCTCTGCAGCCTCCGCATCCCAGGTTCAAGCAATTCTCCTGCCTCAGCCTCCCGAGTAGCTAGGATTACAGGCGCCTGCCACCACGCCCAGTTAATTTTTGTATTTTTAATAGAGATGGGGTTTCACCATGTTGGCCAGGCTGGTCTCAAACTCCTGACCTCAGGAGATCCACCCGCCTCAGCCTCCAAAAGTGCTGGGATTACAAACATGAGCCACTGCACCTGGCCCTCTTCCAGTGGTTCTTGCACATGGGCAGGTTGGAGAATTCCTGGTAGAGACAGTGGTGAGGGTGTTTATAATTTAAACTGAACAAATACTAGGAGCTAGTGGGAGATTTGTTGGGTGCGGTCTCAGCACCGGCACTTCCTCAGTGCTTTTGATTTCATGGGTGAAATTTCACACTCCTGAGAGACAAATGAGACCCTGCCCCCCAGTTGAAATCGGAAAGTACCATACAGTGGGAGTATTTTTCCTTTTGGTGGCGGGAATGGAGTGAGATGGTTATAAAGAGGCCCTGCTGCAGTTGTGTCAATCCAGGAGTGGGTGCTTTCCTCCTATGTCTGTGTACAGCTGTACACTCTGCATGGATGGGCCAGACCTAATTAAGAGTCGCATGAAAATGGTGATCATTGCTTAATGGGAATATCCAGATTGTGACCAAAATTGCTGTTACTGAGGTTGTTCACCCACCTTGTTCTCCAGACATGAACTTGCATAGCTTTTGGCTAGTTCCAGAAATTAGACTTACTTAGATGGATATAAGCCTTTTTGAGGGTATTCAAAAGCATATAAAAATCAAGGAATACTCTAAAGAGCTCCAAAAATGCTTTGGTCAGTGGTTCCCTTGTTGGAATAAATTCATGGCATTCCAGAAGGGCAGCTATGGAGGAGATGGCCCTCACTTGGTCATATTCCTTTTGTCTTTATTGGTCACATTACTTTATAGTCTCACCCATTATATTCAAATACATTTCAGAGGTCAGCTGTCGAGGAGTGTATGCACATGTATAGACATATGCACAAACTAGCTGTCTGTGAAACTAATGGGACGTATTCAACTTTTCACGTAAACTCCATGTGATGACAAATTTGTATTTCCAAAGCTGATTCTATATCAGTCATCATGGTCTTCTGGATTTTCTATTGGGCAGAAGTTCTAGTTGGAAGATGAAGCATATATGAAACGACTTCATGGGACTAGGAAATAGAGTAAGTGAGAGAGGATGCGAGGTGAGGGCAGTTTCAGCACTTAATAGCCTTAAATTGGACCTATTCACTTGGGCTTCCCTAGACAAAATGATGGTGTTAGCACCATTGAGGAATGTCTACCTCAAACAAATACAAGCTGGTTCTGCAATTCATCTCTTTGTCCAGTGCCGCCTGTGTGAAGTGGCTATTTCAGAGTTACTTTTTTGAGTTGGAGTGCCGGATTTGCGTAGCTTTTGCAATCTATAGGAGTAGATTGCTTCAGAAGGCAGTGCACAGGGCCACATGGGGTCACACCCACAGCCTTGGTCTGATGAGTGGGAATGCTTTCTCCCCTCCCCTAGAAGGATGACTAACAACTGCTTGCTTGCTTTCCTTAGCCATTCTGGGTACGACTCTTCTTTTGGAAGCAGGTGGCAGAAAAAATCCCACTGCAGCCAAAACATTTCAGGATTTTGAATCCAGTTATCATCAAAGAGACTGCCTTTGACATCCTTCAGTACTCAGAGCCTCAGTCAAGGTTCTGGGGCCGAGATAAGGTATTTTTGTTGCTACTCAAAGTTAATCATTCCCTGTTTGAGGGGCGATGTGTACAAATTTCACTTTGGCTCAACTGTATACCCAGAAGCATCTCCAGTGGAGAAACCCAGCCTGTGATTAGATGCTCCATGTGTGTTTACCACTCTGCACTTGGCTGCAGGGCTCCTCATTGTTTAATTGGCCTTCTCTCCAGTGACTCTTCTCTTTAGTGTAGGCAGCACATTAACACTTGAATCACTGAGATACTATTTTAAGGTATTCTTACTCCAGGACTCCATATAACTGCAGGACACTGAAAGGCACTTTCATGATCTGAAAAGTTATTTACATTTTATTTTTTAATTTTTTAAAAATTTAAAAAATTTTGTACCCCAGAGAAAAGTCATATTTACATTTTCACTCTGTGGGCCATTCAGGTGAGTATTGATTTTTATCATCACTTTGTAGGTGATAGTTATAAAAGTTAATCCTCAAGAACAGTGTTTTTCAGTTAATGCCTGGGTCTCATCTCAGACATTCTAATTGTTTTGTGTTTTAAGATTTTCTAAATTCCGTGGACGATTTTTATTTTGCAGCCTAATTTGGGAACTTTGTGCTCTAGGCTGTTTATTGCAGTAGAGATTCTTTACCTGCAATTAGCAAGTGCTGCCACCAGGGGCGTGGGGGTGTGCATGCCTTTATTACTTGCGGCTTCTTGATCTGAATAACTTGACTGGTGTCTTTAAAACTTAAGACCTGTGTGGAAATTATCACATGTACAATGAGAATAAACACTCTCAGAATACAAAGAGCTCTTACTAAATCAAAGAGAAAAAGATGAACCAATAGAAAATGGGCAAAAAATAGGAATAGACATTTCACAAAAGAAGAATTAAAATAGCCAAAGAATACATGTAAAAATGTTCAACTTTACCAATAATCAAATAAAAGCAAATTAGAGCCACAATAGTATTTTTGCCCATTTTCTTAGCAAAGACTTAAAAGTTTGATAATGTCCTTGTTTGGCAGGAATGTAGGTAGAATGATCAGCTGGCACTTTTTCTGGAGGATATTTTGGCAATATTAAACCATTTTAAATACGAATCATCTCTGACCCACCAATTTTACACTAAAAACATTATTACAAGGAAATTAGAGAAATTTATAAAGATGGATATTCTAGGATGTACACTATAGCATTAACAGCAGAGGACTAAAAACAGCCTAAATGTTCATTATTATGGGATTGTTTAAACAAATTATGATAAAGTCAATGCAGTATTGTCTGTTAAGGATGAAGAATATAGGAAAACACCTCCATAGTATATTAAGTGAGAAAATAAACATACAAAACACTAGGCTGGGCGCGGTTGCAGACGCCTGTAATCCCAGCACTTTGGGAGGCTGAGGCGGGCAGATCACCTGAGGTCAGGAGTTCGAGACCAGCCTGACCAACATGGAGAAACCCTGTCTCTACTAAAAATAAAATTAGCCAGGCGTGGTGGCGCGTGCCTGTAATTTCAGCTACTTGGGAGGCTGAGGCAGGAGAATCGCTTGACCTGGGAGGCGGAGGTTGCAATGAGCCGAGATCGCCCCATTGCACTCCAGCCTGGGCAACAAGAGTGAAACTCCATCTTAAAAAAAAAAAAAAAAGATACAGAACACTTTAACAATAAAAGTATGTGTTTAGTATAAAAGCTTGGAAATAGACACCAGCCTGTGAAGAATGCCCTTCTTCAGAGGGGAAGTCTATAGAAGACTTCTACTTTCTGCTTTATAATCTGTCTGTTAGTTGAACTGAATATTTTCCTATTTTTATAATTGATAAAATGGCATTTTTCTTTTGGATAAAAACAGTAACTTAAAAGAGGACTTCTGATCTAAAGTTGCAGTATCAGAAACTTCCTCATGTATATGTCCTTCCAGCAGATGAAGAAGCCTGTTGAGCAGTAGGAGATGTGATCTCAAAGGGCATGCTATAGAGATGACATGCTTTGGGGAGTTTTTCATCGGTTTTTTAGTTCTCTCCATATATCACCCCAATGGACAGTTGATTTCACACACTCCTTCGACAAACATTGAATATTCCCTGTGTGACAAGATGGTCACTGGGGGTACATGGTTGGAGAAGACAGAACAACGCCTAGAGCCCTGGCTAAACAGGAGGAAAGTGTCCTTTGTGTTAATTTCTCTTGGTTTCTATTTCCAAGCATGCAGAATGGCTGTTGAGTTCCTTTTTAACAGGTGAGGTTGGCTTTGAGAGGTAGATGCATCAAGGAGCAGGAAGCAGATTTTAACAAATGATGGCTTCAGTAGATGTTCCCTAATCCCACCTGAATCTGTGAACTCTGGAGGGTCCACTGTTGTTCCACTTTACAAAAAAGAAGAGTTATATTTATGGCAGCCACAAGCTCAACTAAGATGAATGAAAAGAGAGGCACATTTTTCCATGAAAAACTATACAAAAGGATGCTAATAGTAAGAGTAGTAGTAGATTGGTGGCAGCCTTTGAGGAGGCCTAGTGAGCTGCAGGGCCTTCTGTATTCCTCCCTGTCCTGTGTACTGTTTTTACCCAAGGCTGGCATGGAGATCCAGAAAGCACGATGTCAGATTTGCACATTCCAGGAAGCAAGACAAGATGCCAGACATGAGGAGGGAGTGGGGACACCATCAGAATCTAGAAAGGTTTAGACAATGGAGATTCTAGGCCAAGGTCAGTAGGATACATTTTTAAAGGAACAAATGTGGAAATATTTAATTCAGGACTAAAAATGTACTTGAGGCTGGACATGGTGGCCCATGGCTGTAATCCCAACACTTTGGGAAGCCAAGACGGGAGGATTGCTTGAGCCCAGGAGTTCGAGACCAGCCTGGGCAACATGGTGAAACCCTATTTCTACAAAAAAATACAAAAAGTAGCTGGGCATGGTGGCACATGCCTGTAGTCCCAGCTACTCAGGAAGCTGAGGTGGGAGGATCACCTGAGCCTGTGAAGGTCAAGGCTGCAGTGAGCCGTGATCGCGCCACTGTACCCCAACCTGGGCAACAGAGTGAGACCGATGCTGTCTCAAAAAAAAAAACAAAATTTACTTGCCCAAACAGACGGTGGGAAGAAACTGGCTTAGCAGCTCTACATAGGGAAATGGCCTGGAAGTGCTATTTGCCAGCAAAGCCAATGGGGCCCTTAAGTGGGATGTAGCTGCTGGTGTGTGAACACAGTCTTCTGCAGTGAGAACTGAGAATCCTCTGTTCTCAGGAAGGGATGGGCTCCAGAAACTGTGCCCTGGGAAGGACCGTGGAAGGTCCTGTGGCCACCTCTCCCAGAGCAGACCTCATAGACATTTGTCATTGAGAGAGGAAGTAGGCTTTTTTTTTTATTTTTTTTTTTAATGATTCTGGGCATCACATATAGGAAGGACCAGTGGGGTAGACATTTTAGAAGGAATGCCTTTTTTTTTTTTTTTTTTTTTTTTGAGACAGAGTCTTGCTCTGTCGCCAGGGTGGAGTGCAGTGGCTCGATCTCGGCTCACTGCAGCCTCCGCCTCCTGGGTTCAAGTGATTCTCCTGCCTCAGCCTCCTGAGTAGCTGGGACTACAGGCGTGTGCCACCACACCTGGCTAAATTTTGTATTTTTAGTAGAGACAGGGTTTCACCATATTGGCCAGGCTGGTCTCAAACTCTTGACCTCGTGATCCGCCCACCTCGGCCTCCCAGAGTGCTGGGATTACAGGCGTGAGCCACCGCACCTGGCCTAGAAGGGGAATACCTTTTAACTTGGTGTAAGAATTGTCAGGCTGCCCCTTGAAAGTGTGTGAACATCACAGACCATGTTTTAGAGCCTAGATTCCTGACTTAAATGGAGAGTTGGACTCTAAAGTTCATGATGTATAAAATTATGTGATGTATGAAATTGCAGCCCCCAATGTAGCTTTCATGACTCTGCGTAGCATGTGTAATACCAGCAAAATGGTGACTTGTGCCAAAATTTTTTTTTACTTTTTGGTCTTCTTTTCCCTTTCTCAGAACGTCCCCACAATCGGTGTCATTGCCGTTGTCTTAGCCACACATCTGTGCGATGAAGTCAGTTTGGCGGGTTTTGGATATGACCTCAATCAACCCAGAACACCTTTGCACTACTTCGACAGTCAATGCATGGCTGCTATGAACTTTCAGACCATGCATAATGTGACAACGGAAACCAAGTTCCTCTTAAAGCTGGTCAAAGAGGGAGTGGTGAAAGATCTCAGTGGAGGCATTGATCGTGAATTTTGAACACAGAAAACCTCAGTTGAAAATGCAACTCTAACTCTGAGAGCTGTTTTTGACAGCCTTCTTGATGTATTTCTCCATCCTGCAGATACTTTGAAGTGCAGCTCATGTTTTTAACTTTTAATTTAAAAACACAAAAAAAATTTTAGCTCTTCCCACTTTTTTTTTCCTATTTATTTGAGGTCAGTGTTTGTTTTTGCACACCATTTTGTAAATGAAACTTAAGAATTGAATTGGAAAGACTTCTCAAAGAGAATTGTATGTAACGATGTTGTATTGATTTTTAAGAAAGTAATTTAATTTGTAAAACTTCTGCTCGTTTACACTGCACATTGAATACAGGTAACTAATTGGAAGGAGAGGGGAGGTCACTCTTTTGATGGTGGCCCTGAACCTCATTCTGGTTCCCTGCTGCGCTGCTTGGTGTGACCCACGGAGGATCCACTCCCAGGATGACGTGCTCCGTAGCTCTGCTGCTGATACTGGGTCTGCGATGCAGCGGCGTGAGGCCTGGGCTGGTTGGAGAAGGTCACAACCCTTCTCTGTTGGTCTGCCTTCTGCTGAAAGACTCGAGAACCAACCAGGGAAGCTGTCCTGGAGGTCCCTGGTCGGAGAGGGACATAGAATCTGTGACCTCTGACAACTGTGAAGCCACCCTGGGCTACAGAAACCACAGTCTTCCCAGCAATTATTACAATTCTTGAATTCCTTGGGGATTTTTTACTGCCCTTTCAAAGCACTTAAGTGTTAGATCTAACGTGTTCCAGTGTCTGTCTGAGGTGACTTAAAAAATCAGAACAAAACTTCTATTATCCAGAGTCATGGGAGAGTACACCCTTTCCAGGAATAATGTTTTGGGAAACACTGAAATGAAATCTTCCCAGTATTATAAATTGTGTATTTAAAAAAAAGAAACTTTTCTGAATGCCTACCTGGCGGTGTATACCAGGCAGTGTGCCAGTTTAAAAAGATGAAAAAGAATAAAAACTTTTGAGGAACTCTCGTAGTCTGGTTAATTTGGGTGCTTATGTCTATGAATCTACCCAAAACCTCCTTCTTGGATGCTGCTGCTAGGCGGAGACCTCTCTGTGGATGCCAGTAGTGAGGGACAGAGAATTAAGGCACCTGGTCCTGCAAGCTGCTTGAGTCCAGACAACTGTGAACCCTTCTGAAGAGATGCTGGGTGTCGGTGGCTTCCTCCCCAAAGACAGGCTGCCCCTAGCTTCTGTCTCTTAATGGCTCTAGCCTCTGATATCAGAAGATCTGCTACTCTGTTCCCAGCCTGCCCCAGACTCGGCTGCCGCCATCGCTGTTCTCCACTCTGTGGCTGCTCTTGTCACTAATGCTACCTGCCTCCACTTTCCCTTCCTGCAACTGCTTGTGCAGCCCCAGTGCAGCCTTGGCCCCAGCCCATTCGAACGTCTTCCCATCTCCCTCCTCCTCACCATATGCAGGGCCAGGAGTCAGGTCATAGCATTCAAAGCAGAGTCCCTTCTGTCTCCTGGGGTCTGGGATCCAGCTCAGAGTGGCCAGGAGAGCAAAAGTCATATTTCTCTCGTTTTGTGTCTTTACAGATAATTTTGTATGAATTTTATTTCCTACTCTATAAGCTACTGCTTGTTTAAGAGAAAATGTTTTAAGATTATCACCCATCAAATGAGTTTAGAAAATTGAGACTCTGGAAGATGGTCCACAGCTCCCTTGTGGCTCAGGTGGTGCTGGGCTTACACCACACAGCTCCACCCCTACATCCCTCAGGGGGTTATTGGAGAAGCCGGAACTTCCTCAGACAACGTTCTTAATGCTACGAGCGCCTCCTTGCTGGTATGAGGAGACTTGCCTACCTGCTTCTCAAGGCTGCTGGGATGTGTGGTGCTCAAAGCTTCCACTTGGTCAGCTTGCAGCCATTCTCAGGCCTGCTCCCATCCCCATCCCTCCTCCCTGTAAGGCCCTTCTTGCATCCTTAGGTTGCTTTGCTCATGTCTCTCAACTTTTACTTACTCAGGTGGTAAGCAGATACCCTAAAAAGGTATATTTTTGTAGACCTTTTATAGAGTCCACCAGCCAATAGGAGTTGGCTGGAGATCATTCTCAAGAACTTTTCACACTTTGGCATTCATTTGTTGGAAGTTGCATCTTCACTTCAGAGCTGTGCCCCCATTACTCCCCCACCCCACACACACTCTTCTGAAAACAGACCTTTGCTAGGTGCCTCTGGGTGTTCTAAAGTTGATCTCCAGTAACTGAGAATTCACTGCCACACTAACAGCTTTGTATTGCATTCTAGACCCGCACACACACCCTCCGACATAAATGAAATCACTGGTTCTGAGGCAACTTAGGAAGACTTACACATGTTCTGTATTTTAACATGCTTCTAGAACTTTGAGCTGCAGAAAATTTCAGTTTTAGGGTTTTTTAATTTTAATTTTTGATTGATACATAGTGATGTGCATATTTTGAGGGTCCATGTGATAATGTAATACATTTGTGTAATTATAAGGAGCAAATCTGTGTAACTGGGATATCTGTCACATTAAATATTTGTCTTTATGGTAGAAACATTTGAATTATTCTAGTGATTTTGAAATACACAGTAAATTATTGTAAACTATAGGCATTCTACTGACCTATCAAACACTAGGTCTTGTTTCTTTTATCAAACTGTATGTTTGTACCCATTAATCAACCTCTCTTCATTTCCCCCTACCCTTCTTGGCCTCTGGTAACTACCAATCTACTCTCTATCTTCATGAGATCCACTTTTTTAGCTCCTACATAGGAATGAGAACATGTGATATTTGTCTTTCTGTGTTTGGCTTATTTCACTTAACATCACCTCCAGTTCCATCCATCTTGCTGCAGATAACATGATTTCAACCTTTTTATGGCAGAATAATATTCCATTGTGTATATATACCACATTTTCTTTATTCATTCACCCATTGATGGACACTTAGGTTGATTTCATGTTTTGGCTATGTGAATAGCGCTGCAATAAATATGGGAGTATAGATATATCTTCAATATGTCTTTTGTTTTGGATATTGATATGGTTTGGCTCTGTGTCCCCACCCAAATTTCATCTTGAATTTTACTCCCATAATTCCCATGTATTGTGGGAGGGACCCTGTGGGAGATCATTTGAATCATGGAGGTGGTTTCCCTCATACTGTTCCCATGGTAGTGCATAAATCTCACAAGATCTGATGGTTTTATCAGGGGTTTCCACTTTTGCATCCTCCTCTCTTGCCACTGCCATGTAAGAAGTGCCTTTTGCCTCCCACCTTGATTCTGAGGCCTCCCCAGCCATGTGGAAATGTAAGTCCAATTAAATCTCTTTTTGTTCACAGTCATGGGTATGTCTTTATCAGCAGCGTGAAAACAGACTATTATGGATATATAATCAGTAGTGGAATGGCTGGATCAGATGGTAATTCTATTTTTAGTTTTTTGAGGAACCTCCATGCAATACTCCATAGTGGCTGTACTAATTTACATTCCCACCAACAATGCGCAAGGGTTTCCTTTCTCTACGTCCTTGCCAGCATTTACATTCCCTGTCTTTTTAATAAGATCCATTTTAACTGGGGTGAGATTATATTGTGGTTTTGATTTGTATTTCTTGATGATTAGTAATATTAAGCATTTTTTTCATATACCTCTTGGCCCTCTGTCTTTTTTTGAGAAATGTCTCTTTAGATCTTTTGCCCATTTTAAAATCAGTTTGTTTTTTACTTTTGAGTTGTTTGAACTCTTTATATATTTTGGTTATTAACCCCTTGTCAGATGGATAGTTCACAAGTATCTTCTCCCATTCCATGGATTGTCTCTTGACTTGTTGATTGTTTCCTTTACTGCACAGAATGTTTTTAGCTTGATGTAATTCTATTTGTCTGTTTTTGCTTTGGTTGCCTGTGCTTTTGAGCTCTTACACAAAATATTTTTGCCCAGACCAATGTCCTGGAGTGTTTCATAGTTTTAGGTCTTAGATTTAAATCTTTAATCCATTTGCTTTGGTTTTTGTATATGGTGAGAGATAGAGGTTCAGTTTTATTCTTTTGCATATAACTATCCAGTTTTCCCAGCATCATTTATTGAAGAGACTCTCTCCTTTCCCCATTGTATGTTCTTGGTGCCTTTGTCAAAAATGAGTTGGCTATAAACGCATGGATTTATATCTGGGTCTGGGTTCTCTATTCTGTTCCATTGGTCTGATGTCTTTGCATGCCAGTACCATGATGTTTTGGTTACTATAGCTTTGTAGTATATTTTGAAGTCAGGTAGTGTGATTCCTATAGCTTTGTTCTTTTTGCTCAGGATTGCTTTGGCTATTTGGGGTCTTTTGTGGTTCCATGTAAATTTTGGAATTATTTTTTCTATTTCTGTGAAGAATGTCATCGGGTCCATGAGCGTGAAATATCTTTCCATTTTGGGGTGCCCTCTTCAGTTTCTTTCATTAGTGTTTTATAGTTGTCTTTGGATAGATCTTTCACATCTTTGGTTAAATTGATTCCTAGGTATTTTGTATTCTTTGTAGCTACCATAAATGAAATTGATTTCTTGATTTCTTTTTCAGATTGTTGTTCTTGGGATATGTAAATGCTATTGATTTTTGTATGTTGATTTTGAATGCTGCAACTTTACTGAATTCACTTATCAGTTCCAACAGTTGTTTGGTGGAGTCTTTAGGTTTTTCTAAGTATAATATCATGTCATCTGCAAACAAGACTAATTTAAACTTCTTTCTTTGATGCCCTTTATTTCTTTCTCTTGCCTTATTGCCCTGAAACTTCGAGTAGTAGGTCAAATAAAAGTGGTGAAAGTGGGCATCTTTGTCTGGTTCCGGATTTTAAAGAAAAGGGTTTCAGTTTTTCCCTATCAGTATTATATTAGCTAGGAGTTTTTCATAGCTAATGACCTTTATTATTTTGAAGTATGTTTCTTCTATACCTAGTTTGTTGAAGGTTTTTTTCTTATAAAGGCATGTTTAATTTATTGAATGCTTTTTCAGCATCTATTGAAATAATCATATCGTTCTTGTTCTTGGTTCTCTTAATGCGATATATTGTGTTTATTGATTTGTATGTTGAACCATCCTTGCATCCCTAGGATGAATCCTATTTGATCATGATGAATTATCTTTTTAATGTGTTGTTGAATTCCATTTGCTAGTATTTTTTTGAGGATTTTTGCATCTATGTTCATCAGTGATATTGGCCTATAGTTCTCTTTTTTGGTTGTGTCTTTGTCTGGTTTGGTATCAGGGTAATGCAAGCCTTATAGAATGAGTTTGGAAATATTCCCTTCTCTTCAATTTTTATGAAGCATTTGAATGGAATTGGTCATCATTCTTCTTTAAATGTTTGGTAGAATTCAGCAATAATGCAATCAGGTCCTAGACTTTTCTTTGATGGGAGACATTTTATTATGGCTTCAATCTCATGACTCATTAGTGGTTTGTTGAAATTTTCTATTTCTTCATGGTTTCAATCTTGGTAGGTTGTATGTGTCCAGGAATTTGCCCATTTGTTCTAGGTTTTCCAACTTGTTGGCATGTAGTTGTTCATAACAGCTTCTAATGATTTTTTGTATGTCTGTGGCATCAGTTGTTATGTCTCCTGTTTCATTTACAATTTTATTTATTTGAGTCTTCTCTCTTAGTTAATCTAGCTAAAGGTTTGTCAATTTAGTTTTTGCCAAAAAAAAAAAACCTTTTCATTTCATTGATTTTCTTTATTTTTTAGTCTCCATTTATTGCTGCTCTGAATTTTATATCTTTTCTTCTAATTTTGAGTTTAGTTTGTTCTTTTCTAGTTTTTTGAGGTACATCATTAGGTTGTTTATTTGAAGTCTTTCTACTTTTTTGTTACAGGCATTTATTGCTATAAAATTCCCTCTTAGTACTATTTTTGTTGTATTCTACACATTTTGATATGTCATTTTCCATTTTCATTTGTTTCCAGAAATTTTTAAAATTTTCTTAATTTCCTTATTGGCCCTAGGTCATTCAGGAGTGTGTTAATTTCCATGTGTTTGTGTATTTCCCAAGGCCCCCCTTGTTATTTCTAGTTTTATTCCATTGTGATCAGAAAATATACTTGATATGATTTCTACTTTTTTGCATTTGTTGAGACTTGTTTTGTGGCCTAATATACAGTCTGTTTTGGAGAATGTTCCATGTGCTGATGAAGAAAATGTGTATTCTGCAGCAGTTGGGTAAAATGTTCTGTAAGTGTCAGGCCTAATTTGATCTGGTGTGTAGTTTAACTCCAGTGTTTCTTGATTTTCTGTCTGGATGACCTGTCCATCACATATAGTAGCATGTTGAAGTCCCCTACTATTATTGTATTGCAGTCTATCTCTCCCTTTAGATTTGTTAATGTTCGCATTATATACTTGAGAGCTCTGTTGTTCAGTACATAGATATTGATACATATTTCCTCCTGCTGAATTATTCCCTTTATCATTAGTGATCTTCTTTGTCTCTTTTTACAGTCTTTGATCTGTAGTCTGTTTTATCTGATGTAAGTACTTACTTATATCAGCTACTTACTCCTGCTCTTTTTTGGTTTCCAATTACATAGAATATCTTTTTCCATCCCTTCACGTTAGAAGTGAAATGATCTTCTTGTAGGCAGCATATAGTCAGGTCTTATTTCTTTATCCATTTAGCCATTCTATGTCTTTTAATTGGAGAACTGAGTCCATTTACATTCAGTGTTTTTGTTGATAGGTAAGGACTTACTACTGCCATTTTGTTGCTTGTTTTCTGGTTGTTTTGTAACTCCTCTCTTCCTTTCTTACTGTCTTCCTTTGTGGTAAGTGATTTTCTCTGATAGTATGTTTTAACGCATTGCTTTTTATTTTTAGTGAATCTATTATAGATTTTTGCATTGTGGTTACCATCAGGCTTACCAAAAAAATCTTACAGATACAACAAGTTATTTTAAAGAGATGGCAGCATAGATCACACAGAAAATAGAAACAAAGAAAAATGTAAAAACAAAAAACTGAAAAAACCTCTACACTTTAACTTCATCCTCCCCACATTTTGGCTTTATATTATCTCAATTTATATATCTTTATATTCCCTATCTCCCTTTTTTTTTTTAATTTTTTTTTTTGAGACAGAGTCTTGCTCTGTCACCCAGGCCAGAGTGCAGTGGTGCAATCTTGGCTCACTGCAAGCTCCAACTCCTGGGTTCTCACCATTCTTCTGGCTCAGCCTCCTAAGTAGCTGGGACTACAGGTGCCTGCCACCACGCCCAGCTAATTTTTGGGATTTTTAGTAGAGATGGGGTTTCACCATGTTAGCCAGGATGGTCTCGATCTCCTGATCTCGTAATCTGCCCACCTCGGCCTCCCAAAGTGCTGCGATTACAGGCGTGAGCCACCACACCTGGCCGATATTCCCTATCTCTTAATAGGTTGCTATAACTATTATTGTTTTTGATAGATTTGTATTTGGGGCTTTATACTAGATAGATAGATTTGTATACCATAGTTATGATGTGGATTATATACCACAATTACAGTATTAAAGTAATACTGGGTTTATCCATGTATTTAATTTTACCAGTGGGTTTTAAACCTTCAAATATTTTCTTTTTGCACATTAGTGAGTTTTTTCTTCTTTTCCTTTTTTTAGTTTCTTTTCTTTTACTTTTCTAGTATCTTGAAAACTATCATAGCTCACTGCAGGCTCGAATGCTTGGGCTCAAGCAATCCTCCTCCCTCAGCCTCCCAAGTAGCTGGGACTACAGGCACTGCTGTGCCCAGCAAATTATTTTGTGTAGAGACAGAGTCTCACCATGCTGTGCAGGCTGGCCTCAAACTCCTGGGCTCAAGCAATCCTCCCACCACAGCCTCCTGTGTAGCTAGGACTACAGGTGTGCACCACCACACCCAGCTAATTTTTAGTTTTTTGTAGAAATGGGGGTATCACTATGTTGCTCAGGCAGGTCTTGAACTCCTGGACTCAAGCAATCCTCCTGCTTCAGCCTCCCAAAGTGTTGGGGTTACAGGTGTCAGCCACCATGCCCAGCCTGTTAAAGATTTCTAAAACCATGGATCACTTCGTTTTGGCTACATTCTAACCCTATCACTTTGGGACCTGGGAGGCAGAGGTTGCAGTGAGGGGAGATCCCTCCACTGCACTCTAGCCTGGGTGACACAGTGAGACTCTGTCTCAAAAAAAAACAAGAACAGTAGTCAAATGAAAAAGTAGTTTCGCATTGACTGTTACTCATAATATATCAAGATGTCCCATCAGACTGGCTCATTTGAAGTGGGAAGAAATTGACCATCAGCCCTAAAGCAATGAGTAATTCAAGTGTACATCTGTAACTAAGTTATAAACTCTGCAGTGAAAGAATTTTATTATTCCATCTCAAGAACCTATAACAAGGCCTCGCCTGTCGTAGGCATTAAATAAATATGTTTTGATTTTATTTGATTTCATATCTTTGGTGGAACATGAAGATGGGCAGTTGATGGTCTAAGATTGAATACAATGAAGAGCTCTTGAGTCTAGAATCTGGGATAAGGGAGTCTTATGCTAAGAGGAATGGAATATAGGTAACTGAAGCAATAAATGAACAGTTGCTTTTTTTTATATGTAATTGTCCTAGTGATTTAAATCGTATTTTAAAAAGTGTCAAAAGCCAGATAGGCCCATTTAATGTCTGTGTACATATCCATACATTTTAGAAAACCAGCTTACTGCTGAAGTTTACAAAATACATGTGTACCCTACCTTTTCAGAGACCTGCCAAGGTATATCAAAGTGTGGGCTGGAGCTTCAGACTCTAATAGGGAAATTCCTGAGTCAGAGGCTCTGTGATTTGCGTTCAAGGCAGTTGTCATGAGTTTATTACATGGAATTTGGAAACCAATATAATATAACTCTATTGTATTGCATATTTGCTTTTTAAAAATTTTTGGCCATCATTATATACTCAAAGATTATTTTTAAAAGATGGTAATTACTACAGATCTGATCATTTAAATACAACCTTGTATTTAAAATAATGGTGGACAAAAGACCTTTTGATTATGGGGTTTTGTTCTAGAGCTGCGTGAGCTTCCATTGTGATAAGCTGAAAAGGGGGTCACTTTCAAAACCTTCACACACACACACACACACACACACACACACAGTCTTCATGTGTTCAGGCTGCTACAACAAAATAACATACAGTGGGTGGTGTATAAACAACAGAAATGTATTTCTCCCTGTTCTGGTGGCTGGGAAGTTCAAGATCAAGGTGCAGTGTCTGGTGAGGTGCCACCTGCTGGTTCATAGATGGCTATCTTTCTGCTGTGTCCTCTCATGGTGGAAGGGGTGTAGGAGCTCTCTGGGCCTCTTTTGTGAGGGTGTTAATCTCACTCATGAGGCTCTACCATCATGACCTAATCATCTCCCAAATGTACCACCTCAAAACACCGTCATATTGGGTGTTTGATTTCAATATATGAATTTGGGGGTCACAAACATTCAGACCATAGCACACATTGATTCCAAACAAATGAAACTATAGATTCCAGCCTAAACCAAGCATCTTGTCCTCGAACAAAAGGTTGAGTGGAATAGCATGTCAATGGCCTTCCCTTCTCCATCTTTTGCCGATGGCTCACCTATATCACTTTTGTCGGCAAACTTGGCCTAAATTTAAGAACATGGTGTGCACTGTGATGCCAGGGGGGCAGCTAAGGAGAGGTCAGAGGGACAGGCCTCCTGTCTTCTTGCTAAACTCTCCAGCTCTCCCAACATGACCACTATTAGTCCCACAGAAGACTGACAAGGCATAGAAAAACCACCTCATTCAACCTCCTGCTTCACAGAGGAGCAGCTCCTTTCAGGTTCATGCACACTGGGGTGTGCAACCTCACTTCCTACACTGCCCAGTCAGCAAGTCAAATATCCTGAGGTTGTCTTTGGACAATATGACCAGCACACTCACTGCTTTATATACTTATTCCTAGTGACCTAGTTTATGTTTTTAACACCTTTATCCCAAGATGTTTGGAGTCACTTTCAGAAGGGGCTCTCCTGATGACATCTGTCTCAGCCTGAAGCTACTTCAAAGTGTCTCCAGAATTTTCCTCAGTCCCCCTCCATACAGAGGCAGTCCTGATTTTCTTTCCCTCTCCCATCTCTCTGCCCACCCCTCTCCCTCGCTCACTTCCTGCCAGGAGTTCAAGACCAGCCTGACCAACATGGTGAAACCCCATCTCTACTACAAATAGAGATGTATATAGTTTAATTTTCATTATCTGGATGACTACATTGGACTAATTTCCAATGTTAAATTTCAATCCATTTAGCAGAGAATCGTTATCCCAAACTTGCCCACTTCCTGCATTGTACTTCCCCACAAGAAAGAATCATCTGTCTTCAGGAAGTGGGCAAGTTTGGGATAACGATTTTGAGGAGATTCTGGCTGGAGGTAAAGAGCCAGATTCAAAGACCACAGTCTTGTTCCTGTTTGTCAGAGTCAAAGCTTCCTGCAGAAACAAAGAACTGCCTAATTTTTATTTATTTATTTATTTATTTATTTATTTATTTATTTTGAGATGGAGTCTCGCTCTGTTGCCCAGGCTGGAGTGCAATGGCACCATCTCGGCTCACTGCAAGCTCCACCTCCCAGGTTCAAGTGATTCTCCTGCCTCAGCCTTCTGAGTATCTGAGATTACAGGTGCCCACCACCACGCCCAGCTAATTTTTGTATTTTTTTAGTAGAGATAGGGTTTCACCATGTTGGCCAGGCTGGTCTTGAACTCCTGACCTCAAGTGATCCACCCACCTTGGCCTCCCAAAATGCTGGGATTACAGGTGTGAGCCACCATGCCCAGCCCCTGGACTGCCTAATTTGTATTGTCCAAGTTTGAATACTCCCCCAAAAAAAGATTTTATATATTTGTAACACTGAAATATGAAATACAAAGGAGAAAAGCTCATTTAGATCATTTTTTATTTCTTTAGCCTTCTGGAAGTCTCTATGTACATAAAGAGATAGGTGACTTCCTTTGTGTAATAAACTTGCATTCATGGAGCCCCTCAGCCGTCCCGCCCATGCACTGGGAAAATTCAGAACCTCTATTACCACCCACTGATGCAACTAGCTGCAAGAGGGAAGGGAGAGGGAAATGTTGTGAAGAGTTTGTCCTATGGGCCAACAACCCTCGTATCCACAGGAATGGCATGGCTGGGTGCTTGTCACCCCTAGGCTTTATGGGTACCTCCATGTTGTCATTGTCTGGCTCAAGGATCTACTGGCCCCAATTCTGGTTGAGTTCTGACTGGGTTGGAACAAAGGCCGTGCTGAGACCTATCTACTGCAGATGCACCCACACGTTTTCCAAAACTTGGGACTGAAATCGAACTCAACGATTGCTTTATTTTCCCACACACTAAAATACCCCCGGTTCTGGAATACGGAAGTGAGAATGACAAAGGGGGTCCTTCTGTAGGACCCTCAGTCCTGGCAGTCTGGCTGACCATTCTGGCAGAACATGCTGTTCTGAACACCATTTGTTCAAACTCTGAAACCAGTTGATGCTCTGCCCATCATTCCAGACACTCTTGGCTGTATCTTAGTACCCAGCAGGGCTGTCCTCGAAATACTGCCCTGTGGCTCCTGGCGCCACCTCCTATCCTGCCCTGCCAGCACCGCCACCTTTAGTTCCCATGGCCTGCAGAGAGCCATGGCTGGGCGCTGATGACAGGCTGCACCTAACATGGACCCTGCCTACTGTTCTGGATCCTCAGTCTAGAGGGAAAAGATGCTAAACAAGTCAACATGACAAAGGCGGTGTCAAAGCAAAGGGGAGGCGCACCACGGGAGCGCACCAGGAAAACCAGGTGAGTCTAAACTGAGACCAAAATGCTAATTAGGGGGCCGGCAGGAGGGCAGGAGGAGCGTTCCAGGCAAAACTAGCAGCTTTCGAGAAGGGTTGTTAAAGCAGGACATGCTTTAACAACCAAATCACAAAGTGAGCATAGGCTCAGGGTGTGGCTGCGATGAGGGAGATGAATGTAGGGGTAAGGAGCAATTTGGAGCCCCTGAGGGATGTTACAGGGGCGGGGGGGGCGCGGAGAGTGACTCAATTCAGCTTAAACTGAAAATCATGTGGCTCTGAGTGGAAAGAGAATGGGGAGTGGGGAACTGGGAGCAGAGAATCGATGGGAAAGCTGAGGAAGGTGATCTCACCGCAGGCAACACTGAAAAGCAGGTGGTGCTGGGGACCTAGACGGGTTTGGTGGACCTCAAGTCCTTCCAGGCTGCCTTCTGACCGGGTATTCCGCCAGCCACTTTTCTAGATCCCTTTGGGGTAGGTAAGGGGTGACTGGAGAGAGATCCTGGGACAGGAGCCAGGAGGCCAGGAGGCAGCCCCACCTTTGCCACAATGCCCCTGTAATGCTTTCAGGAAGGTCACAGCCCCTCTCAGAGGTTCCATCGGTTGAACAGGGGCTTGGCGAGGCCCCAGCTCTTTCATTTGTCGTTAATGAAAAGAAACCACCAGGGCTAAGAGGAGTGGCTGTTACAATGGTCCACCGCGCCACCTGGTGTTGTGAGGCCGCGTGCACAGCTCTCAGCGCCGGGCTACCAGGTGGCCCCCAGTGGGTCTGGCCCATTCTTCTGCAAGGTCCCCCCAGCCAGTAGGCTCTGGCACCGTCTTCAGCTGCTGGGGCACTTCTCTCCTCCCTGCACAGTCTGGATTTTCTCCTCCTTCTCTGACCATTTCTCGGGCTCCCCTCCCCTCTCCCACATCTCTGCCCCGATGCTCTTTTCTCTTCCCGAGATGGTCCACTCCCACGGGTCCAATTACTGCCTTTGATATTGCCTTTTTATTCCCATACCCAGGTCTGCAGCGGGGACTCCCCTCAAGTCCCCAGAGCCCCAGCCCATCATGTCCACATCCTTCAGGACATCATCTCCTCCCAGCCAGCCGGGACCTCAGACTCAGAAAGCTGACAATGCTGTGCGTCACCTCAGAGCTGACACAGCTCCTCCTCTGAAGAACTCGGTCTCCTCAACCTGTTAAAGGACATCTAGAAAAGGCCACAGCTAAAGGGCTTTCACTCAATGCTGAAACACAAAATGCTTTCCCCAGAAGATCAGGAACAAGACAAGGATGTCTGTTCACACAGCTTCTGTTCAACATTGTACTAAAGAGGCCAGCCAGGGCAATGAGGCAAGGAAATAAAGTAAAAGCCATCCATATTGGAAAGGAAGAAGTACAATTGTCTTCATTTGCAGATAACATGATCTTGTACGTTGAAAATCCTAAGGAATTCACTGAAAATGATTAAACTAATAAATGAGTTTAGCAAGTTTACAAGGATATGTGATCAGTGTACAAAAATCAGTTTATTTCTATACAGTAGTTATGAGCAAATAAAAAATGAAGTTAAGAAAACAATTCCAGTCTGGGTACAGTGGTTCAAGCCTGTAATCTCAGCACTTTGGGAGGCCGAGGCAGGTGGACCACTTGAGGTCAGGAGTTCAAGACCAGCCTGGCCGATATGGTGAAACCTTGTCTCTACTAAAAATACAAAAAATTAGCTGGGTGTGGTCGTGGGCACCTGTAATCCCAGCTACGCAGTAGACTGAGGCAGGGGAATCACTTGAACCCGTTAGGCAGAGGTTGCAATGAGCTGAGATCACACCGCTGCACTCCAGCCTTGGTGACAGAGCAAAACTTTGTCTTAAAAAAAAACTCATTTATATTAGCATCAGAAAGATACTTATGAACATATTTAACAAAAGAAGTACAAAACTTATGCTCTGAAAACTACAAAATATTGTTGAAAACTAAAGAAGATCTAAATGAGTGGAAAGACATCCCATGTTTATAGATTGAAAAACTTAACATTATTAAGATAGCAATACTCCCAGATTCCAAATTCAATGCAATCCCTATCAAAATTTCGACTTCAGCAATGGACAAGTTGCTTTTAAAATGCATATGAAAATGCAAGAAAACACAAATAGCTAAAGAAATCTTGAAAAAGTTGGATAATTTATGCTACCCAATTTTAAAACCTGCTATAAAATGACAGTAATCAAAACAGTGTGGTATGGGCATAAGGACAGATCTATACATCAACAGAATGGAACTGAGAGCCCAGAAATTAACCCACATATCTATGGCCAGTTGATTTTGAGCAAGAGTGCCAACTTCTTTCAATGGAAAAAGAATAGTCCCCTCAGCAAATGATGTGGGGACACCTGAATTTCCACATGCAAAAGAATGAAGTTGGATCCATATTTCACACTGTATAAAAAAACTAACTCAAAATGGATCAATGACCTATAAAGAAGAACTAAAATCATAAAAGTCACAGAAGAAAACATAGTGATAAATCCTTATGACCCTGGATTTGGCACTGCATTCTTAGATTGACACCAAAAGCATGAGCAACTAAAGAAAAAAACAGATAAACCAGCCATCAGAATAAAAAACTTTGGGGCTTCAAAAGACACTATCAAAACAGTGAAAAGACAACCCAAAGAATGGGAAAAAATTGTTTGCAAACTATAAACATAATAAGTTGCTTGTATCTAGAATATATAAAGAACAATTACAACTCAAGAATAAAAAGACAAATAGCCCAATTCAAAAATAAGCAAAGGATCTGAATAGATATTTCTTTAAAAAAGATATACAAATGGCCAATAAGCACATAAAGAGGTCCTGAATATTATTAGCCATGGGAGAAATACAAATCAAAACCATAATGAGATATCACTTCATGTCTGCTAGGGTAGCTTTAATTAAAAAGTCAGATGAGGCCGGGCACGGTGGCTCATGCCTGTAATCCCAGCACTTTGGGAGGCTGAGGCAGGTGGATCATGAGGTCAAGAGATCAAGACCATCCTGACCAACATGGTGAAACCCCGTCTCTACTAAAAATACAAACATTAGCTGGTCATGGTGGCATATACCTGGAGTCTCAGCTACTTGGGAGGCTGAGGCAGGAGAATCGCTTGAACCCAGGAGGCGGAGGTTGCAGTGAGCTGAGATCACGCCACTGCACTCCAGCCTGGCGACAGAGTGAGACTCTGTCTCAAAAAAAAGTCAAATGATTAAAAAAAAAGTTGAAAAAAATGTGGAGAAACTGGAACCCTTGTACATTGCTGGTGGGGATGTACAATGGTGTAGCCACTTTGAAAAACAGTCTGGAAGTTCCTCAAATGGTTATAAAGTTACCATGTGACTCAATTCCACTCCTAGGCATATGTCCAAGAGAAATGAAAACACATGTCCACACAAAAACTTGTACATGAATGTTCATGGGGACATCATTCCTAACAGCCAAAAACATGGAAACCAACCCAAATGTCCACCAACTGATGAACAGATAAATAAAATGTAATATATCCATACAATGGAATGTGATTTGGCCATAAAAAGAATGAGGAACTGATATCACGTGGATGTACCTTGACAGCATTACACAAAGTGAAAGAAGGGTCGTATATTGCATGATTCCATTTATATGAAATGTCTAGGATAGACAAATCTATGGATACAAAAAAGATTAATGGTTGCCTAGGGCTGGGGGAGATAGAGGAATCAGGGTGATAGCTAAGGGGTGCTGGGGTATTTTGAGTAAATGAAGAAGTTCTATAATTAATTGTAGTGATGAATGCACAGCTCCGTAAATATACTAAAATCCATTGAATTGTACCCTTTAGATGGATGCACTCTCTGGGATGTGAATTATATCTCAAGCTATTTTAAAATGTTGTTCAAGTTTTCTTCATCCTTCTGAAGACACTAAAGCTGTTGGCTCTGTGGCCTCCTCAAAACCCATGACATCTCTTTGTGGCCATTTGGGTGCTGCAGGTCAGGAATCAGTGATGTTCAACCTCCTTTGCTGGAGCCAACCTCCAGTTCCAGCTGAAGCCAACTTCCCTGACAAGCACCCCACCTCACCCCACCCAGCATGGATCCAGCTGTCCTTTCTGCTGCTTGACCAGGCTCCACTTCCAACAAGCATCTTGGAACCTCAAAGATTACACGCAGGCAATCCTCAGCTGCCACCGCACAACACATCACAGCTGCCAGGGAAGACAGTGGAAATGTCCTCCAATCTGGTCAGCTGCTGCTGCTCACTCTGAAGTTGGAGGGACACTCCCCTGCAGATTCAAGGAAGTGCAAAAGTCAGTGAAGGGGACATCATCTCCTTGACCCGAAGAAGGGCTCCATGCAGCTACCTGCATAGGCCCCTGCAAGGCCAGAGGGAAGACTCTGATGTCTCTTCAGGACCATCTTGTGAGATACCTTCCACTTCCTCACTTTCCTGTCTACAGAAATCTCCTGTTATCAAGTGTGAGGGTTAATACTGAGTGTCAACTTGATTGGATTGAGGGATATAAAGTATTGATCCTGGGTGTGTCTGTGAGGGTGTTGCCAAAGGAGATTAACATTTGAGTCAGTGGGCTGGGAAAGGCAGACCCACCCTTAATCTGGTGGCCGCAATCTAATCAGCTGCCAGCGAATATAAAGCAGGCAGAAAAATGTGGAAAGGTGAGACGGGCCTAGCCTCCCAGCCCACATCTTTCTCCCATGCTGGATGCTTCCTGCCCTCAAACATCAGACTCCAAGTTCTTCAGTTTTGGGACTTGGACTGGCTCTCCTTGCTCCTCAGCTTGCAGACAGGCTATTGTGGGATGTTGTAATCCTGTGAGTTAATATTTAATAAACTCATATATATATAAATACTTAATAAACTCATATATAAACATATATGAATTTATTATATATTATATATATTTATTATGAGTTTATTATATATATTAATTATATATAATTATTATTTATTATGAGTTTATTATATATATTAATTATATATAATTATTATTTATTATGAGTTTATTATATAAAGTATATTAAGTATATATAATTATATATATTATATATTTTTATAATAATAATTATAATATATTTTATATATAATAATAATAAATTATATATATAATTAGTTCTGTCCCTCTAAGACAACCCTGACTAACACACCAGGCCTCCAAATGGTCACCGAGGCTAGCTGGCTGTGCCCTGGAGGCTGAGTCCCTATAACCTGAGAACTTCCTTCTTCACATGTCCTGGTGCCCAGCCACAGAGAGAGGGAGACAAGTTTGCAGTGGACAGCTGTGCACAGAGAGGCTGACCCGCCCTGCCTGGAAGGGGATCACCAGCAGAAGCAGATTTGCCTGAAGCCAATGGAGCTTAAACTCCAGGGCACTCACGTGTACGTGCCCTTTTCAATTCTATTGTGATTTGACACCATACTTTGTATGATTTCTATTCTTCTACATTTGTTAAAGTGTGTTTTATTGCCCAGAAGTGTTCTTTCTTGATGTCTTCGTCTGCTCAGGCTGCTAAAACAAAATACCATACACCAGGTGGCTTAAATAACAAAAATGTATTTTCTCACAGTTCTGGAGATTGGAAGTCCAAGATCAAGGTGCCAGCCAGGTTGGCGTCTGGTGAGGGCTCTTCCCTTGGGTTGCAGACAGCCACTTTCTGGCTTTGTGGTCACACGACCAATGTGGAGAGAGAGGGAGGAAGGGACAGAGAGAAGCACGGGAGAATGCAAGCGCTCCAGTGTCTCCTCTTATAAGGACATTAATCCAACCGAGAGCCGTGGCTCACACCTATAATCCCAGCACTTTGGGAAGCCTAGACAGGTGGATCATCTGATCCCAGGCATTCAAGATCAGCCTGGATAACATGGCAAAACCCTGTCTCTACAAAAAACACAAAAATTAGCTGGGTGCAGTGGTGCCCGCCTATAGTCCCAGCTTCCTGGGAGGCTGAGGTAGGAGAATCTCTTGAGCTCTGGAGGCTGAGGTTGCAGTGAGCTGAGATCTCACCACTGCACTCCAGCCTGGTCGCCTGAGTGAGATCCTGTCTCAAAAGAAAAAAAAAAAAAAAAAGACATAAAAGACATCAATCATATTGGATGGGGTCACCCCCCATAGGACCTCATTTAACTTTAATTACATCCTTCAAGACCCCATCTCCAAATACAGTCACGTGGGGGTTAGGGCTTCAACCTATGAATTTTGGAGGGACACAAACATTAAATATCAAACACTTGCTGAATGTTTCATGTGAGCTTGTGTAGACTGTGTATTCTTGCTGTTGTTAAATGAAGTATTCCATAAATGTCAATTTAATCCAGACAATTGATGGGGCTATTCAGGTAAACTATGTAATTACTGATTTTCCACCTTCTGGGGCTGTCAATTACTGATAGAGGGGTATTGGCCTCTCCAAATATAATAGTGGATTTGTCTATTTCTCCTTGCAGTTCTATCAATTTTTGCCTCAGATAGTTTGACAGTGTTGTGAGGTGCCTGCATGTTAAAGATTGCTATGTTTTCTTAGAGAATTGATGCCTTCATCGTTATGTATTCTTTATCCCTGACAGCTTTCCTTGTTCTGAATCTGCTTTGCCTGAAATTAACATAGCGGTCCTAGGTCTCTTTTGATTAGTGACAGCATAGTTTATCTTTCTCCATTCCTTTACTTTGAATTTATCTGGGTCTTTATATTTAAAGAAGGTTGCTCTTAACATATAGTTGGGGTCTTGCTTTGTTTTATCCACTCTGACAGTCTCTTTTAATTGGTATATGTAGACCATTCACATTTAGTGATTGTTGATATAGTTAGATTGATATTCTAACAGGTTGATAGCTGTTTTTTATTTGTTGCACTTGTTCTTATTTCCTTTAAAAAATTTTCTCTCTTTTTCTGCCTTGTCTGGTTTTAATTAAGCATTTTATATGACTCTGTTTTCTTTCTTCTCCTAGCATATCAATTATATGTCTTTACATTTTTTAAAAGTTGCCCTAGAGTTTTCCATATACATTTACAACTAATAGAAGTCCATTTATAACAAGACTGTTCCCAATTCCTCCCTACTATACTTATAAGACAACTAGCTTTCATTTCACTTATCCGTATTCTATAATCACCCAACACATTGTTGCTATTATTACTTTGAACAAAGTAATAATCTATCAAAGTAATTAAAAATAGGAAAATTAAAATATTTTATTTTACCTCATTTATTCCTTTTTTTTTTTTTTTTTTTGGTCTACAGTCAGCCAATCTAAACTTATTCCTTTTCTGGCATTCTTTATTTCTTTAGTTCCAAATTCCTGGCCCTATATCATTTTCCTTTTCTCTGAAAATTTTATTTTAACATTTCTTGGAAGGTAGGTCTAACGGCTACAAATACCCTTTGACTGAGAGCAAATCTTATTTCTCCTTCACTTTTGAAGAATAATTTCATTAGCTACAGAATTTAATGGTTGTTTGTTTCTTTCAACACTTTAAATATCTTCACTTTCAACAAGCATCTTGGAACCTCAAAACTGACACATAAAATTAATCATTACAGGCTCTAATGGAAAAAGTAAACAACATACAAGAACAGATGGATAATATAAGCAGAGAGATGAGAAATCTAGGAAAGAATCAGAAGGAAATGATAGAAATCAAAAGTCTGGTAGGATGTGAGGCTGGCTAGGTGGGTATCCCCTTCCTCCCTCACCACTTCACATGCGTCCCTCTTGAAGCTGTGTGCTCAGTCGAAGAGGACAACTTTCCCTGATAGAGGAGGACCGTTCTTCAGTTACAGGCATGCAAATAACTGCACTCCCTTTGGGAGGTGATTAGGTCCTAACGGTGGAGCTCTGCTGATTGGGGTTCATGCCCTTTTAAAAGATGCCCCAGAGAGCTGACTTATTCCTTCTACCAGATGAGAACATAGCAAGAAGGCATTGTCTCTGAACCAGCCAAGAAGGCCCTCGCCAGACACTGAATCTGCAGTGCCTTGATCTCGGACTTCACAGCCTCCAAAACTGTAAGAAATAAATATCTGCTGTTTATAAGCCACCTAGTCTATGGTATTTTGTTATAGCAATCTGAACAGACTAAGACACATTGCAATTCTCAAATCCTCCCAGCAACACAGTGAAATAGGTATCATTCCCATCTTACAGATGAGGCAACAGAGGCTCAGACAGGTGGCATCACTTGCCTAAGATCACACAGATGCTAAGCCACGGAGCAGGGATTTGAATCAATGCTGTCCCTTCATGTCATGCAACTGTGCACAGACATTCTCCTACCTGACCTGAGATTAGGACTGTGGAGTCTCACCCACACCAGAAGCTCAAGCTGGCCCTGGCCAGGGGATTGGCAATGCAGAAATCAGGAAACCATCGGAAGGGGACTTCCAGCCACAGGTCTTGACCATGCAGCAACTGGAACAGGCAGTCTGAAGAGACCCTGTTACTCTAAAGAGATCCAAGAGTCCCAAGCCAAAAGGTTGTTAGACCCAGGCTCGTGTTTGCTGCCAGAGCTCTAGTGTGAGTACTCAGGTGGTCACTCTAGAATCTGACCTTGCATGGTAAATGTGATGTTATATGTTTTTTACCACCATAAAAAAAAAAATCCTGAATGTCATTGGAGCATTGTTGAGAAATAGCAAAAAAACTGGAAATTACCTAAATGTTCAACAATAATAGCCAACAGTCATTGGGTTCTTGCTATGTGCCAGGGAATAGTCTAAATACTTTATGTACATTATTTAATAACATCCTAAAATAAGGTAGGTACTATTATTATATCCATTTTACCAATGAGAAAACTGAGGCAGGCACAGGGAGGTTAGGCTATTACCCCAGGGTCACACAGTTAATGAGTGGTAGACAGGCTTTGCAGGCTGACTGTAGAAGCTGTTATCCTATACACAGTTTCAGTTGTTTCCACAGTTGATTAGAGTTTGCACCTTAATTTTTTTCTTAAATTTCCCCAGTTGGAACCGTTTAAAATTTTGTCATATATGAAGTGAAAGAAATCCAGTTATAGAATAATATATGTAGTATTATCTGGGTGGGGAGCATGGCTAGTTTGGAGTGTAATCTTATAGTACGTAGCATATGACATAGCTATGATCTATGACCAAGCAATTTCACTCCTGGGTATATACTTTTATCCTGGGGAATTCTCACACAGGTCTAAAAAGACAACACGTTTAAGAATATTTATCAGCCGGGCGCAGTGGCTCACACCTGTAATCCCAGCACTTTAGGAGGCCAAGGTGGGCAGATCACGAGATCAGGAATTTGAGACCAGCCAGACCAACATGGTGAAACCCCGTCTCTACTAAAAATACAAAAATTAGCCAGGTGTGGTGGCGTGCACCTGTAATCCCAGCTACTTGCGAGGGTGAAGCAGGAGAACTGCTTGAACCCAGGAGGCAGAGGTTGCGGTGAGCTGAGATTGTGCCATTGCACTCCAGCCTGGGCGTCAGAGTGAGACTCTGTCTCAAAAAAAAAAAAAAAAAAAAAATTATCACAGCATGTTGGGCGGCAATCTGAATGAGCAATCCCCCAGGGAGGGGGAGGTACAATGTGGCCGACGCATGCTCCATGGTACTATGTGGCAGTCAGAAGCAACCAACCTGGTGTCTACAGTGCAAGATGGACCTATCTTAAAATCAAAGAGCTGAGCGCAACAAGCAAACAGAGAATGAGATCTGTATCAGTCAGCGTCCAATCAGCAGAGTGGAAACGACGGCAAACATTTTAAACAGAAGGATTCAACACAAAGCATTAGTGAGTGACAGAGGTGTCAGAATTGCTGTAAGAAGACTACCTACAGATTTCTACCTACAGGAAGCAAAAGGGAAAATGGTGTTACCCAGGGGCCCATACTCACCAGCTGCTGCTGCTGTTGCTGCCACCACTGCTACCGTTGCTGCTTGGGAGAGATGCTGCCAGATGTCCCCTCCCCACTGTTAGCAGAACCTAACAGGTAGAAAGACAACGGAGTTGGAATATAATTTTCAGATTCCCAATCCCAGCAGTAGAGAGGATGGCAGAGACGGTGAGTGAGAGACAATAGACACGACCCAGCGCACTCCGCCAAACAGTTCCCATGTCACCCATGTTTAAACCTCCATATGACAACACTGACTACAACCCACGCTTCTGCCTAGCAGGACACAGCCGCTACTCGCCTAGATGAAGACACACTCATCCTCTCCACGAAAAATTCGACACGAAGTCCACTGCTTCCATCTCTGGGCTACGTTAATTCCTCATCTAGTTCAGTCACCAGTCCCACCGGAACTTTCTGTTACCTAAAAACTATATTGTAATGCTAAATGCCACCAACTTTTAAAATGTAAACGATTGGGAGAAAGACAGTGTGGGAAAATGGTGAATGTATTTCACAAGGAAGAAAATAATGCATAGCTCTCACAGTTCACATCTGTAAACGGTCACACGTGGATATCAGAATTTCCATGTTTGTAAGGACACACACCTGTGGCCGTACTTTGGGGTTCAAATCTAGGCAGCCAGGATCTGCCCACGTCTTCTGTTGAGCACCAAAGTGGTTGAGCAGGTGGGAGTGCTGACTAGACAGCATTCACTAGAGTATGTTAGGGAAGTGTTAGCCCTTCTCCAGGGACCTCAGTTGCAGACCCTAGAAACCAAGACCCAAACATCCTCCGACACCGTGGTTAAGAGAGCAGCCTCCGGGCCGGGTGCGGTGGCTCACGCCTGTAATGCCAGCACTTTGGGAGGCCGAGGCGGGCGGATCACGAGGTCAGGAGATGGAGACCATCCTGGCTAACATGGTGAAACCCAGTTTCTACTAAAAATACAAAAAATTAGCCGGGAGTGGTGGCGGACGTCTGTAGTCCCAGCTACTCGGGAGGCTGAGGTGGGAGAATGGCGTGAACCCGGGAGGCGGAGCTTGCAGTGAGCCGAGATCCTGCCACTGCACTCCAGCCTGGGGGACAGAGCGAGACTCCATCTCAAAAAAAAAAAAGAGTGCAGCCTCTGGAGTCAAAGAGCCAAGCTCCAGTCCAACTTCCTAGACGCAGGGCCTCGAGCAAGTTACTAACCTCCCAGTGCTTCTCATTAGTAATGGAAGAGAGCATTAGTGTAAAACACCATACAAACGTTAGCTATTCGTATTAATATCTGTCATTGTGAATTGTTTTGTTTTTTATTTTAATGTCTGAGGGCAGTCCAGAAAGGGCTACTCACAGTTGCTTGGGTTTTAAATTAATGTTCCATTAAAATGAAATAAACTAGTTATCCTTAGCTGTTATGTTCAGTCTACAAATCTTGTTATTCTGTTTATAAATGGGGCAAAATAAAAACAGTGACCTTCAATTTTCTTTGATTAATGAGCTATTAACTCAACTTGAAGACTCTGTTTCCTTAATAATTATTTGTAAATTTAATTAATTAAATTCTCTTAAACTCTGAACTGCATTATAAATGTAATATATTACATTTCTTTTGTAAGCACTTCAGTTGCCTAACAAAGCAATTGTATTGCCTTAACAAGCAAAATATCTTCAAATAATAAATTCTTATAAATCTAAGAAATAAAATGTTATTAAAATAGTGAAGCATCAGTTTTCCTTGAAATTCCAATAATTATTCAGAAAAATAAGGTCATTTTTTTCCCTTTGCAACTTAAAATCACAAGTCTAAATTCTTTTAAATTTTTTTTAAATTTTAGATTCAGGGAGTACATGTACTCGTGTGTTACATGGGTATTATATGTGTAATAGTGGAGACTGGGTTTCTAGTGTACCCATCATCCAAATATTGAACATTATATGCAATAGGAGATTCTTCAACCCTTCTCCCTGCTTCAACCCTTCTCCTCCTCCCTCCCAGCCTCCTCCCCAGTTTTGGGGTCCCCAGTGTCTATTATCTCCATCTTTACGCCCATGTGTACGCATCGTTTAGCTCCTACTTATAAGTGAGAACATGAGGTTTTTGATTTCCTGCTTCTGAGTTAGTTCACTTAGGATAAGGGCCTCCTGCTCCATCCATGTTGCTGCAAAGGACATGATTTCATTCTTTTTTATGGGTGCATAGTATTTCGTGGGGTATACAAACCACATTTTCTTTATACAATCAACAGTTGGTGGACACTTAGATTGGTTCCATGACAAGTCTAAATTCTAGTACATATTTAAAACTGGAGGCATCAGGCTAATCTGTCGGTCTTTAATGTTAGATTCTTTAGACTATTACAGTATTTTAAAGAAACAAACATACGAAGATTACTCCTAAACTTAGCATGAAAGTTTTGCTTCTAAAGGCTTACCTTATTTCACTATCTTCATGTTTAAACTCAAGCTTTCCCAGGTTAGAAAAGGGCTCTCGAAGCAGCAGATGCACCATCTCCAGCAGGACGAGGGTGTCACCCTTGGGTAACTGGTGACACTGGGCTGGCAGTTTCATTGCCACGAGTGCTTTTTTTTTTTTTTTTTAAGAGAGCTTAGTGTCTTCAAGTTGAGTTAATAGCTCATTAATCAAAGAAAATTAAAGATCACTTTTTATTTTGCCCTATTTATAAACAGAATAACATGATTTGTGGACTGAACATAACAGCTAAGGATAACTAGGTCTCTAATTTGGATCTCTAACCAAATCTCTTGGTTACAGATTTAAAACTGAGGACTGCAGATCTGGCTGTTGCAGAGTCCAGAGGGCCACAGTTGGACCTGCCAGGCCATTTTTATAGTTGTGATGACAATAAGGGGTCCCCAAGTTCATTCTTCTCAGATAGGATTGGCTTTGCAACCCAGGCTCCTGGGCATTTAGCCCCTTCCCCAATTTTCCATAACCTCCTTTTAACTTTCACTGCTTTAGATGGGGAGTGGCATGCCACATTCGTCACAACCAACTCCTTGCCCCAAGTTTCTGCAAATGGATTCAACCAACCTGCTCCCTGTCTGGGCCGTGTCTTGTTGGCTTCAGTTGCAGCGTGCAGGGCACTCCAAGGACACAGCACTTTCCCACGGGCACGTGTGGCTGCCCAGCACAGAGTTTAGAGGGGCAGGAACTTTTCCTGAGATAATCATTTGTCTTTTGTTCTTGACATATTTTCCTTCCCTGTTCAGCCAACCTTTCCTTTCCTGCTTTTATTTTCTAGGATCTGGAGCAATTTAAGGGGATTAGGCTGCGGGTTGGGGAGGGGAGGAAAAGGTTTGAGAAAGGTTTTGAGAGAACTCCATGGCTGGGAGCAGCAGTACCTGCTGAGGTGGGGGCGGGGGAGCAAGACCTCAGATGGCATAGCCAAGCTGTAGGGGGCCTCAGGGGAGCGAGTGGCATGGCCTCAGGCCCAGGCTGCCAAACTGGGCAAGGAGGCAGCACAGACCCCCTGAGGCTTGGACACGAAGCTCTCACAGTGGTGCTGACGCACTGAAGATTTAAACACTACTCCCTCACACCCATTTTCTGGCATCACCTTAGACTCCCTGGCTCTTGCACAGGCCTAGGGAGGAGCAGCACCCACTCCCATCTCCAAAAGCAAGTCAGAATGAAGTTTTCTGCAGCCCAGCCAGAGGCGGAGTCAGATCTAATTTGATTTTAATAGAATAAAGAAGGGTACTGTTTCCAGCATCCCTGAGTCCTGTTATATTTTGCATAAAATGATTCAGTCTGGGGTAGAAGGAAGGGCATTGCAGGATGAGTCTGGCTCTGCCATTTAATAGCTACGGGACCCTGAGCAACTTTCTACACTCCTCCTAGCCTGTCTTCTCATTTGTAAAATGGGAATGAGTTTCCCATCTACCGGGGTCCCTCCTGCTCCTGAGCCCTGGCTGCTTGAAGTGGAGGTTCTGCTCATGCCAGGTGTGAGGATCACCCTCCTCCTGTACCATCGATGCCAGCCCAGCCTGGACAGCAGAGGGCGCTGTCACGCCATGCAGACTGTTCCTGTTCCAAGTCCACCAGCTCTCCCGGCTGTACCCAGCAGCTGATGGTGGCCAGTGTGCATTCTCCCTTATTCACTGGAGCAGTCCAGATGCCCTGACCCTCGATCTGCCAATTTTTAGACACAAGTAACACGCCCCCAAGTTCTCTGGCCCCCTTAGGCTCCTTACTCGTGATCCTCAGCTGCCTTGGCACTGCGCCCTTCTGGAAGCCCCTGGGGTGGCTCACGTGTGGTCCCAAACCAGTCTGCACCCATAGGGCACCACTGCAGCTCTGCCAGATGTCTGGGGTATCCCACATGGCACCCCAGACTCCCAGCAGCCTCCACCTGTATATGCATCCCTCCCCCAAGCGTCAAAGGTGTGAAGTGGTTGGGGCCAGGAATACCCCCACTCTAAGGGGTGGGGAGACTCAACTACGAGTCCTGCAGAGGCCAGACCAGGGGACGCCAGCCTTTCCATCATCAATTCCTCCCTTCTTACTGCTGGGCCAGCTCACTGGGTCATCCTGTCACCCCTCAAGTCTAGCTCCCCACCACAACTGTGACTCCCACTTAAACCAACACTTCAGCTCCCACAGTGTTCCAGGTGCTCTCATACCTCTCCTGTCTCTCAATCCCAAAGTAAAATATACATGATTACCACCATGGGGGAACTGAGGCTCACAGGAATGTTAAGTGATTTGTCCAAGACCTCATGGAACTGCAGTATCAGGACCCACACCCAGATCTCTGGATTCCAAGGGCCATGTTATTTCCATGACACTGTCGTGCCTCTTGGGTGTGGGCACTGGGGGTTTGGGCTGTTTGGGGGAAGTGGGATGGCAGCTCTAGCTGCCCAGCAGAGGTCTGGGAGATCCACTATGTGGTCTCAGGCCTGGCATGGCCCACACTGAGGTTGGCATCATGTGGCTCATGGGCAGGCCTGGAGCCCCTCTGATCCCAGAATGGAAACCCTTTGCAGGCTGCTGGTATAGGGAAGCCCAGCCAGGAGCTCACACACCTGCCGTTACCTGAGGTTTCTGCCATTACCTGAGACAGCATGGGCTCCTGGGAGGCCCTGATGACAGAACAATTAAGGGGGTTGTAGGGGGAAGGGTGGGCAGAGGAGTTACACCCCCACGTGCTTGGCAGCAGACGTCAGGAACACGGGGTGATGCCCACATTGTCTCCTGCCTCCTTATACAAACTGTCTGGGGCTTCTCTTTTTCCTTCATACAAGTCACCAGTGAGGACAATGTCACCAATCACCCAATATTTACCACCAATGAAAATTCGTTTCCACAAATGGGAGACCCTGCTCTGCACAAGAGACTAGACCAGACCTGTAGGGTTTGGGGGATTTTTTGTTTTTGTTTTTTGAGATGGAGGCTTGCTCTGTTGCCCAGGCTGGAGTGCAATGGCATGACCTCGGCTCACTGCAACCTCCGCCTCCCAGTTCAAGCAATTCTCATGCTTCAGCCTCCTGAGTAGCTGGGACTACCGGCGCATGCCACCATGCCTGGCTAATTTTTGTATTTTTAGTAGAGACGGGGTTTCACCATGTTGGCCATGATGGTCTCGAACTCCTGACCTCAGGTGATCCACCCTCCTCAGCCTCCCAAAGTGCTGGGATTACAGGCATGAGCCACTACGTCTGGCCTCAGATCTGTAGGGTTTTGACGAGTGACCAGAATGAGGGAAACAAACATATCACAGACCAGCGTGGCCCAAGTCGAAGGAAGGGAGGCTGAAGGCACTGGTTGGGGGTGGAAGTGTTGCAGCTCAGAGGAGAAGCCAGCCCCACCGGAGGGGTGGCCAGTGAGTGGCCTGATGCACAGGCAGGCAGCCAGCGAGCTTGGGGGTGGGGGAGAGGCTGAGCCAAGGCCGAGAGGTAGGAGGGGGCAGCTCGGGCTCTTGGTGGGCCAAGGTGGGAAGTGCTTGAGGGCACTTGGCAGAGCTGGAACTGGGACAGTGGGATGAGGCCCAGGTGTGGGGGGCTCGGTGCCAGGCTGAGGATGCCATGGACACACAGCTCATCAGCAGCTCTGGCCACCACCAGCTCCTCCTCTGTTACAGTTCAGAGTGTGGCAAATCATCTGCACTATGAAAATGATGGCCTGGGTTCAACTGTTCATTTGTTCAGTTGACTGGCCGGCCAGTCACCAGCTTTGTGACCTTGGGTAGGTCAATGAATTGACCTAGTTTCTGCCCTTAAAATGGGGTTACAGTATTATCCCATGGGGCTGCTGTGAGGATTAAATGAATTGATTTGTAGGCAGCACTTAGCATGTGCCAGGCTCAACATGATGCTATCACTATTAATCCATATAAATACTAACAGCTACCACTTAGGGAGCACCTACTATGTGCCAGGCTCTGAGCTAGTTCCCCACCTACATCATGTCTTTAACCTCCAAGGTAACTTACCATGATCACGCCCATTTTACAGATGAGGAAATAGAGGCCCTTGCCCACAGTACAGTCATAGTGCTGCCAAGTGGGGAGCCGGGTTCCCACCCAGGCCTGCCTAACTCCCAAGCCCAGGCTCTGAGGATCCAGCATCCGACAGCTGCATCTTTCTGCAGGGGAAGGGGCCTGGGCCATGCAGAGTGTGTGGTTTATGGACCACAGGGATTTCTGAACCCAACTTTGGGCGCATGTGTGCCTGGCACGTGGGGGCAGGAGAAAAGCTTAGTTCCTCCCGCCGAGCCTCAGCTCACACACTCCGCAGACCCTCCTGCGCCCACACCCAGGAATCTTGGTTTTAGGCGACACATCGTGATGCCTGCTAAAAGCAGAGCAGGGAAAAGGAGCCCTTAAACAGTCCAAATGTGTCCCTCGCCGCGCCTGATTTTCCCAGAGCCCCGGCGCGCCCAGACAGAAGTTGTGTACACAGGATTTTAGTATTTCCTCTCCGGCTCCAGCCCCAATTTGAGGGCCTGTAAAAGCTTGAATGGCGTCCAGTGCGGCGTGGTTTGCCTAAGCTCGGCTCCCGGCGCTGAGTCAAAGCAGCCCACACAGGGACCGGGGCGCCTGCTAGGGGGGTGGGGGGCGCCTGCGGGGGCGGGGGGAGGCCGGGGGCGCCCACACCCACGTCCAGGCCCAGCCGCCGCCTTCCAGCCGCCGGGGCTGGCCCTGCTGCGGCTGAGCAAACCTGGTGACTCGGGGTACACTCGTGGCGGGAGGCAAGGACGTGGTTGCATGACCCCTTTCCTCCCCCTGCGCCTGGGAACCTCTCCCACTTCATTGGGGTGGGGGCGGGGGGTGCTCCGTGTGGCTCAGAGGCTGCTTCAGATGTCTTCTCTGAGGCTGAGAGGCTCTTCCAGTCCCTGATTTTTAAACATGCCTCCAGCACCCCTCTCCCTGCCAGGAATCATCCAGTACAGTGCCCAGACTGACCTGCTGTGTGAGTCTAGGTAATTCACTCACTCTCTCTGGGTCTCAGTTCCCTCATCTGTAAAACCAGGGCGGGCCTGGGCTCCGTCTCTGGCTCCTGCCAGACCCAGCACCTTGGAGTCTAAGAAGATTAGGAGCCACCTGGGCTGCAGATAAGGTGCCCATGCTCTCTGGAGGGGACAAAGGTTGGTGGGGGTTGGGGGATTTTCTCCAGGGGCTGTGACACCACGACACCCACAACCAGCCAGTAACGGGAGGAGTGTGTTTCAGGGTCCAGCAGATCTAGGGGCAAGTGGCCAGGTGTGAAGGTGACAGCTGGGGAAGCTCTGAGCCCCTCACTCTCAGGAGCCTGGGATCCCTGGCACCCTGAGGCGCAGTGGCCTCTTGTCCACACAACCCATGGGTCAGACAAGGCCTGGGCCTGGCACCCGAGGAGTCACGGTAGGCACATTCGGCCATGCTGCACAGCCTCTGCTCTGCAATTCCCAGATCCAAAAGCTCGGAAAACCAGCCGTGCGTGCATGCGTGTGAGCACGTGTGTAATGTCTAGGGCTAAATCTGACCTGAACAGAACTCATTTGGTGACTTGAAGTGACACAAGATAATTTTAGTCTGTATTTATCTCACTCCTTGGGAGTATTTATACCTTACATTTGTGAATATTAATTACATTAAATGTGTTTGATGACAGGGTCTGCCCCACATCCTGTTGGGGGAGGGAGAGTTACCTAATAAACACCACAACCCTAGACAACTTTTCTAACTCCCCTTTAAAAAAAAATACACATCTTTGAAACTTCCTGGCCCCAAGGGTTTCTGATAAAAAGCTGTGGACCAGTGTAAACGATAAAAGTGACAGAGCCAGAGAAATGTCAGTGGCAGTGATTCAGGTGGTTCTTCATGTATTCCATGCAATGACACTCTGGGGGATGGGATCTGCTGGCCCCTCAGCCCATCGGGAACATGTTGCAGGACTAAGAGTGACTTAGGTGTTTAAATATACGAATGCTTATGATCCCCAAAGCAGATTTCTTTATGGGTGGCTGAAGGGATTTTTTTTTTTTTTTGAGACATGGTCTCAGTCTGTTGTCTAGGTTAGAGTGCAGTGGCACAATTATGGCTCACTGTAGCCTCAAGTTCCCAGGCTCAAGCAATCCTCCCACTTCAGCCTCCCGATGAGCTGGGACAGGCGCACACCACTATGCTCAGCTAATTTTTGTATTTTTTGCAGAAAAGAAGACTCACTATGTTGTCCAGGCTGGTCTCGAACTCCTGAGCTCAAGTGATCCATCCGCCTCTGCCTCCCAAAGTGCTGGGATTACAGGTGTGAGCCACCGTGCCCAGCCAGGATTCTTTTGGTCTCATTTTGTAGTAATTACAGATCCATAGAAAGGTGCAAGGAAATGTACAGGAAGGTTCCATGCACCCTTCACCCAGACTCTGCCAATGTCTTGATAAATTACCATAGGACCATATCAAAACCAGGAAACTTGGTATAGTCCTTAGAATGTATCCGGATTTCACCAGATATATGTGCACTCATGTATGTGTGTATGTGTCTGGGTGTGTGTTGCTCTTTGCAATTTTATTATATGTGTAGCTTTGTGTAATTTGTCTTTGACCCTGTTAACAGGATCTGTTGCAGAGCAGAAGTTTTTCATATAGGATTTTTTAATGAGGCCCAAGTTATCAATTCATGATCCATGTTGAACCAATTTTCTTTTGTGGATCATGCTTTTGGTATCAGGAATAAAAACCCTTTGTCCAGCCCCAGATTCCAAAGATTTGCCCTTATGCTTTTTCAAGTTTTATAGTTTTGTAAAGTCCATTTACGTTTGTGATCCATTTTGAGTTAATTTTTGTATGGGGTATGAGGTTAATTTGAGGTTCATTTTTAGCCAATGGCTATCTCCAGTGGCTGGAGGGATTCTAAGAGCCATTTTAACCACTCTGTCTTTGCTTTAAGAACACTACTTTCAGGTGAAAAAAAGGAGGCCCAGAGAACTAAGACAACTTTCCCAAGGTCACTGTGGTTGTCATGAATGCATTCCCTACTCTCTGTCTTCCAGGCCCGTGGTAAGATCACACTCAGGGCCCCTCTGTGGTAGGGCAGGGCCATGAAACTGGCCCTGGCCAATTTGTTGTGAGCAGAAATTATGTGAGTTTCTCCCAAATCAGGGCATTTAAATGTCATAGTGAGGCTGGACACAGTGGCTCACCCCTGTGATCCCAACAATTTGGGAGGCTGAGGTGGGCGGATCACTTGAGGCCAGGAGTTTGAGACCAGCCTGCCAACATGATGAAACCCCGTTTCTACTAAAAATACAAAAATTAGCTGGGCATGGTGGTGCATGCCTATAATCCCAGCTACTCTGTAAGCTGAGGCAGGAGAATCTCTTGAACATGAGAGACAGATGTTGCAGCGAGCTGAGATCACGTCACTGCACTCCAACCTGGGCCATTGAGTGAATAAGAGACTGTCTCAAAAAATAAATAAATAAATAAATAGTAAGGAAATGCCACAGTAAACCCTCCAGATCTCTTCTTTCCCTCTCTCATAGCAAGCAGCAAGTTAGAAATGGTGGCTGCTCCATCAGCCTGGATCCCAGAGTGGAGAGACATGGAGCAGAGCCCCTGTGAACTGACGATGGACATTCAGAGTGAACAAGAAATACATCTTCGTGTTTAAGCAATTATACTTGTCGGGGCATTTGTTACCACGCATGACTCAGCTTATCACCAAGTTGGATTTTGGAAGAATCCAGGTCCTCCTCGTTCCACGGTAAATGCACTTTGCTAGGAGTTTTCATATGACCTTCCCATCTGTCCTCAAGAGTCCTCATGGCTTACTATCATGTGCCACAAGAAGAGACCAGCAAGATGGGTTAGATGGCTTTCCAGGAGCCTTCTGTGCTACCAGAATACCAGGCTGTAGACAGCCTCTGTTCCCAGGACCTCTGTGCCAGCTCAGCTCAGAAACGGTCAGTAGGGAACTCAGTGATGGTGCTCTCGTCCCACTCTGCTTAGCACTAGCCACTGCCCCCACCCAGGGCCTGGATCTACTTCAGAGGGCCCCTCTGGGATGGACAGGGATGAACTGGGACCCACTGAGGCAGAGGCCTGGAATGGGAGTGGGGAAACACAGTGGGGCTTCATAGTGTCAGGTCCAGAAGGCAGGATGTCTGAATTCGTGCCATGCACCAGGAGTTCCTATGGCAGAAGATACACCATCTCTGGCCATGTTTGGGGACATGCTTCTGCCTATCAATATCTATTTCCCCTTCTTCCTTGTAACAAACCCAATTCATTTGGAATGGAAATGGGCCTGGTCCCACAAAGAGGCTCCACTGAGCATGACAAGCCTGTTCCTCAGTTCCCCAGCCCCCTTGCACCCAGGATAGGGCCATAAGATATAGGTGGAAGCTGGCAGGGGGTGGGGTGCAAATGTCAAGTAAAACTGGTTTCCTGACAAAAGGGTGCAGCTGGTATGGCCCTCTCTTTCCACCTTTCTGCCTCTTGGTTTTCTTTTAAACACAGACACGATACTTAGAGTTGTACCAACCACATTAAGACCATGAGGAGAGGCCATAAGAATCTCAGAGTTGTCGAGTTACCACAGCAAAGTCAGCAACCACCATTTACTGATTTCTTATTATGAGAAAAAGGCACCCCTGTGTGATTAAACTTCTAGAACCAGGTTTCCTGTTACCTGCAGCCAAATGCCTTCCTAACTGGTACAGTGCCTACCTAGCAGGGGAGTTAGAAGAAAGGACTTATTTTACCACCTCCTGGACTTCTCTTTCCTCATCTGGGGCCACATACCCCCCAGATCAATCCTGTCCCTAGAAATTGTCCCCGATCAATTCTGTCCTTGTAGCAGGAGGTCTGATGTAAGCAACCCCACATCCTGGGCCCTGCAATAGCCGCCTTTTGCACCTTCCACATTGCCACCAAAGTGATCTTTCCAAAATCATGGCACCCCTCTGCCAAAAAATTGTATCACTCAAATTCCTTCCCAAGCTTTCAAGGCCCTTCCCATGCTGGATTTGGCTGACCTTTGCAGCTTTCTATCCCTTTACCGCTCACTGGGCACCCCAACTCCCATGACTTCACCTCCTTCACCCTGCATCCACCACAGGCTGAAATGCTTGTTACCTCCTTTGCACACTTTCTGCATACCTTTGTTACAGCAAGTGCCACGATACTTATAATTAATTGTTTATAAATCTTGTCCTTCCAGAGAGTGTGTGCTCTGAGGACAGGGGTCAATCCTTACTCTATTTGTATGTGTGTCAGCTTCTAGCACAGCCAGTACTCAAAAAAAAAAAAAAAAAAACCAGCCTGCTGAATAAATAAAACCCCAGTGCTTTGGTTGTATGTTGAATATTAACCTTGAGCTTCCTCTTTGGGCTCTACATGGAGTTGCTCTTCAGGTAACCTGTGAAGTTTCCCACTATAAAGAAAGGACTTGCTCAGTTCCTTATTAAGCAATACTTATTGAGCAACTACTGTGCACTTGTATCAGTTAGTTATCACTGCATTCATGCTGTGTAAAAAATATTTTTAAAAAATTCCAGTGGCATATGACCATGACCGTTTATTTCCTACTTGTCTGAGGGTTAGCTGGAGGTATTACAATGTGTTATTATTACAAGCCCCACTTTTCAGATGAGGAAACCAGAGATGCAGAGAGGTAGAGTAACAGTCCAATTTTGCACAGTTGATAAGCAGCAAAGCCAGACTTAAAACCCAGGAAGCCTGGCTCAAGTTGGATTCTTAACCATGATGTTGCACTGCCTCTCCATCTTGGAGAGCATCCCACCGCTGTGCATGAATAACTTACTCATTAAAAAAAAATCACAGCCTAATATTTCAATAAATGGATGTTAATATATCATATCATATGTCGTATTTAGCCAGTCTGATATGGTTTGGCTATGTGCCCACCCAAATCTCATCTTGAATTGTAGCTCCCATAATCCCCACGTGTTGTGGGAGGGACCTAGTGGGAAGTAATTGAATCATGGGGGCGAGTTTTTCCCATGCTGCTCTTGTGATAGTGAATAAGTCTCATGAGAACTGATGGTTTTATAAAAGGGCAGTTCCTCTGCACACACTGTCTTGCCTGCCACCATGTAGGAAGTGGCTTTGCCCTGCTTTGCCTTCCGCCATGACTGTGAGGCCTCCTCAGCCATGTGAAACTGTGAGTCCATTAAATCTCTTTTTCTTTACAAATTACCCAGTCTCTGGTATGTCTTTATTAGCAGTGTAAGAACAGACTAACACCACCTCTGTGCATCAATAATTTACTCATTTTTTTAAAACCCACAGCCTAATATTTCAATAAATGGATGTTAATATACCATATGTAGCCAGTCCCTACTGATGCATGTTTAACTTTTTCCCAGTCTTTTGCTATTATGCAATGGTGCATGAATAATATGTGCCCCACTCATTCAGCATCTGCAAAGTGTATCTGCAGGAAAAATTCCTAGAAGTGGAATTGCTGAATCAAAGTTATTTGTCTTTATAATGGTAATAGCTTTTGCTGAATTGCTTACCAAAAATCTATGGAGTATCAATGTCTCCACACCCTCTTCCACACCGTGTGTTAGTGAGCTTTTTGATCTTTAACAGCATGACGGATGAAAAATAGTATCTCAGTGTTGTTTTAGCTTGCATGGGTTTTTTTTTTACTATGTATAGATTGAAAAAATGATGCTACCTCATGGGGTTGTTGTGAGGATGAAATGTATTAAGACTATTGACCCATACCAAGTTCTTAGAGCAGTACCCAGAACCCCAGAACATAGTAAGCACTTAATAAATGTTCAGTGCTATTACTATTATATATTATGTGAAAGTGCTGGAAGAATAAAGCACAGGGCAATATGCATAATATACTTACTATCTGTGGGAGAAAATGAAACAAGAATATATATACACACACATACCCATACGTACATACGTATACGTGTATGTATGTACTTGTGTATATATGCATACATAACAGTCCTCAGGAAAGATATGCAAAAGTAGAAAACATTGATGCCTGTAAGGAAGAAAATGGCTGCTGGTGACAAGAGTGAAGAGATTTTTCACCTCATTTCCTTTATTTCATAATTTTTAAATCATATGCAAGAATCATTTATTCTCAAATGGCTGTAGTTCCTGATATCCTCCTGCAGGGGGAGGGGAAGATTCCAGCCCCGTGGTTTTAGCCCCAGTCCCCAGGAAGTGGTTACAGCCCCTCTTGCCACCTTCCTACCCTTGCCTTTTGAGAGTGCCAGATTCAGCCCTGAAGACAGTTCAAAAGAAACAAGGTTTGCACAAGCTGAGGAATTGAAAGGTTGGTGCTTATTCTCCCCTATCTCCCCACCTTCTCCAACCCCTATCAGTGTATCCATGCCCATCAAGGTAGGAGGAGAAAAGCCAGTGCAAAAAGGAGGGAACCTGAAGCCTCTGCCACCTTCCCTGAGGGGTAAGCAGAAAACAGTCCTGGACTTGGGTGCCCTAAGCTTCAGCCTCCCACTTGCCACTGACCTCCTGGGGAGGCAAGAGCCATCACCTCCCTGGGCCTCAGTTTCCTCAGAGTTAAAAGGGTTACTGACACATAGCCTCCATCAGGGCATTTGGATTAAATGAAGTAAGAAATGTGTAGCCACACTGAAAAATACCAAAGCATGATGTTGATGAGGCTTCCAGAATATAAGAGTAGAGTAACAGGCAGTGCTCCGGAGCTGTCACCAGAGAGGGGCGTCTCTCGGTGTCACTGTTGGCACCGCTCCACAGAGCACCTGCTGCTAGCATAGACCTCCAACCTGGGAGGACCTCCTCTCATTCGAGAGAATGAATGAAACACCTAACCACGCACTACCAGATGTCACACAGTCACTGTATAGAGAATGAAGAGAATGATGCAGGAAAAAGAGAAGTCAACTCCACATTTAGTAAGTGTCTGCAGGAATTTTGCCGAATGCATTAGAAACATCAACCTTTGGTGAAATCCACGGATTAAAAACTTACGTGCTCAGCCATTAAGAGGAAGGAAACTCTGACCCATACTACAGCATGGGCGAGTCTTGAAGACATTATGCTAAGTGAGCCAGTCACAGAAAGACAAAGATTGTATGATTCCACTTAGATGAGATATCTAGAATAGGCAAAGTCATAGACACCAGAGGTAGAATAGAGCTGCCATGGGTTACAGAAGGGAAATGGGGAATTATTGTTTGATACCTTCTGAGTTTCAATTTGGGGTGATGAAAAGTTCTGGAGATGGATAGTAGTGATGGTTGTACAACACTGTGAAAGTACTTAATTCCACTGAATTATAAACCCAAAAATGCTTAAAATGTTAAATTTTATGTTATATATATTTTACCACAATAAAAAAATTGTTCCCTCCAAAAAAAAAAGAAGAAAAAAATTCACTAACTTAATGCTCAAAGCAAAATTTGAACAATCACCTCAGCAGATACTGAACTAGTTTGGAAATAAGAGCCCTGAAATAAACACTCAATCCCAAGACTAGCAGTTGTGGGCATGGAGCAGTGTGGAGAGCTGAAGGGAGCAGCAGGGCCTGTCAGAAGAGGGATCCACCAGGTCCAAGCTGATGCAGTCTCCTGGCCATGCTGTTTGGAGTTCCTATCAGTTATTAATGAGGAGCCACTGGGCAGTGAGACTAGAAGCCACTGTGTAATCTTTTTTTTTTTTTTTTTTTTTTTTTTTTTTTTTTTTTTTTTTGCGATGGAGTCTCAGTGTGTCACCCAGGCTAGAGTGCAGTGGCACAATCTCAGCTCACTGCAACCTCTCCCTTCCAGGTTTCAAGCCATTCTCTTGCCTCAGTCCCCCAAGTAGCTGGGATTACAGGCATGCACCACCATGCCTGGCTAATTTTTGTATTTTCAGTAGAGACGGGGTTTCACCAGGTTGCCCAGGCTGGTCTCAAGCTCCTGACCTCAAGCGATCTGCCCACCTCGACCTCCCAAAGTGCTGGGATTACAGACGTGAGCTACTGTGCCCAGCCACCACTGTGGAATCTTTATGGTCTTGTAGATCTAAGTCTGCAAAAGCAATATCACAAAATGTGTATGGTTCTCATGTTACAGTGTGATGTCACTCATGCTAAAACGGATCCTTCTGTTTACTTCATATAACCCTGAGTTTAAGCAAAGGGGAGGACACATCCAGCAGATTGCCTGGGTCTGGCGAACCTCACCATCTCAGTCCATTTGAGCTGCTGTGACATGGTACCATAGGCTGTGTGGCCTCTAAACAACAGAAGTGTATTTCTCAAAGTTCTGGAGTCTGGAAGGCTGAGCTCAGGGTGCCAGCATGGTCAGGTACTGCTGAGGCCTCTCCTGGGTTACAAGCTGCCCTCTTCTTGAGTGGTGTGCTCACACAGTGGAAGAGGGTGTGAGAGGTCCCCAGGGCTCCTATGACAAGGGCACTAATCCCGTTCATGAGGGCTCCACCCTCATGACCTCATCACCTCTGAACAGCCCCACCTCTGAGTACCATCATATCAGGATTAGAATGTCAACATATGAATTAGGTGGGACACAAATATTCCGTGCATAACATGTAGCCATTAAAATAGAGATTCTGCTCTTCTGAGTGGGCGACATCAGGAAAGCCCCAGTCCCATACCTCCTAATAGAATTCTGTCCACAGGAGGCTTGGTTTGATTTGGGTGTGTGACCCATGACCGTCCTCAGGGAGAAATGATGTTATTAAGCAGTGTCCACCTCTGCACTGTTACCATCTGTGTTCCTGAGCGGACAGAGCCTGAGAAGAGAAGGGAGGTTGGGATACAGACACAGCTCAGGGGGAAGAGAGCTGGAGTCAGAAGCAAACTGTGAGTGGTTCCCCAAGGCCGGGAGGAGGGTTCGCTCTTGTTGTTTGCAGAATCAGTCTCCTGCACAGGCAAGGGGAGTGATCACAAACACCTGGGGCCTCTGGGACCTAGAGAAAGCCCGACCACTTGTAGTACCTGCCACCTCACCTGCCAAGACCTGACATACCCCTCAGAGCACGAGTGTCCCATAGCCTGATTAAGGAGAGCAGCATATGTTAAAAGTACTAAGCCACATCTCACTTTGGAGAATGTATTTGTTGGGATAAAATTTGGCTGTCATGACAGAGACCCAAAGCTTCCCAAACATTATTCCCATCACAGCACACAGAGAAAATTGTAATAATTGTGTAGCTCACGGGGGTAAAAGAATAAGGCTGTGTCTTATTTCTTTCAGACTGCTAAAACAAAATACTGTAAATTGGATAGCTTATAAACAGAAATTTATTTCTCACAGTTCTGGAGACTGGGAAGTCCAAGATCAAGACACTGGCAGAGCAGTGTCTGGTGAAGGCCTGCTTTTAGTTCATGGATAGTGCCTTTTTGCTGTGTCCTCATATGGTGGAAAGGGAAAAATCTCTGGTCTTGCTAGTCCCTTATAAGGGCACTAATCCCATTCATAAAAGTTCCACTCTCATGACCTAGTCACCTCCGAAAATCATCACATTGGGAATTAGGTTTCAACATATGAATTTTGGAGAGACACAAACATTCAGTCCATAGCAGGCTGCTTACATGCAGAAGCAACTGGCCCTGAGACAGAGGGGATCAGTAGCTTCATGCACCTGCAACCCATTGACAGCACTCCAGGAAGGCCCAGCATTGGTTGGGATGCTCTGGCTTAATTAATATAGACATTCATGTTCCTCTCACTTAGAAGTCTGAGTTGTTATGCTGACCCTGTCCTATGAAGCCATCAAGGGCCCAGACCCCCTCTATGTTGTTGCTCCTCCATCCCTAGCATGTTGCCCTTATCTGCAAGATCCCAGATGGCACACTGCACATCCACCTTCCATCCAGAGAGAGGGTAAAGGGGAAGGGAAGACCCGCCCATCCTTTTAAGGGCATGTATCAGTTGTCTATTGTTGCAAAACAATTACCCCAAAACTTGGTTGTTTAAAACAATAAACACTTATTATCTCAGTTTCTGTGGGTCAGGAATTCAGAGTTTATAGTCAAGATGTCATCCAGCACCACAGTCACCTGAAGGCTGGTTTGGGGGTTAAGGACTTGCTTTCAAAATGGCTCTTTTACGTGACTGTTGGCAGGAAGCCTCGGTTCTTTGCCACATGGGTCTTCTCTCCATAGGGCTGCTACATTGTCCTCATGACATGGCAGCTGGTTTTCCCCAGAGTGGATGATGCAAGAGACAGAGAGCAAGAAGGAAGCCAACTGCCTCTTCAGTTCAACCTCAGGTGTTCATTGCTTCTACCACGTTCTATGCATTAGAAGCAAGTCACAAAGTGCAGGCTATGCTTAAAGGAAGGGAATTAAGCCTCCACCTAAATGAAAGAAGGACTGTCAAATAATTGATGGCCATATATAAAACTACCTAGCACAGGGCACATCCAGGCAGTGTTGCACATACCTCTTCTGCTTGCACCCGTTGACTAGAACTCAGTCCCACAGCCATACAGAGCCCCATGGGAAGCTGAGATACATTGTCTTCATTGTAGTGGCTGTCCACACAACTAGAAATTGGTGGTCTATTACTATGGGAGAGAAATGGGAAATTAATAACATTTCTGCCTCAGAGGAAACAAAAACACAAATATGCTAGGAGGAAAAAAAAAGAATCCTGTGGAATATAATTTACATTCTAGGAGAAGAAAACATGTTTTTTCGTCATTGACATTCTTGAAAATGCTCATGACATATAGTTGAGTGAAAAATGCAGGTTGAATAGAGCACGATGCCATTTATGACAATGTGCATATGTATATGTCAGTGAGTGTGGAGGCAGAGAGGTGCCTGGAAGGATGTTCACCAACACAGTCACTGTGGTTATCTCCAGGTGATTAGATTATTGGTGATTTCCTCATATATTTCTATGTTATCTTTCTATATCATTTACTGTTTCTCAAAAAAAAAAAACCAGAAAAAGCTATAAAAATATTTCTTCCTACTCTTTCTAATCAACCCCCCACGGCCCCCACCCCAAGCTGGTCTAGAGGAAGAAGACTGATGAGGAATTCCTGGCGCTGTGCAGTGAGTCCGGCTGGTGAACCTGTCAGCTCTGAGTCATGCCAAGTGCAGGGCAGGCAGGTGGGGCGGGGCCAGGGGCCTGGTTAGACAGTCAGGATGTGCCAGTGAACACAGCATCAGGGCACGAAGTCACAGCTGGGACCATGTGAGTGGAGAGGGGTTACGCCAAAAATCATGAAAGCAGAGGTCAGAGGCTGCAGAGTCGCCCAAATGGTGAGAGTGGCCAAGGTGTGGTGTTGGAGGGGATGTTCCAGGGTCCAGGGTCCAGGGTCCACATGTTGACCCTGAAAGTCAATGATGAAAAAACATGTGGACTTTGCATCAGGGCCAAGCATCAGGCTGAGGACAACGTTCCCACTTCCAACAAGCCCCCAGGGCTGGGAGGAGAAGAGAGTCCAGGAAGCTATGCTCTATATAAGAGATGGGAGCCAGTGCAGGTTGAAAAGACCCCAGGTGCCTCCCCCACCCCCAGGGCACAGATAGGTAGGAGCAGCCAACTGGATTGCAGCCCCAACATAGCCACGAGGGCTGCCAGGGAGCCTGTTGCTGCCCCAGCAAGAGAGTTGGCTGCCAGGTATGACTGCGCTGTCCCCTGCTCAGGCAAGGACGGTGACTGGGTTTAATGTCGCCTGCCAGCTCTGATCTGTGACAGTAGCTCTCTGGACTATGGGGCTGAGAAAGATTCTAAGACCAAGCTGGAGCTTAGGAGGAACTGCTGAAGTGATTAATTAGTGATGTCTGCCAAGCCACAAAAGGAGGGTATTTTAGCCCAAGTGCTACCATTCCAGCAGGCACTCTTTTTCCACTAGGGGTTCACCCTCACCTCTTCTTCCCCCACTTGTCTGCCTTCCATCGTAAGGAAAACTTCCATTGTAAGGAATATTACCCACAATCCTATGTTTTCATTCTGGCCATTCACTGCTAGGGTTTTCTGCATACAGAGAGCCTTTTTATGTCATTCTCATCAGAAAGTACATCCTAACTGTAAATGCTTTTCCACTTGGTATTACAGTACAAGGGTTTTCCTATGATTGTTTTTTAATATCCTTTTTAAAAAAGTAACACAAGATCGTTGTAGAAAGTACAGAGTACCAGCAATGAAAAAAAACCTTAAAACCTTTCATTCTAAAACCCATAGAGGACCCCAGAGCCTGCCAGGCAGTAGCGGACCAGGAGGATCCTCATACTAAGCGATAGCGCTGGGAATGGCCATAAGTATCACAATTACCTGGGATGCTTTAAAAAAAAAATGCAGATTCCGTCTTACACACATGTTAGAAAACGTCAGTCCTCCCCCACCCACCTCCCCTGTAAAAACAAAAATAGGCAAAGACTATAATAAACAAGACAATTCACAGAAACAGAAATTCAAGTGGTCAATAAATATGAACAATGTTCTTCTCTATTAGGCAGGAAAATGAAAATTAAAGCAATGAGATGCCTTCCCTGCTTCCCCAGAAGACTGGCAAGAACTCAAGTGTGATAACGTCCAGCACAGGCAGAGAAATGGGCATGAATTGCTTCAACCTCTTGGGAAAGTAATCTAGAGTTGTTTATTAAAATTAAAAATACTCTATACATACACTGGACAGAATAACCACACTTCCATGATCTAGTCTACAGAAGTCAAACCACCAGGACATAAAGATACATGTACAAGTACATTTAATGAAGCATTCATCCATTTGTGCAACAAATATTTGTTCATCAGCTACTGGAGACTGAGGACAGCATTCCTAGTTCCAAAAAGCCCCAAGGGGGCACTGTTTAGACACTAGGGATGCAGTGGTCAGCAAAACAAAAACCCCCGCTCTCATGAACTTTACGGTCTAGAGGGAGGTGATAGTGTTTTCAAACTGACATAGCGTGGCAGAGAGTGATGAGTACTATGGAGAAAATAAAGCAGGGGAGAGAGTGCTAGGGGAAGTAGGGGAGTATTGCGATTTAAAATAGAGCCATTGGCTGGGCGCGGTGGCTCACACCTGTAATCCCAGCAATTTGGGAGGCCGAAGTGGGCAGATCGCTTGAGGTCAGGAGTTCGAGACCAGCCTGGCCAACATGGTGGAACCCCGTCTTTACTAAAAATACAAAAATTAGCCAGATGTGATGGCACACACCTGTAATCCCAGCTACTCAGACGCTGAGGCAGAAGAATCGCTTGAACCTGGGAGGCAGAGTTTGCAGTGATCCAAGATCTCGCCAGTGCACTCCAGCCTGGGCGACAGAGTGAGATTCTGTCTCAAAAAACAAACAAACAAACAAACAAATAAATAAGATCGAGCCATCACGGAAGGGCTTGCTAAGGAGGTGCTATTCAACCAGAGGACTGAAGATAATGAGGGAACGAGCCAAACGGATACTGGGGAAAGAGCATTCCAGGCAGGGGGAACAGCCGATGCGAAGGCCTAATGCAAAGAGTGGCTGGGTTTGGTGTGTCAACCACACAGACGACAGCAGTGAAGGTGAGGTCAGGGAGGTGCCAGGGCAGGTGGTGCGGGGCCTTGAAGGCAAGGATTCAGCTTCGCTCTGGGTGATGCAGATAGGAATATCTATTGTGATAGACAGAGCGATATCTATTCCTATTCGTCTCTGGGATACAGACAGGAATTGGAAGTCAGCAGCCTATGAAGGGCGTGGCCCTGAGTGAGTGGGGAGTCCCGAGGACTGAGCCCTGGGGTGTGACAACAGGCAAAGGGGGCCTGGAAGGAGCAGCCGGAGAAGCAGGAGCCAAACCAAGGAGACGGAGCTGCAGAGCCAGTGAAGACAACATCTCAGCAGGGGAACGGGCTGCGCCGATGCCTGATACGTCCAGTCCAATGAGGCCTAATGCTCGACCTGTGGAGTCAGCACCATGGACACCCTGAAGAGACCAGCTCAGGGGAAGGATGTGGATCTCTGCTGGTGGGCACTTGAATAAGCCCCTCAGGGAGGAGAGTGGGAAGGACCTCCGAGAGCAGAGAAGGCAGCTGACAGGCCCGGGGCAGCAGCTGCAGAGGGGCAGCTGTGTTTCTCCAGAGAACAATGGGGTACCCTGTGTCCTCGAGCTCCAAGGCGGGCGCCTCTCTCCCAGGGCCAGGAGGAAAGCGGATCCCTGCGTTAATTAAGTCTCATCAGCAGCAAGGCAGTGCTTGCCAAAGTCCTGCCTCTGAGGAAGCACTGGGCAGCAGGGACAGGCGCTGGCTCCTTGGGAAAGTGCTCAGGCCTGGGAGGAAATGAGCCCTGCCTAAGGTCCCAGCCAAAGGAAGGCCACAGCCCTGGGAGGGGCCCAGAGGACCTGGGCAAGGACAGGCCGACCGGGGCCAGTGCTGAGGGGGAAGGCAGACGGAATGAAATGCCTCTGCCTGCCTGTGGTGGATGATGGCCAGTGGGGCAGGGCTGGCTCTAAACGCTGGGTTTAGAGTAGAAATTCCTTAGATATTTAACTCAGTCTGGTGTTGAATGAGCAGATATTATCCTCTCCGTCTCTGGGATACAGACAGGAATTGGAAGTCAGCAGCCTGAGTGGGGAGTCCCGAGGACTGAGCCCCGGAGTGTGACAACAGGCCAAGGGGGCCTGGAAGGAGCAGCCAAAGAAGCAGGAGCCAAACCAGGGAGACGGAGGCGCAGAGCCAGTGAAGACAGCATCTCAGCAGGGGAACAGGCTGCGTCCATTAAGTACCTGGAAGAGGCTTTAGTCACCATCTCTTCCAACCACTTTTTACAAAGAGAAACTGAGGCTCAGGGAGGGGAGCGACTTGCCCTAGGTCACACAGCCAGTGAGTGGCAGGGCCAAGAAACAGCACTAGGGTCCTTGGCACCCTGTGACCACCCACGGGCCAGACAGTGCCCAGCAGATGTTGCTGCCACTGGAATCCACGCACTGAGGAAAGCAGCTGAGGCAGAATGGGCCAGGATAAAGCGGGGAGAGCCGAGAGAGGGCTGGCTCTGAGAGGGGTGGCCTCTGTGAGGAGGAAAGGGGGTCCTGAGGAGAGGCCCGGCTCAGTGGGAGACAGAGACAAAGCTCTGCAGGGAGGCAGGCCTCAAGGCAGGCTCAGGACCTGGGGCTGGGGGCTGCAGATGGGCCCTGGGAGGAATGAACCCTGCCACCTTGTCGTGTGCGCGAGACATTCACTTCAGTCTCTCCAGATGGCTTTGGGCTGGAGAAGCGCAGTACTTCTCGGGGTTCCCCTCACTGTGTGTTCCGTCTGGCTCCAGCTCCTTAGCCATTTTGTGCCGAGAGCATTCATCCTACTTCATACTTCCCTCCCACACCTGACTCTACTGGGCTCTGCAGGATAACCCCAGGGCCGGGCTGGGCTGCATTGGGGTGGGCAGGACCCTGCAGCCACTCGCCAGGGCAGAGAATCGCGAAAAACTTTTCTAGCCCAGGCCAGCAGCGCTGCATCAACGCAGGTCCTGAGGGCCGTTCTGCCCTGGGGAGATGACCACACTCTCTGCCTTCCAGGAGTGCACGACGGAGCCAGGAAGACAGATGGAGGTGCAAGGAACCAGGCCACGGGGGAGAGAGGACATGTCCTGGGAGGCCCAGGCACAGGGAGGTCTGGTCCAAGGTCAAAGCAGCTTTAGTTGAGCAGCAAGTTTGAGGTCTGGGGAGGGGAGCTTTATCCAGATTTGAAGGGTGAATCCCCATTTATTTGTAATTCCTCTAGAGATGGTGTGTTGTTTTGTTTAACAACTCTGGAAGGTCTTTGCTCTTTCAAATAATTCTCTGGCTCAAAAGAAAATCTCTCAGGAGGGGAAATACAGCTGTTTCAGCAAGAACAGGGTGCACCCTGGGTCTCCGGGGGCAGTAGAGCCAGTGAGGGGAGTTTTAATCTGACCCTGAACCCCAGCATCGGGGCGGGACAAGGCAGTGTGAGGACCAGGTGGGAGACTGCCAAGCCAGGAGCGACCTCAGAGGTTGCAGGCATGGAGTGAAGGATCGGGCCAAGCTGGAGCCCAGGCCTTCGGGTTCCCAGAGGGACCCATGTTGTCTGCGTGGACAACATGGAGGCTCGACTCTGGGCGTCTCCTCACTTGCCTGAACTGGGGTTCTGGGCCCCCTAACCCATTAATCCCCAGCTTGTCTGCCCGCTAGAAAGGGGTCTCCGTGGGAGGTGCTGACAGGGAAGGGCAGGGGCAGTTGTTCGGACAGCGTGTCCAGCTCCTTGTAGGAACAGGACCTGTGAGGCTGCCAAAAGGGGCCAGGGCCTCCCGGGCAACTGCTCCCCTCAAACCTGGCTCCTGTCCAGCCCTGTTCTCAAAACCAGGGAAGGCAGCCCTGACAGATGGCACCAACACTGAGCTGTCAGCCTTCCCAGCAGGCCCCACAGTCCAGCAGGACCAAGTGTCCTGTGGAGTTTAGAGAACAAGGCTGGCCCCGGCTTTCCCCCCAGGGGTGACCACTCCCCAGGTACCTCCCAGACAGCTTCCCCACTCAGGGCTTCAGCCTTTGCCTTAAGTTTGGAGACTGAGCTCACTGAAGGCCTTCTGTCAGTGCCTGGGGCAACCGTGTGGGTAAGAACATGAACATCCTGGCCCCTTCTAAATCCAAACATTCTAGTGGTTCCAAAAACCAACAGTGCCCAAACTATGTTCTGGGGACCTTTCTTGGTGTCCCATGAGAGATGGGTCCCTGTAATAAAGGATAAGCGTTCTCCATCAACAGAGATGTGGTCTATCCATACAATGGAGCATTGTTCAGCCATGAAAAGCAATGAAATTCTGATACATGCCAACACGCAGATGGACCTTGAAAACATTACACATAGTGAAATAAGCCAACAGAGAAGGACAAATATTGTGTGATTCCACTGGTATGAAGTACCTGGAATAGGCAAGTTCATACAGACAGGAAGTAGAATAAAGGTTATCAGGGCTGGGGGGAGGCAGGGAGGGAGAATTATTGTTTAATGGGTGCAGATTGTTTAATGGGTGTTTAATTTTGTTGGCGATGATGGAAATGTTTGGGGTGCAGATAACTGTCATGGTTGCACATATTACCATATTATGAATGTATTTAATGCCACTGAATTGTACACTTAATGGTCAAAATGCTAAATATTATTTTACCATATGGATATTTTACCATAATACATTTTTTTAAAGGATAAGTGTTCATAAAACTTTGAGAGGCACGGAGTTTAAAAAGTTAAATGAGTTTTTCTACTGCAGGACTTTTCAGAGCCTTTAGGAAAAGGATATATTACACTGTGGTCCTCAACGGACAGGATCATTGAATCGGTTGCTTTTAGACAGCCTAATCTTATTCATCTTAGAGCCGCTCCCCAGATTACAATGTTTGACTTCCTAGGCTGCCTCTCATACCAGGACCTGTCCAGAAAAAGCACTTAAATCTTCATCAAACCTCTTGTCCTGATTTTTATTTAGGAAATAAAGGTCAGTGTGGCCATCTCAAAGCATACTAAAAATAAAGAAATAAATAAACTTGCTGGTTTTGTTCTATTTTCTTCTCCAAAAATGGAGATTCCTTTCCTGGGATTTGGAAACATTTTTGAGCTCTTTATTTAAAAAAAGAAAAAATGTGTGTGTGTGTGTTTGTGTGTGTGTGTATCATGTGCATGTGTGTGCCTGCCAGAGGGGAATTCTCTAGAAACTTCTGGTTGTGGTGCTGGAAATGAAATCCCAAAGGATGAAAGCATGTTGTCTGTGGGCCAGATGGCTTTGGAGGTGGTTGGGGGCACAGGCTTGGCTCTGCCGGTTTCTTGGGGAGGGGGCAGGCTCTGTCCTGGCCTCACTCCCCGCTGTGTGGCCCATCTGCTGCCTTTGGACAAGCCTTGGTGACAAGAGAGCCCGGGGAGAGGCTGGCTCGTCCAGGGAGGTGCATCTTTCCTCCTGGAGGTGAGATCCTGGATACTTGCGCGGCCGAGGGTGGGTGAGCGCCCTCACCAGCTGCTGTATTTGCTCATAGTCTATCCATTAGCCACCATATTGGTGGTGATGGGCATGAAGGGGGGCAGGGGAAGATGTTAGAATGAAGAAAAAATACTAGATTTAAGTGCCAGCTGTGAGACAACCTTGGGTGAGTCACAGCCCAGAAATGTAGCACCAGGGAGTGAAGCCAGAAGGGAAAAAAGTTACAACTGCCAGAAACATGATGAACCTGTCAAAAATACATGAAATCAGCTGCATAAGTTAGGAAGTAAAAGGCAAGGTCCTGTTTGTTTTTTCATGCATGTAAGCATTTAAAAAGATTCATCAGGAATGGAAAAAATAATTCCTCTCCACACCACTGCCTTGGGTGAGGGATGTTTTGGGGAAACTGAGGAAAGGTGTGTGTGTTCCCTTGAGGGCCACAAAGTAGAGAGAAGGAGGAAGCCATAGGGAGCCCCTGAGCAAGAGATGAATTCAGTGGGCCCCAAAGATCAAAGCCAAGGATGTAAGTCCCTCGAGAATCCTCAGAGACACGGGCAATGCCGGGCTGGCTTCCCACTGAACATGGCGTGGGAGTGGAGATGTTTTTATTTATATGTGAAAAGGCAAGATGAGCCCCGAGGGCAGAAGGGCGGCCATCTAGGTTGTTGCTGCCAGGTTAAGTAGGGCCTCTCTGTCCGCCCCAGGTTCTGGGATTGAAAGAACTAGAGTTCCCCGGGGACCCAGGCGCTAGGCGGGATACAACGCCGGGTAATGTTAGGACAAAAAGAAACTGCTTCCTTTGCAGCAAACATTAAGATCAGAAAGAATCTTGTTTCATGGGCAGCCAGAGAGAAGGACACAGGGCCACGGCTGAGAAAGAGGGGCTGTTAATGATATCTCAGGATGGGATTTGGCCACCACCCCCAGACGGCCAAGCTGTGGGCATGCCCAGACAGTGGCGACAGGGAGATGTTGTGGACCTGGAGGGCACACAAGACCATCATGATGGTCAGCTAAGGAGCCTGGGCTGTAGTCTGGAGGCAATGGGCCCAGGGAGGAAGTTTGGAAATAAACCCCTATCAGCCATGGCAGAGGCAGGGTTGGAAGTCACAGACCATTGACAGAGAGGCCAGTCAGGAGGCAGCCACATGGCCCGTGAGCAACAGTGAAGTTGAAGCTCCTGACATCACCTCAAACACGCCATGCTGGGGTGGCCCGAGGAGGCTGGCCCACTCCAGGGAGGCCACGGGACCAGGGCGGCAGAGGGAGCTCATCTCTCCGATCCATTAGTAGTAACTGCTTGGAGCATTGTCTGGAGCGGAATTCAGGCAGTGTAGGAGCCCCTGGAGAAAAAGAGCCACTGTTGATTAGTGATGTCCGAGGCAGGGCTGTAAGGAGGCTTGGCGGCATTCATTCACTCATCTACACATTCAGTAACTGTTCATTCAGTGCCTGTGTGCCAGCACGTGTGCTGTGATGCTGTCCTCTTCGCTCAGTTCTCAAAGACTCGGCCACATAAAGAGCAAAAAGGTCCAAGGCCAGGCTTCTCTCGGCTCTAAGCCCCTCTCCCTTCAAGCCTCTCCGAAGCCATATAAAAGATCACCTGGCCTGGGTCCTGTTTTCCCCAGGTCTTGAACAAATTAGATGCTTGGGAGTTATTTGTGGAAGGAAGAAAACAAAAATGAGTGAATTACCACATTTTCCATGTTTTATTCATTCATTCAGCAAAGAAACCAATATATACACTTTGCAAGAAAGCCGTTTCGAGGATCAGGGGTTGAATTAGATCCAAACTTTGATCTCCAGGAATTCATAGTACCATCTGAGATTAGACACGTACCCACAGTTCTGGAAAACACTGTCATTGTTTGTCTATCAAGTTCCTCAGGATGCCTGGCTTCAGGGAGGCAGGCATAGTTTGTCTGGGGTCCGGGTCACCAGAAGGGAGACATGTGGGAGGGCAAAACCTGGGGGCAAAGGGAGAAGCCAGCTGCTCCTCACAAAGCAGGGACCCTGTGCCCCGCTGTCTTCCTGGAACCAGGAAACAGAAAGCAGCTGTGAAGGTGGCAGGGCAGCAAGAGAGCAAGACGAGAACAACGGTACAGATCCACTCAAAGGGTTTCCTTGGAGATGTCTGAGTCTTGCTGTTTGTTGCCTGGGATGCTGGCAATGACCACTTCGTGGCTCAGGAAGCAGCATAGGAGGGAGGCAAGTGTAGCCCCAACTCCAGTCCCCTCGCCGGCTTCCCACGGCTGACCACAGCGCGGCCCCTGTCTTATCCTAATTAGCTGCACCTATGCCTCCGTCCAGGCTCACCGGCAAGCTCTTGAGCACAGAGGAGCTCTGTACCTGCAGCTCCCAACACAGTCCCTGCACATGGCAATGCTACCCAGTTCCCAGCCCCTGGGACCTGCCTACTCATGCCTCCACTAGCTGTGAGAAAGGGGAACTTGGTGGAGGTGGAGAAATCCAGAAAAAAAGAGAACAGCACAGAGCCTTGAAGGATGTGGCCATGGAGACAGGAAGGAGCATAGTGTGGGGGGATGAACACTTGCTCAAAACCTCACCTCCAGAATTTAACCCTCTCTTCTGGGATAGTCTCAGGCCAGACCCAGGAAGCAGCACAGTCTGTGGGCAGTCTTTGGAGAGTCTTGCAAAGCTTGGCCTGTGAGCTGAGATCTCCAACTCCCAGAGCCATTCCTTCTGGTTTTGTTCTGCAGAGAGCAGGAGGCTGGCACACACACACATGAAGATGGGTGTGCACACGTGGGGCTTCATGCAGACATACCCAGGAAGATCTTGCGGGTCCCTGGAGAGGGCCCCCTCATCCCTTTATGGCCTGTGCCTGGTGACCCAGAGCAGACAAGACAAGGAGAGTGTGCTACAAACATCCACAGGTGACTCTGTGACCACAAACCCAAGGCTGGACTGCAAAGTGCTTTCACAGGGCCCCATGAGGGCAGCTCCTCGTCATTTATATTTTGCTGAGGGTCTCCTTGAATGGCTGCTTGCATAAAAGTGTTTAGAAGACTGCCGTTGGAATCTGAATCTATCTGAAATGTAATTCCATTTTCTGGAAATGTACACGAGTGTGTGTGTGGGTATGCATGTGCCCATGAGAGAGAGTATGCATGTGTGTGCATACGAACACAAGTTGCTGTGCTGGAGAGGAAGCTGGGAAAGGAGAGGAGAGCATGCACTTTTAGTCATCCACATACATACATATGTGTGCACACACACACATCCACCCAGAGCCTGTCTCCCAAATCGATGGCTCAAAGTCACTTTCTTATCGTAGACCAGACCCCACTTAGACCAGCGGCTTCAACCTTGCCTGCACATTAAGATCACTTGAGGAGCTTGTAAAAATCCCAATGACCAGGCAACACCCTAGACCAATACATCAGAATTTCTGGAGATGAAATTGGGCATCAATACTTCATATCAATATTTAATATTTAATAATCTCCTTGGGTGATTCCAATTTCCTGCCAGCGCTGAGTGCTCCTCTGCATAGAAAGCCCTTTTCCTACTCCCCTGCTCAGAAAGCTTTTACTCACCATTTAAGACGCAAGTCCCATGGCTACTTTCCAGGGAAATCCTTCCTGAGAACCTCCCCAAGAGTTAGTTCTTCCTTTCCTGAAGCTCCCGACAACACCTTAGTCATCTGCTATAATCATAATTATTTGCTTGTCTACCTGTCTGTCCCACCCTCCGTACAGAACCCAGAGCTCCGTGATGCCATGCATGACACAAGATCCATCTCTTCATTCCCACTGCCTATCTTAGTGTCTGACAGGCAGCTGGTCATCAATGATGCTTCAGAATGAAAGGGAAACATGTAATGAAGTATGTATGCAGGAGGGGGATGGGAGGTGGAGGATGGGCTCTTTCTGGGTGGTAAGGCCATGGGTTTGCTCCCTTGGCAGCAGAATGGGGTACACTCCCTTTGGTAATAGAAATGGTCTTCTATGTCAACAGTTTGATGCTGGTCAGTCCACATGTCCTGCTGCCTTAGGAAGTGCCATCAGGGTTACTCAGAGGCTCCGAGGGACAACAGAGCAGTGCTGTTATCTGTGCCAGCTTCACAGGGTGGCTGAACCTTCCTAACAGACCCTCCTGGCCCCATTCCATGCCCACTCTGTCCAGTCTGCTTCCAGAGCACCTTTGCTCTGAGGAGTGCTCAGGGCCACCTGGGTCCCCTGTTTCTGTGCCAGCCTAGGGATCCAAGACAGCATGGACACTGTGGTCCTTGGTAAAGGGCCAGCCTGAGAAACGCTACTGCAAGGGGGGCTCCCTGCAGCCAGCCCCAGCCCAGCCCAGGAGTCTGAGCAGCAGAGACGAGAAAGTGACACTGGTGAAACCAAGGGACAAACTGTGTCCTGTATGGCTGCAGCCTCCGGTCCCCTCCTATCCCCCTTTCCTTGGCCAGCCCTGTCCCTTCTGCCTTGACAGTGCTCTCCTATTTTTTATCTTATCACCCCTTCCCCCAGTCCCAATGGGCCTTTATTGTCCCTACCTTAGGCCCGCTGAGGTGAAGCAATGTGACAAGGCCACACAAGAGACTTTGGGCTGGGACTGGTGATGGGGCTGGAAAAGGTTTGAGAGCACAGGATTTGAAGTGAGCCCATCCTGATTCGATGACTGGCTCTGTCACCGACTGACCCTGTCTACTTGAGGCCTCAGTTACCCCATCTGTGAAACGGGGTTAATAATAGGGGCCCCTATCTCATAAATCCATGGTACAGATTGAGTGCAGTGCGGACAGAGAGGGCTCCTCATGTGTTCCTGACCAGGCCTCCTGGTCACTAGTCCAGGCTGAGACTACTGTGGGAACCGCCCTCCACCCCCTTCCACACACAGACACACACACTCTCACTCGGACAGCGCCTGATCCTGAAGGGCTCTCAACCTGTAGGTAGAAACCAACCCCCTCCCTCACACTCCCCAGCTGATGACCGGCCAAAGTCCTGGTCACCCACAGAGTCCACTCAACACAAGTATTTTCTTGACATTTTGGGGCTTTTACTTCAATTTGAAGCAGATGGTTGAGCACAGACGTGAACAGCTTTGGCCATTTGAGCACAAGGAAGGGGCGGGCCTTGGCTTTGAACACGCAGGCCCCATCCTCCACATACTGGCCCAGTCCCCTGGTCCCTTCCTTCTCTGCCCCTGCACACCCTGTAACAGACCACCGCCCTCCAAGTGGGGCGCCATCTTGCCCAGTAGGACGGCTCCAGCCAACCCAGCCTCTACTCCTTCCTCAGGCCACGTGCAGGCTGAACAAGAGAAAAACTCTTTTTCTGTCCATGGCAGGGCCTGCCCATGGTGCTGGCTGCCTGGGACGGGGGCCCATGGGGGTGGGTCACAGTGAGGAGAGGCTGGCTGGGGAAGCAAAGACCCATAGGTAGCTGCCCTGGGGCAAGTCCCTGGTGTAGGGGAGGGAGTAATATTGCTTCTCTCCCTGCTTACTCCCTTCTGGTGATGCTTAGGGCCCAAGGAGCCTGGACCCAAGGGACACTGAGAACTGGGGCCAGTGGCCTGGGCAGCCAATGAAGGGGAGAGAGTGGGCAGGGATCTCAGGTCCCACTCCCAGCCCCGCCCAGGCACCCCAGCCTCCCTCTCACAGCCCCTAAGGCTTGTCTTGCACTCAGCCAGCACAAGGCCCAGTGGAGAGAGAGCACCAGGTCAGAGGGCCAAGATGACCCCCAGGGGTCATCAAATGCCCATCCATTCCATGAGTTCCTAGCAGAACCACTGACTCATCTTTGGCTTGAGATGGGGCTCAGGCAACAGGAGGAGCAAAAGTCACAGAGCAACGGTGTGGCTTTTCGCTGTGGGGTTTCACCACCCCATTTCCTTCGGTGTCTCTGTCCAATCTTTGGCAACGAATTTCTGCAGCTGGACAGTGGGCCTTGGGGTCTGAGTGAGTCGGGGGCTGAGCTCTCCCCTCCCCACCAGGCAGAGGGCAAAGTGCGAAGCAGCCTCGGATTGGCTGGGTGAGGGCGGAGGGGAGAGGGAGGCAGGCGTGCTCCGATCCGACCCTGAGAGGCTGTAGGCTGGGCATCTGGCGGCATCTTGGAGAAGACCACGAGGCTGGACTCAGCGAGCTCACCTTGTCCTCAGGCCTGACTGGAAGGAGGGCCCACAGTGGTGGCCTTGGTCTTGCCTGCAGCCAGTCACTCCTGAAAGACATGACCAGCCATTAAAAGCTGCCCCTGCTCCACCTGGTTCCTGTTTCTGGACAGCTGCAGAATGTCCCTTCACTGAGTCCTCCAGGCAGAGGGGCCCCCACCTTGAAGGGTTCGATAAGTGGAAGAGCCAGGATTCAAACCCCGGCCTGGCTGCCTCCAGAGCCCACACTGTCCCCCTGTTCCTTAGTGCTGCATTTCAGAGGCCCTGCGTTTTGGTTGGTTTGGGGAAAGAAGAGGACCACAGTGGGTAGTGGGAGCCAGGGCCGCTGGAAGCTCGGGGACACCTGGGGCTGACACCACAATCCCCAGGGCCACCCCTCTGAGGGATCTCAGAGGCCCGTCCCCACCCTGGGGTGGCAGGCTCCTCTGCAGGCTCAGTCCCACTGGAATGGCCATCTGCAGCTTCCTTGCGCTGCCCTAGGAGTCACAAGGCCCACTCTAGTTGTAGCACATTCACCTGCCAGCTGGGTGACCTAAAACAAGTCATTTGACTTCTCTAGGCCTCAGTGTCCTCATCTGTAAAATGGCGTGGCTGGAGCAGATCGATGAAAGCTCCTTTTAAGCAGGAGAATGAAGTACATGGAACACTAACACAGAAAACATGTGTCTGTCTATTTGATTGCAGTGGAGTCAGGGGACACAGAGGAAGGGGGACCCAGAGACCTATTGCATTCCTTCCAACAGAGAGCCTGGGACATGTCTGAGAATCAGGGTGCTAAGGAGCACAGTTCGAAAATTGCTGGGTTAGACCACCTTTAAGTTCCCTGCAGCCCTGATCTGTGCAATCCTCATTCTGGCAGCTGAACTTGGCGCTCTGAGCAGACGGTGTAACTGGCTACCAGGAAGGGATGGGACAGGGGGCAAGGTCATGGGGCCTGTGGGGTTTTAGCTCTCTGGGGAGGTCAGAGCCGGTGGGGAGGCTCTGTGAGACCTCCAGATCCACCCAGGATGAAAAATAACAAAGTCCCTGAACCTGGTACAACATAACCCTCTTAAAGCAACTCCAAACACCCTTTTGATTCGTGCTCCAACCCTCAACCAACAGCTATTAATAAGTAGTTATTTTTAAAGCAAAACATCTGTCAGGCACCTCCGACCTGCCAGGGAGCATTCCCATTCCCCCCTCTCATGAGTGAGCAATCCCAGGCTCCGAGAAGGAAGTGCTAGAAGTTGCCAGTGCCAGGATTTGAATCCAGATCGGCAGTGTTCATTCTACCACACAGAGGCTGCTCTCACTGAGACAGAGGCTTGGGGAGCCAGGATGGAGCCAAACCACGACGTGGAGGGCCTGCTAACCACAGGCCCTGGTGAGCCCCGTGGGCCGGGGCAGCCAGCCAAGACGCAAGTCTGGGGCAAGGCTGAAGTGGGGTCCAAGGAGGGCGAGGGAGCCGGGCCAGAGGGAGGGAGTGCTCTCCAGCTAATAGTGGCTCAGGAGGGAGAAAAGGAAAAGTGAGAGGCGGGAGCATCTTGATGTGGTAAATCCCAGGCTCACATTCTCCAAGCCCACTGTGCATGGCTGGCCCCAGCAGGAATCTGCTTTGTGTTACCGAGTCTGAGGAGGAGGATTAAGAAGCGGAAAGGAAACCCGTGGGGATGGCACTGGGTCTGTGGTCCACGGGGTGATTTACAGCTCGCGTCATCCCGGCGCTGGCTGCCTGGGCGGGCCCTGCCATGGGCAGAAAAGGTTTTTCTCTTGTTCAGCCTGCCCGTGGCCTGAGGAAGAAGGGGAGGCTGGGTTGGCTGGAGCCGTCCTCCTGGGCATGCTGTAAAGGCGGTCAGGGCAGCCTGGGGCCAGCCCCAAGCCGTCTGTTGGCTCTTAGTCCCCGCTGAAGCCACAGCTACCATCCAGGATTAAAGGAGACAGGGGTTTCTCTCACCAAGGCCTGACCTTCAATTCTCGACCTCACCCTTTTCCTGGCGTCTACACTGGACCACCACCACCTCGGTCCAAGAATCTCAGCACATACATCATCCATCCAAGGAAGTCTTATGACAACTGGGATGTAATGGGAAGAACACTAGGAGGCCTCAGGTGCCAGGACTTTCTCTGCAATTCAGCAGCTGTGTGACCTTGGGTAACTCACTCTCCCGCTCTGTGCCTTCATTCCGTCACTTGTACAGTGAGGGGAGGGGAGGCAGATTAGCATTGCCCAAAAGGTGTTCTGTGAACACCAGCTAGGTGAGGCATTCCATGAGTTTGGGAAATACCACATACCTTGGTCCCACTTGGAAAGTCACTGTATGTATTAGCATGTCAAAGGCTCCGAAAAGTCCTGCAGTAAACAAATTTGTGTGGCTTTAATGACCCAGTTTCCCAACTGACTTTTTTTTTTTGAAACAGGGTCTCACTCTGTTATTTAGGCTGAGTGTAGTGGTTGCAATCATGGCTCAGCATAGCCTTGACCTTCTAGGCTCAAGCGATCCTCCAGCCTCAGCCTCCCAAGGAGCTGGGACTACAGGCATGCACCACCATGCCTGGCTAATTTTTTATTTTATTTTTTATAGAGACAAGGCCTCACTATGTTGCCCAGGCTGGTCTTGAAATCCCAGATGCAAGCAATCCCCTCGCCTCAGCCTCCCAAACTTACAGGTGTGAGCCACTGCAGCCAGCCTTCCCAACTGATTTGACCGTGTAATTGCTACTGCATTGTGAGGAGCAGAAACTCACTTCAACCCTCCAGGAAAGGGAAGCTCACTTAAAGTTACAAAAGGGCATTTCACAGAGACCAGGGGGAAGGTCTCAGGATAGGTAGCAAAGGGCTTGCAAAGGTCAGCAGGGGCAGTCTGTGGCCCTGCCCTCTAGACGCCTGCTAATAACAGCCACTTGCAGGTATCCGCCTTCCTCCCTGACTACTGACTGGCCTGGTCTCCCAGCATGCCAATCCCCAAGACCCAGTGGAGGACGCCCATTGGTCTAGCCTAGGTCTGATTTATTCCCCTGGACCAATCAGCTCTGGCCGAGGGATAGAAGACAAAGATGCCAATGATACCTCTTCATAAGTGGCTGTGTGTGGGGGGCGGGGGGTGCATGTGGGGGTGCATAATTGCAAATATGGAGAATAGCAAGCATCCGCGCTGTGACCACCACACCACAGAACCCCTTTCATGGAAAGCCTGGCAACATCCTGTGTCCCATGTGAGGGGCACAGTGCGAGAGGCTTACATTCCCCGCAGCACTGGCCCTTTGTGGGTTTTTGTGTTTCTGCTGCCGGCCAAGGCTCTGGGTCCGGCTTACTCCCTAGCTTACTGTCCTCAGAACCCCCGCCACCACAGAAGATGCCCTTTATTTTATTTATTTATTTTTTTTGAGACGGAGTTTCACTCTTGTTGCCCAGGCTGGAGCGCAATGGCACGATCTCGGCTCACTGCAACCTCCGCCTCCCAGGTTCAAGTGATTCTCCTGCCTCAGCCTCCCGAGTAGCTGGGATTACAGGCGTGCGCCACCACACCCGGCTAATTTTTTGTATTTTTAGTAGAGACGGGGTTTCACCATGGCCAGGCTGGTCTTGAACTTCCAACCTCAGATGATCCACCCTCCTTGGCCTCCCAGAGTGCTGGGATTATAGGCCTGAGCCACCGTGCCCATCCGAAGATGTCCTTTAAACAACAGGTTCTGCTGCTAAGATTAACCTTGAGAATGACTAGATGAGGAGGCCTCACAGGTCCCTCTCAGCTGCTCTGACGTGCTGAATCAGAGCAAGGTGATTTGGTCAGTGTGGCAAAGTGGGAGCATTTATCACAAGCAGAAATCATCTTTTTATCTGTTCACTTGTTTATAGTCAGAATGCCAGCTCCACGAGGGCAGGGACGTGGCCTGTTTTGTTTGCTGTTGTAGCTCCAATGCCCAAAACAGTATCTAACACACAGCAGTATCTCAGTAAATGCTGGGCCAGGCGTCACGCCTGTAATCCCAGCACTTTGGGAGGCCAAAGCAGGAGGATCTGTTGAGGTCAGGAGTTCGAGACCAGTCTGGCCAACATGGCAAAACCCCATCTCTACTAAAAATACAAAAATTAGCTGGGTGTGGTGGCGCATGCTTGTAATCCCAGCTACTTGAGAGGCTGAGGTGGGAGGATCTCTTGAACCCAGGAGGCAAAGGTTGCAGTGAGCTGAGATTATGCCACTGCACTCCAACCTGGGTGTCAGAGGGAGACTCTGGAGACTCTGTCTCAAAACAACAACAACAACAACAACAAATAAATACTGGTTGACTCAATCATAGCTACTTTTGGTCACAGGCATTTTACTCACTGTGGCTTTATATATTGCAAGATGTTTCTCCTACTTCAAATGTAACATTGAGCATTTTTGTAAATGGGTCTATCTATACTTTCAGGGAAGTTGTGGTAATTGTTATGAACCCTGGAACAATTTAGCAACCTTTATGCTTTTGTTCGTTTCCAGTTTAAAAAAAAAAAATTCTAATTGTTTTCCTATCCTGATCACTTCTGTGCACTGCAGGGTAATTTTACCACTTTGGGGCATTTAAAAAAATGATTTTATCTGCCTTTAAGTTATTTTACCTTTTACATTTATTGTCAGTCTATGATGCCCACTTTACCTACTTAACCATTTTCCACTATTTCAAATTATACATTTTTTGTATTTAAGCAATTTTGATACAGCCTTCTACATGCAGGGAGGAATAAACCTCCAATGGGGTTGAAATCCTGACTTTTTTTTTAAATTGGTCTTTCCTAAAAAGGGCAGATTTCAAATGTTATTTTAAAACTAAAAGGTGAAAAAAAGAGCAGATATGGCATGGGAGGAGAGTTTTTCAAAAACCACAGTATTAGTTTGCCTTTCACTGTTAAGTACACCAGTATGTGGGCTAGAAATGGGGCTTCGTGTTTGCCTCTGAATGCTGCTCTTGATTCTTACTGGGGTTCATCTTGGCCCCAGAGTCAGCTGGGGGGCCCTGAGCAGGATACTTAACCTCTCCAAGCCTCAGTTTCCTCATCTTTTTTATTTTTATTTTTATTTATTTTTTATTTTTTTTAGACAGAGTCTTGCTCTGTTGCCCAGGTTGAAATGCAGTGGTGCAAACAAGGCTCACTGCCACCTCAGCCTCCCAAGCTCAGGTGATTCTCCCCAATCAGCCTCCTGTATACCTGGGACCACAGGCTCATGCCACCACACCTGGCTAGTTTTTTTTTATCTTTTGTAGAGACGGAGTCTCACTTTGTTGCCCAGGCTGGTCTCAAACTTAAGGGCTCAAGCGATCCTCCAACCTCAGCCTCCCAAAGTGCTAGGATTACAGATGTGAGCCACCATCCTGGTCAGTTTCCTCATCTTTATTTATTTATTTTTCAGTCAGAGTCTTACTCTGCCACCCAGGCTGGAGTACAGTGGCGTGATCTTGGCTCACGGTAACTTTGCCTCTTGGGTTCAAATGATTCTCCAGTCTCAGCCTCCCGAGTAGCTAGGATTACAAGCGTATGTAATCACACCCGGTTAATTTTTGTATTTTTAGTAGAGACGGGGTTTCACCATGTTGGCCAGGCTAGTCTTGAACTCCTGACCTCAAGTGATCCGCCCACCTCAGCCTCCCAAAGTGCTCTGCCTCAAAAAAAAGAAAAAGAAAATACAGAAGAGTGAACAGAAAGAAAATTGTTTCAATCACCTTAATCTCTCCACGGAGAGCAAACCACTGATAACATTTGGTTAACTATTGTCCCATATGCTATTCCCATGCATATGCGTACTCACATACAGTATTTTACGAAAAGTGGAATTACGCTGTACAAGCTGCATCATAAGCTGCACTGGTGTTTTCTTTAACACTCAAGCCTGGACATCCTTGCGTTTGACAGATCTGCTTTCACATCTTCTCCAAGGGACAGACTTTGCAGAGGTTATTCTGGGCACAGGCGCAAAGCCTGGGCTTCTGGCCTCCAAGCTCCCCAGGGACCTGGAAGCAAGTATGGACCAGTCGGCCTCCAGCACCTCCTGCCTGCCTGGCCTGGGTGCCATGGGTGACAGGCAGGAAATTTATGAGCAGTTGGAATTGGCTGCTATTTGCGGGGGGCGGGAACATGGCATGAATCGAGGATAGTGCTGTGTCCGGGCTTGGAGGGCCCTTCAAGGTCCCGAGTGTCTAAGAGTTTCAGTTATGGCCAGAGCCTTTAGTGAGCCAGGACAGTTGGCCTGGGGACCAAGAATGGGGAGAAAAAGTCATTTATTCAACAAAGATGCATTAGTTCCTAATAGGGGCCAGTCCTGTCCCAGGCACTGCGGCAGCTTACAGTCTAACTCTAGGGGAAAGCTGAGGACCACCGTTGCTGGCTGCTGCTGTGGATTCCGCCCAGTCCTTTCTGTATTTCTCAAGGCTGCTCACCAGAGAGGAGGGGACTGGCACAGGCCTCAGCCGTGCTGTGCAGACAGCTGCCCCACAGGCCCCAGGTCAGGAGCAAGGTAGGGCCAGTGGTCAAACCCCTCCTTCACTGAAGCCAGTGGATGTTTGCAAACCTCGGAGTCAGTCAAGGCCGTGCAGAAGAACTTTCCTATCAGTAAGAAACAATCGTTGCATCAGGCAATGTTGAGGATGAGAGCAGGTAACCTGGGGGAGCCCTTCTTGTGCTAAGATGCTAGAGGTGGTGCTGGGTCCCAGGTATCCTAGGCTAGCATTTCTTGAGCACCTACCATGTACTCCACAGTGTTGCAGGCCCTTACTTTGAGTTACTTCCACCCACTAGAATGTAGGTTCCACAAGTGCAGGGCTGGGGCTGGGGGTTGCCAGTTGGAGTCCTTGCTGCCTCCCTAGTCCAGGACAATGAGGGCCTGCTCATGTCCACCCTCTTACCCCCACCAGCCCCACACCCACCGCAAGGTGGGGACAACAGGTGCCTCCTCTGAACTCCCGAAGCTCTTTATCCCAATTCCTCCTACATCCCCTTACGCCACGAATGGTTGTCGGTGTGATTGCCACGGTCCCTTCACCTACCCCACACACCTCCACCACGAGCACCCCATCCTCCCAGGGCCTGGGAACAGAAGCAAGTGCATTAGTGTTCAGTGCCACCATTTACGGAGGGCGGCTCCTTGCCAGGCACCGTGCCACACTTGTTTGCATGCGTTGTCTTTTGCAATTCCTGGGAGGTGCCTACCGCTGCACACATGTTGCAGATGAGGAAATGGAGGCCTGAGTGGTGACCTCACTTGCCCTAGGCCACATTGCTAGGATGCAGCAGGGCAAGGTAGACCCTTAACCCCTACAGACCTCAGTTTCCTCACTGGCAAACAGGAACGGCAGGTCCCCAAGCCATCCAGCCAGCTGTCACCTCCTTGGTTCTAAGAAAATCTTGGCCTTTGACTCCTGGAGCCTAAGGGAAGGTGGCTGGCAGTGGGAGGCCCAGCACCCCCAGGGCCAGGGCCAGAGCTTAGAGGAGCCCACTGGGCCTGCAGAGGCAGCCATGCCATGCTGACGCCTTCTCAGGCTGCAGGCCACTCTCTCTGGCTGCCGAGCTGTCTCCCTCTCCATGCTCTGCCTGTGTGTCTCTGCCAACTCTTCCTTGGCCTCTTCTTTGTTTTTCTCTCCATATCCATCAGTCTATCTGTCTTTCTTGCCCCCCACCCCAGCTCACCCCCAGCGTGGGGCATTGTGAGGGTCGAGCTGGCCCAGGCGAAGCTGCAGGCAGCTGCTGCGGCTTCCCATCTGCTTCCATCCTGCGATGCTGTCCGGTCATCGCACTTGGCTTCACTGCTCTTCCAGATGCCAGCAGCTCAAAAGGCCCATGGCCGCACTGCAGAGCCAGAAGAGGCATCCAGGCTCAAGGGGGCACCCAGGCTGGAGGGGGCACCCAGGCTGGAGGAGGCACCCAGGCTGGAGGAGGCACCCGGGCTGGAGTACCCAGACTGGAGGAGGTACCCAGGCTGGAGGGGGCACTCAAGCAGGAGGGGGCAGCCCACTCAGGCTGGAGGAGGCACCCAGGCTGGTGGAGAGCAGACCAATGGGCAGACTGGTGGCCCAGCCACACGAGAAAGGCTCTGCTCTTCACCTGCCCTGTGGGCCTGACTTATGATCCTTACACAGACACCCCCACACGACATGTAAGTTCACATGCCCCGACCACGGTGGAGGGTCCCCATCAGGCCTGCCTCCTTCTGGACTGGGAACTGCTCCCATCACCCTGCTGCCTCTCGAAGCGCCTCCCCTCCCCAGTCCTTACCGCAAAGTGACAGCAGGGATTGATGGGCACCAACCAACCAGACAAGCCAAGTCACACCAAAGTGCTGGCCAGCAAGCCTTTGCAGAGATCACAGTGCTTCTCCAGGAGACTCCCAGGACGGAGCCCGGCTGTGGATACTTCAGGACCACTGGGGCACCCGTGGCTTGGAGAGGCCGTGAGACATTTGGGAAGCCCAAATAATCCAGTGATTTCAGCAAAAACAGTGTGCGTTCCATGCAAATGCAGTTTTAAGATGAGGAACACCTCCCCTAGCCTCTTCCATTGTCCCTAAGCCCCTCCCCTAGCTAGATGCAGGTGCCACCGAGGGATCCAGGTGGGGGTAGGGACATCTCTGATTAGAGGTCTTTACTCACTGCCACACACGCGCGCGCACACACACACACACGTATGCACGTGTGCACACTCACTGGCAAACAATCCAGCACAGTGGTTAAATGTGCCAGCTATGGCACCAGACGGCCTCTGTTTGAATCCTGACTTCCCCATTCTACCAGCTGCATGGCCTTGAGCAAGATGCTTAACCTGTCTGTGCCTCAGTTTCTTTACCTATAAAATGGTAATATTAGTATCTACTGCATGAGCTTGTCAGGAAGATTAAAGAACACAATGGCTGCAAAGCCAAGCACTCAGTGCTTAGTAGCTACATGTCGGAGCACAGAGACTCCATCGGGGTGGGGTAGGAAGGGTCCCCAGCCACCCCATTTACCCATCAGCAACTCAAGACAGGAACTTTGTCTCCACTTCAGATCACCAGGGCCTCCCTCTGTATGGGCACAGAGGAGCCGCCCTTCGGTATTTGTGGAAAACAACTGAAAACACCGCCTTACCTCATGCTTCCACTGCTCCATTCATCCAGCAAATGTTTACTAAGCGTTTAGACCACGCCAGGCTCCACTGGAGGCTCTGGGGATCCCAAAGTGAACAAAACAGACGAGAAGCCCAGCCCTCCCAGCTCCGCCATCCTAGGAGAACAGGCTCCTGCACAGAAGCAGACTTCCCTGGAGAAAGGAAGCCACATGTTTTCTGTGCCAAAACAGCTTGGATGGGCCCTTTCCCAATAACTGATGCACTTCCCTGCATTCTCAGCCCGACATTACTGGATGTACTTTAGCTTCCTCTTGACAACTCAAGGTCAAGTCCACGAACATCAGTGCACACACAATTCCAAGGTCCCTGAGGCTTGCCGGCTCTCTGCCCTGACACTAAGGGGGCCCCCAGCCTCTCGGTCCTTCTGAGCCTCTGGCCTTGTTCTTTATCATGCGTCTATTTCTTCTTATTCGATGAGGCCACTGGCTGATTCTGGGTGCTATCTCTGTACCTGCTCCATGGCCTGATACCCCAACCCCTGCCCTCATAGGCTGTTTTTGTTCTGAGGTTCAGATCTGAGGGGCCTGAGAGTCAAGCTCGTAAGAACTGTATGCAGGCTAAGTGCAGTGGGCTCCAAAGACCATACCGAGGGGCCCTCCTCTGAATTTTTTATGCATAGCCTTTCTATAGTTTAGCTCTGAGTTCCGAAGGGTGGGGCCTCTGTTTTATTCTCCAAAATGCCCCCAGCACTAGAACAGTACCTGACACAGAGTAAACACTCAGGGCGATTTATTCTTAAGTAGATGTGCAGGGCAGGGCCCTTCATGTTTTACTCATCTTTTAACACTCAGGTACCTAAAAAGACTGAACAAGTGAAGAACCCCTGTGTGTGCGTGTGGAGGGGGTGGGTGGGCTGTGGTGGCAGGGACTCGTGTGTACGTGGTGGTGGCAGGAACAGGGCTGGCAGGAAAGCGAGGCGGGAGGCACAGCTGCTGACAGGGGGATGGACAGCTCTCAGCAATGCCCGGTCACGGCTCTCCAGATTCCAGGTGGGCTCCAAACGGCTCACTCCCAGAGCTGCCCAACATGTGCCCAGCTGCCTGGCTCTGCCCTGCCCTGCCCTGCCACTGAGGGTCCATCTTTAATGGCTCCTGGGCCCTGTGCAGGTAGAGCAATTTTGAAATCCTTGAAGTCAATCAGCCGCCTTCCAGGGAGTACCTCCTTCCCATGTGCATGGGAAATCGGCCCACCATGCAGGAGGCCCTCCACCGGACCCCAGCAGACGGTGCCTACGGACGCGCCAGCACACCTGCGTGTGTGCATGCATGCACATTCTCTAAGTCACTGCGTGAGGAGGGGACACTGAAGTCCCTCTGCCCACCTTCCTGATGGGCCAGCAGTGGCCTCCAGTGACCCTCTCTGAGTGCTGTGCCTCCAGTTGACAAAATGCTTTCACAGCCCTCATTTCCTCAAACGCTCCTCACCTGCTTTTATCCATATTTTATGAGGAAAGTGAAGCTTGTTGAAGGCAAGTGCCTGAGGTTACGGAGCTCCTGAGTGGTTGAGCTGAGACTCAGACCATGCCTCCAAGCCTCAGGCCCCAAGCCGCCAGGCAACCCCTGAAGCTCACACCCTCACCTTTGAGAGAACAGAGGACAGAGGACAGCGGTGGCCTGGATTCAGCCTGTCCAAGCCCCACCCAGCCCTGCCCAGCTGCTTGAGCCTGGGCGACTTCGCCTCATCTCACTCCCATGTTTAATAATGTGGACCCCAGGAGCTTGTTCTAGGATTCAAGAAAATCATGGGTGTGAGAGGGCTCTGCAAACCGGAAAGTGCAGTGCACAGGAACGAGGTCGCTGGGGGCCTAGTCAGGTCATTTCAGTTCTGTGAACCTCAGCACTGTCACCTGAAAATGGGGCTGGTGACACCCAATTTGTGGGGCTGTGGTGAGGACTGGGCAAGCTCAAAGAAGTGGGGCTCTGACATTGTGGTTAAGGTAATGACAACAGTTAGCTCCCCAGGAAGAAAACCACCTTGTCACAAATCAGGGTCAACCCTCCAGACACGAGCCACATGGCTGTTTTCTCTGTTGCCCTCCCAGCTGACAGACCTTGATGTTTTTCTCGGGTTCGAGGGGAGCATCTTCCTTTGGAGGAAGGGAGGGGCTGTCTGGGCAAGACTGACTGCCCTGGTGAGGAGAAACACTCTTCCTAGCATGGCCCCCTACCCTGACTGTAGATGCAGCTTGAGGATGAAAAGCTCGGTGCTGTGGCAACCACTCTGCAGCCATGAGGCAAAGATCAAAAGAAGCCTGGACTCTTGGATCCCAGGGAGCAGCTGATTTCTGAACTATGAAAAATGCCAGCCCCTGTTAGTTTAAGCTGCTGCTTGAGGGGTTTCTGTTATTTGAAACACAGTGCTTTCCTTGCAGATTCAAGGGAACAAGGGTATGAGCCCAACTGGAGCACAGGAGAGCCCAGGGGCATCTCCCTAGCTGTGTCCTAAAGCCCCTAGTTAATCCTTCCCTAGAAGGGAATGTCCCTTGCCATCAGCATAGGGACATTCAGCCCTAGCAGTGTGGATTTTAGTGGAAAGAATGGTGTGTCATTATTTGGGGGCCCTAGTATGTGCCAGAAGACAGGACACAAAGAGAAAGGGGCTCACAGTCTAGCCAGAGACACAGGCATTTAATCCAACACTGTGTAACATAGTGTCATGGGATGTAATATCACATCGCATCCTATGTCACATAGCATACCACCTAAAAATATAATATAATACAATGTAATGACATGAAATCTAATATATCACATAATAGAGTTTCATATTGTCTAACATTTTAACTCATTACTTTAAAAGCATATCACATGATGCTCTCCTGAATTAGACCAAAAGCATCCCTGTGCTACGACACCCTGAGGAAGGAGCTGGGGTTGGGGTCAGGGAGGGCTTTCAGGAGGAGCTGAGCCTTCCAGAATGAGCAGGAGTTAGCCAGGCAGACAGTGGAGAAGGGCATTCCAGGCAGAAGGGATGGCATGAGCACAGAGGCCAAAAATAGCCCCTTTGAGCAAGGAGTTCTGTGCTGCTGGGGTGTAAATTGGGACATAGGGAGTGACCGGCCAGGGCCAGGTCACTTGGGGGGCCTATCAGGTGTTCTATTGAGTCTGGCCTCATCCCTTGGCCTGTAGGGAGCCCCCTAGGCCTTAGGGGAGCTAAGTAGGGGATGGAGTGAGGCAGTCTGACCAGCTTTCAGCAGAGCAGCCAGGAGGGGCTCTGGTGGGGCTGACAGCCAGGGCAGCTAAGACAGGCGCCGGTGGCTGTGAATTCTGGGCAGAGGTGGCAAGATGTTAAAGGAGAGAATGGCTCCCGACTTCACCCTCTAGAAACACTTATCCTGGGAGCACAAGGAAGGTTTGTTGTTTCCCATGGAAACTGCTTTCTGGTCTGCTGGGGCAGGTAGAAAGGGCATGGCCTGTTTAAGGATGGGATGTGGGGAGCCAGGGCCTGCTGACACCCTGTCTGAGGCCTCGCACTGTGCCAGGTGCAGGGCTCAAGGCTGAGCAGTGGGCAGGGCAGCCCTGTCCTCCTCTTCCTCTTGTCCTCTGGAAGCCTCAGAGTTCAAAAGCAATTTCTGGTCACTAGGCTGACGCCATGCCATACCAGGGGCTGGGGACAGTGGTTCCTCTTCCTTCCTCGGGTCCTCCTTGCCTTTGGCCCCACGAAGACCAACTTCTTGGGCAGGAGACATGGGAGGGAGAGCAGATTTTGCAAAACAATATTACGTCCTTTATGCCACTAATCCATGAACAGACCCAGGAGCTGGTGGGGTAGCTTCATGATAACTAATCAGGGTCCTGAGGTTAAAACACTTGAGCACCCGGCCGCACGGCCCCCAAGGGAAGAGTAGGGACCAGCTCCAGCATCCAAACCAGATACCTGCCCCCAGAGGTCACTCAAGGAGAGAGGATCCCGTGGGCCTGCGCTGAGCCCTTCAGATGGTGAGACAAATGGCCCTAAAACTGTGATAAACATCAATATTTGGTCCTGCCAGAGCTGCCATCTCTCTAACTGGAAGTGGGAGGAAAGCTGAGAGGAGGGCAAGAGGAATGAGGTGCAGGAGCCTGTGTAAAGATGAAATGCAAAAAGCCCTCCAAAGCCCCAAATGTGAGGCTTTTGCAAAGCCGGCCACCCACAGCCGTGTCAATGACGGGCTTTTTCCACTGCTGGGGTGAGGGGCTGCTGGGGCTTCTGGATCTGGGGAGGCAGCCCATGGAAAATGGGTGCAAAGAACTGAGAAAGGAAAGGGGAAACTCCCAGTACCCTGCCACTGACCTGTGTCCCCCCATCACATCACCACTGTCTGACACATGGCAGCCCCAGGCCCAACTCAGCTCCTCCCTCAGTGTCCAGGGGCTGTGAGGAAAGCAGCCCAGCCTTGCCCTTCTCTCCTTTCCTCCCCAGGGCTGGCTTCCAGTTGCCGGCCCTGCCCCAGGACCCCACAGCCCCTGACAGGCCACCCAGTGACTGCTCCCAGGAGGTGCCCAGGTTCCAGGCAGACATATCCCAGAAGGCTTTGGCGGCAGCAGCCAGTTCTTAAAAAAGGCTTCATGTCATGCTGCAGTCAGCGGCAGAGCCGAGGCACCGGCGTATTTATGAATGTGATTGTCCTCCCAGAACATCTCCGTGAAGCTCTCTGATGAGCTGATGGGGGTCTCTGCATGGTGTCCGGTCTCCCAGACCCTCCCTCTGAGGAGACATTGTTCTCGTCTGTGTGCATGGGGTTTATTCAGGGTGACGGCGGAATGACTCTGCCATGGCGCTGCCTGTTTTGAGCCTCAACACTGAGATGCGCTCCCAAGCACCTTCTTGCTCCCATGTCCCCTCCAGCTGTTTTCTTAGGAAAATAGTCACTTTCAACCATCCCCAGTGACAACAGCCTTGAGAAAGAAAAGTTCCGCAGTGTCAGGAGCACTAATGAGGTGGCCTTCGGGCTCGCAGAGGAGGAAGAAAAGTCACAACTGATGTGAGAAGAGGAAGAAACAACATTAAAAGAAAACGGGAAAAAAATAAAAACCAGAGATAAAAAGTCAAGAGAAAACAGCGGCGCCTGAGAAACAAGAATTCCAGCCGCCAACTTTTACGGCGTCCAGTCCTGTTATTCATAAGCGAGTTTCCTCTCTCACAAAGAACCTTTTGCACGGTTTTCCCTGCTGCCTCCAAACCAGCTGCTCGCGCTGTTGTATCCTGAGTGATGATGAGGCTCTGAAAGGGTTTTTTGGGAACAGATGGCCAGGGGAGAGCTGGGGAATGTGCCAGCAGAGGGCCGGGCGGGCTGCCAAGGCCTGTGGTGACTGAGTGCTTGGGCTTCCAGCTCGCGTGCTTTCCCTGCCCTCTGCCCTCCGTGGCGCCAGCAGGCCTTCCCAGCGAGCGCTCGGAACATCTGGAGTCTGGGGCTGCCAGGAGGGGGGGCCGCGGCGGCCGGGCGGGGGACCCTCTGTTCCAGCGGAGCTCCCATGGACTCACCAGCAGGCCCGCCTCGCAGAACAGCTAATCAAAACCACAGCGCCCGAATGGGAACCAGGCGCGCTCCCAGCTGCAGCCAAAGGCCGCCAGGCGACTTAACCTGGTGTCAGTCCTCGCCGGCGGCACAAAGCTGGGGGTGCCCGCAGCTGATGACACCTCCCTGCCCAACCCACCCCTCGCTACCACCAGGGCCACCACCAGCAGGCTCTTGGCTCCCCACAGCTAAATGGAGCCTGCACTGCGCTGCAGCCGGGCTGCTTACATAAGAGCTGTTGCTCTGGGCAAGGGACGGCACCAGGCACTTGCTGGGGGCCTCCTGGGCACAGGCCACTGTGCTGGGCAGTGTGCGAGCTTCAGGCAGCGGGCTGGCCTCAGGACTGAAGAGCTCAGAACTCAGAACCAAAGAGATAAAACAGGTTGGAAACTGAGCTCTGCCACTTCCTGGCCATGTGGCCCCAGGCAAGTTACGCCCTTCTCCTGGCCTCAGTCTTCCATCTGTGCAATGAGGGAAGTGGTCCCAACTTTGGGGTTAGTATAACACGGGGTAGAGATAATGTGAGTGGGATGCCCATAAGGGGACACAATGGCACTCACCACATGGTTGATGTGCTTGGTGGTGGCAGTGGTCTGCTGCAGTGCCGATTAGCATTATTATATGACCACATGTTATGCATGTTTCTTGGTATGACTCCCTCTACTTTGACATCCGAGGATTTCTGGATGGGCTGCAGGCTGCACCCTATGCTAAGGGTGCAGGACCAGGGGTTTGAGCTGAAGTGCTAGAGGGGAAAGAATCTCTCACTCAGAAAGGTTGGTCCTTCCCCATCTGCCTTTTGGCTGGTCGGTCATTCATCCACCCTGGCACTGCCCTTTTCTGAGCTGTTCCTTCCCGGGGTTCCAATTAAGTTGTTACCTTGTAGCTATAAATTCATGAGATTTCCTCTCTGGCACTCACCGGGAACACCAGCCCTTTCTCATATGGGGTCTTGTTTAATCCTTTCAGCAAGGCAGCAAGGCAGATTTGTGTGCTTTCACTTTACAGATGAGAGGACTGGGGATCAGAGAGGTCAAATAACATGCCCAAGGCCACAGAGCGAGAGTGACAGTGCCAGGACTCAAATCCAGGTCTCCAGCCCCAGAACTCTGCACTTTGCCTACTTCACAGTTTTGCTGAGGGCCGCCATAGCGTGCGTTCCTGTGCCTTAAATGATAGCACTACAGAGCACCAGAAAGAACCACAGCGTTCTCTGGGGTTAGCCCCCACCCTACACAGACACCCCTTCTCCAGCGTCCCGAGAGCCACTGAGCCTCCACAGGGGCTTCCAGAGGGGAATCTTGGCTCAGAGGTGCCCCAGGGGGTTCTCTGCATTCCCCAGTGTGGTCAGTTAGGGCATCAGAGGGGACTTCCCACGTCTCAGAGACCTTCTGAGCAGGAAGAGCTGGTTTTTCTCCCTAGGTCAGAGATCCTGAGTTTTCATTCATTCTCAGTGTGTTGGGGAGAAGGGTGGGGTCTGGGAGCGCATGTTGAGGGTGGGGAGCAATTTGGAAAAAGAGAGAGGAGGAGGAAAGGGGCAGAGAGTGTGAAAAGAGGGAGGAAGCGGCACCCCAGCCTTTCCCTGCGCCTCGCCTCGAGACCACCCGGGGAACCTCAGAGGCACGGTCCACGTTCAGGGAAAGCCAGCTCAGCTCACCTGGGAGGCTCCCCAGCCAATGACCCCTCCAGCCCAGGCCCTGCCAGACTTGTGGCCTAACAGTGTCAAATGGGAGAAGAGAAACGGCAGCTGAGAGAACACTCCGTGTTAGAACAAACAGCTGGCGACAAACGTCTATGTAATTGGAATGCCAGAAAAAATAAATTGCATCCATTTTTATGGCTAGTTGGGAATTTGATGGTGGTTTCCCACCCACCCCCCTTTTCCCCAGCATAGATGGCCTCCTTGGGCTTTGAAAGCAGATGGTATTTAACTTAATAACTGGGCCGGGAGGGGGTTGGATATGTGAGCCACCAACCTCCCCTCAACCCCACTCCCATGTGAGAAGCAGGACAGGGAAGCAGTAGGAGCTGGGGGCACACACCTCTGTTAGTGGTTAGGTGATCTCAGGCAAGTTCCTTGGGCTCAGGGAGCCCCGGACTCACCATCTGTGCATCAGACAACACCAGTCCCCCACCTCAAGGGTTGGTGAGAGGAGCCCACGAGGTGATACCCGGGAAGCACCAAGCACATGCCTGGCACATGATCCACGCTCTCTGAACATCAGATGTCGCCAGTATTCTCAGGGCAAACCGCCCTGAGGTCCCAACAGTCTCTAGGAGCGACTTTCAAATCTCTGTGAAATGCCCTGAGAAGTAACACAGGGGTCAGTCATTAAAGCAGAAAGAGGATTTAGGTGGGCTTGGCAAGGGCCTTAGAAATCACTTATGACAGCTCCTCACTTTTCAGAGACAAGGCCTCAGCAGGGCTGACAATGTACATGGGAGGTAGGAACAAAGCTGGGACAGTGCCCCTTGGTGGGCACCCTAGGGGCCATAGGTGGAACTGAATCCAGGCAGGGTGCGGCTCTGGAGACTCCGCCTCCCACAGTCCACAGAAGGGGCTGGCACCCAGGGATCCTGTCCGAGGCCTGGGCTCAGCTATCCAGACAGAAGGGGGCCCCTCCTACACACCCTCAGCTCACACCAAACCCCCTTCACCCGACAAAATCCAATATGCCTTCATCTTGTCCCTGGCACCGAAGCTACGGGGTCTGCACCCAAGACGTTCTTCCAAAGCGGACCCAGGCCATACTAGGACCTGCCTCCTGTCCCCAGAAAGCAGCAAGGAAAAGAGGGAGGACACAGATCTCATGAAGCTGCACTGGCTTAATTGCCACCTCTGGCTTCAGATTACCCACAGGGCCAGGAGCAAACCTCCCAGCCCTGCAGACCCCGCCTTCCCAGCACTGGCACACGGCTGCAGGCACACCACCCGGGGGGGTCTAGCTTGCTGGCTAAGCCTCTGGTACAGCCCTCAACTCAGCACTTTCTGGTTCGTCTTGTCTCCCATGCAAAACCAGGGCCTTTGAGCAACTTGAGGGCAGGAACTTACTGGCCATTTATTGCCAGGGCTCAAAACATGCTATCAATTTGAGTAGCTGTTGTTGTAGTTAGTATTATACTACCTGATGGCTTAAAATCATTAGAAGACAATGCCCTGGTTTGTGCAAAATCAGTGCTTTCCTATTCCATAGATCTGGGGGTGGCCCACCCAGCCCAGGTGTGGAAGAACAGTTCTGCCTCCTCCTTGTCTTCCTCTTTCCCCTCCTCCTCCTCAGAAGCTCCCAGGAGTTGCTGCTTTAAAAACAGGAGCTGTGGAAAAGTGGCCCAGAGCCAGGTGCTTAACGTGCATTATCTCCGGCTGCAGCCGGAGTCAGAACTGAACTCCCCAGAGTCCTTCCAGGCCTCCCGCCCGTCTCTCTGCTGGGCGGCCTCTGACATGGGCCTCTGCACTACTGGGGCTTCCAAATGGGGCTCCAAATCCTCAAAGTCATGATCTGTGAGGCCCAGAAGGGGAGGATTCACTGGCCAAGGAATGCAGGTTCCCCACCCCCTGCCGAGGAGGGCTGAGATGGGCGGAAGGATGCACCTGGGCTTGGAGGGGGAGCTGAGTGCCCTTTAAATCTCATTCTTAATGCTGACCTGGACCCACAGTGCAGCTCCTCGGGGTGCGAGGGACCTCAGAGGACACTGAGCTCAACCTCCCAAGTGGGCATCTTGAAGGAGGGTCGCCCAGCCTCTTTTGGACACAGTAGCTCTGAGGGAAGCAGTCCCTGCATGGGACAGTTCAAATGGCCGCCAATCACACCAGCGATGACCACTGCCATCACAGCTGCTACAGCAGGCATCTGCTTGCGGCCTCACAGCCTTTGGTCCAGATTTTTGCTCCCAGGCTTCTGCAACCCTGCCTGACAGGCCTGTCAGCAGTCCTCTACCCTAAGGCTTTAAACCCCAGCTAACATGCAACTGAGTTGCCAGGAGGGTGACTGTGAAGCTATGGGCCACCATGCACCTTGTCAGGAATTCCTTTACCAGGCAGGCTTCCACAGCCACAGCACATGGAGCGGCAAGCGTGGCTCATTGGGGTAGGAAGGGCTGGGAAGCAAGTAGGCCTTAGGTGGTCATCTCATTTTCCAGAGAGGAACAGCAATGGACTCCAGCAACCCTGAGTGGTCGTGAGAGGGACAGTGGCCTGAAGTCAGGTGGAGGGGCCTCACAGAGAAACTACACACTCGTAATATCATTCAGACTCAAACTGGGCCCACGCTCCTGTCCCAGGGCCATCTCCAAGGTGACGCCAAGAGGCAAGCCCCAGGGTGGTGGCCCAGGGACTGTGTGCTAATCCAGACCCTGTGTGGTGGGGACTCCAACCCATGAACCCACCTCCTGACCCAGAGAGGGCAAAGCAGGTCTGGATGGAAGGCTCTAGTTCTCACCCCTCTCCTGCCCTCCTGTGCCCCTGCAGGACTCTGGGCAATCTCTCCAGCCCTCCTGGGTCCCCTCCACAGTCCACAGCTTCCTGATGGCCCCTGATGGCTAGAAATTTGTGTTAGAAGCAGAAATTCTTTGGTTTGCTTTTTCCTTTTTCTCACCCTAACCACTCCTGGTTCCCAAATCCTCTAGACCAAGAAGTGTTCAGTCGCTGCATGATGGTGGGGACTATGTGGTAAATTATTTTGTACCTGCACTGTGTCAGGTACATAGAGGGTACTCAATAGCTGTTCATGGAAGGGAAGGGAAGGAGAGGGGAGGGGAGGGGAAGAGGGAATACCAAGAAGCACTTTGAGATTCCCATCTCTTGCTTGGGGACCCCTACAGTAGTCACATGTCCTGTTGAGCGGGGGTAGACAACTGCTGAAGAGGGTGAACGGTGGGGAAGAGGGGCTCTTCCTCCCAGCACCTGTTATAAGTTCCTGGGCTTCCCCTGGCCCCTGCCTGGCTCCCAGGCTGTGGTGTGGCAGGACTGAGCGCTGTGAGCAGTGCATGCTCTCAGTCACCTCTTCCCAAAAACTCATAACCACGTGCAATCTACTGGTAGACCTTTGCAAGTCTTTTCACAGAAATAATCCTAGACATGAGGAAAGAATATTTGTTGGTTCAATTGTCCTGGGGGTTGATTCCCCAAACAGAATCTCTGTAAATGGAGGTGGGGCCTCAGGAGTCCCAGGCTGGGAGGCACAAAACGAAGAAAATAAAACCGGTGAGGTTCCAATTGCAACTCGAAAGCCAGGACACATCTAAAGATGGGCTCCTCATTCAATGCCATCTCAAGCCCCCCAAAAAAAGGGAAGGACAAGGGGCCCCAGGAGGCAGGGAAGTACCCTCCCCTGGGGCTTCAGGCCCCCTCGGTGTCAGGGCCCATGAGTCCACTCTGGGGCAGGACATCTGCCGAGGGGACCAGCTAAGGCCAGCTATGCTGGGCTTCAGTGTGGGGCCACACATCCCCACCAAGAGAGCGGATAAAGAGGGGAACAGTGTGAGCCAGACTCAGAGAGAAAGACAGGTAGACAGACAGATGGAGGGTGACAGCTAGCAATTATGACCGCAAAAGCATAGGTGCCCAGAAGCGGGACACAGGGGCCTGCCTGGAAGGGCTGCCTGGGAGCTCGAAGGCTCCAGCGACTCCAGGGGTCCTGAGCTGGAAAGGAATCTGGCTGCTTGAGATGCCCACACTTGCAAAGGCTGCCGTGTCAAATCCTGGTCGTCCAGATAAAACTATGGAAGGGGCTGGTATGGGAAGGGCTGGAATTATGAACACCGGCCCCCATGGGGAGACGCAGGGCCAGCCAGGGCTTCCTGAGTGGTTTCATATGAGAAATGTGTCACCACACATATGATGTGAGTCTGCGAGACCATGAAGGTCATTAGGGCAAAGACATACAGACCCCACCTCCCAGAGTCCCAGCTGGGTGACCTCCTCACCCAGCTGGGAAAGACTGAGGGCAGGAGGCAGGAAGTGCCCTCAGGCCCGGGCTGGGTGTGGGGGAGGGAGGGTGGAGAGGAAACAGTCGAGTTCCTACCCTGGAACTTCCATCTCGACCCCCAAAATCCCTCTCCAGGGCAATTTCACCACATAAGTAAGCCCCATAGGATAAGCCTCAAGTTCAGAGCTCAAGCATTTTAGGGGCTCATTATCATTACCCTGAGGACGGTGACCATGCAGACACCACACGCTCTCCTGCAGTAACTCCTTTCATCTTCACGGTGGCCCATGAGTGAGTATTTCCACCGTCCCCACTTATCAACAAGAAAACTGAGGCGGAGGAGGCTAAGCAATGGGTGCAGGATAACACAGCTGGTGAGTGGTGAGCCAGGGCTTGAACTCGGGGCTGTGCTATGCTCTTAACCACAATCTGTAGCCTCAGGTAAAGTCCCAGACTCCACAATGGGAAGGTTGGACCAGGCCCAGAGGGTGTCTAAGATGTGTTAGATTTGAGGTGATTTCAGGGGAAGCCAAAAGCTCGGCTCTGTCGGGCCTCTCCACCCAACTTGTCCCTCCTTCCTCACCAGCCAGGCATCCAGCCTCCTCCCAGCCCAAGACCCTGCTCCATTCAAAGAACCCGGGAAGGCGGGACCTCCACGCTGGCTTCTGCCTTCCCTGGGTGAAGAGGAGGGTGCGGGGGTAGGGCAGTGAGGGGCTGAGATGGAGACGGGGCGCCTGCCCACTCTGCCCATCTACACCTCCGGACCGCCTGAATGCCAGGGGAAGTTCACCGAGAGTTTACAAACCTCCTTTGTCACCGAGCGCCGCGGGAGCCATCAATCACGCCCTAATTTACCAGTGTCACTTTCCAGAGGAAAGCTGCCCAGAGCCGCCAGTGGCGCTTCCTCTCTCACCCACTTGATGAGGATTTTGTCTAATTGGTCCACGTTAAAGCACTCCCAGGAATGCAACGTGCAGTTACCGTGGCAGCGGCAGCGGGGAGCCCTGAGAAGGTGTCGTGACCCTCCCTGGCATGAGTCTGGAGTCCGTGGGGGACCTCCGGGAAACCCGGAGAACCCACAGAGGGGCCTGCTGGAAAGGGGTCTGGAAAGGAATGTCAGGGATGGGGGAGGGGCAGGCCAGGAAGGAAGGAGGCAGCGGAAAGAATGGATGGAGGATGACAGGGTCCGCCCCCTGCCCTAGGCAGGGACAGGCCTCTTGCCTCACAGATGTAGACTGGATCCCACTCTCTGTTGCTCTCCCTGAAGCCACGTGGTAACAGAGATCCGGAGGGCTGCACTAAGCCTTGCTCAGCACTGACCCCTGACTGGGAATGCCCAGAGCTTTGGCCACCTGGGGACCTATAGCTGTGCCCAACACCTTTCCCACTAAATGCATTTCCCCAGCCACATCAGGCTTCGTACAAGCTGTTCCCTCTGCCTCAGATGCTGTTCCCTCCTTCATCTGCCTGGTGACCTGGTGGTCCTGCTGGTCCCAGCTTAAACACCACTTACACTAAGATGCCCTTTCAAACTCCCGTGGGCAGGGAGTGAATCTGTCTCTCTTCTACCTGGCCTTCCACTGCCCCTAGCACAGGGCTCCTGCCCTCATCTACTTACAAGAGGGTCTCCCTGACCCTCCTATGAGCTGCCTGGGGACCAGGACCATATGTTTGTCATCTTTATACCCCTGCCCAGTATGCTCAGCACATGGTTGGAGCTTCATCAGTCTCTCCAGAATGAATGAATGAATGACCATCACCGCCCTTAATGCATAGCCTCAGATAACCCACAGGCCAAGTCACCCTCCCAAAACCTGCCAAAGGGCTCTCCTGGGCTGTCACCCTGCTCAGGGGAATCTTGTCCTGGTATGACATCTATCAGAGGCCACCCAAGGAATTCAGCACCAGAGCACCTAAGGCCAGGAAGGGGATTTAGAGATAAATGGTCCTCTTCATTTAAGTGAGGAGCAAACCGGGGCCCAGAGACCCTGGGTGACTGTTCGAGGTCACCCAGCAGCCGGTTACCAGAAGTAGAGACACACCTATAATCCCAGGGATTTGAGGAGCACTGAAGCTGAGGCAACTCCCAGCAAACCTCCAAGAGCTGATCTCTCTGGCCCCTTCAGAATTCTGGGCATAGGCAGGGCACCCCCAAGTTCCTGTCCCTGCCTCCCCTATGCTCCCCAGAAGCTACCGCCCACCCAGCTGGTGCATACCTTGCGCTTCTTGGCACGTCCCTCGGCCTGCAGGGTGCGGGTGCAGCGCTGCACACACTCGGAGAAGCTGAGGTTGCTGTGGTCGGCACTGTAGTCAAGGTCAGCCAGCCGCGCCAGGGACAGGATGTAGTTACAGGCGATCCTCAGGATGGCCAGTTTGGACAGCTTCTGCCCATATGAGTAGCACGGCACCTGAGGGGAGAAGGCGTCAGGAGGGGCTGCAGGGGCGCAGTGCCCAGCCTGGCAGGCATGGGAGACGGCCTGTCTATGGTATATCTGAGCCCTCCACCCTAATCTTATGATCTGCTCTACGCACCTGCTGTTTACACACACACACACACACACACACACACACACACACGTCAGCTCATCTGCTCTGAGATATACCCACATTCCCATTTTGCAGGGGAAGAAACAGGTTTGGCTTATGCCCACCATCCAGTCAGTCTGAATCTAAGTTCAGTGAATTTCCACGACCACTACAGAGCTCTGTCCTCCACCCTCTTGAGGAGGAATCTCTCTGAGATTCCTGAGAGGCATTTTGTTTTTTCAGCTCTGATGTTCCATTCATTCATTCAGCAACACTTGTTTTGCTGGGCACTTGGGGAGTGCAACAATGAATGACTTGATTCCTACTTTAGAGAACTTACACTCGAGTGAGGTTATAATGTCACACCTGGGACTCTGGGGACATACAGGAAGGAAAGTGTCAGTGCTCAGCTGGAAAGACACAAACATGGCTGGTTTTCATTTTTTAAAAATCTTTTACTCTGTGCCCTCAGGACTTGGGGTGCTGCTGGGCAGACAACAGTGGCGTAATACACACGGCACTGAACAAACTTGACACGTTTGTCAATGATTCATCACCAACTAGCTCCTCACTAATTGCACAGGGATTTGTATGGGGTGAAAGATGGAGCCTTTAATTTTTAATATGTCTCTCCACCAATATTTGTGCTGCATGAGCAAAAAGTTCCAAAGACTGTGGTACACTTGAACAGAGTTCTGTCTTGGAACCTGGAAATAGCTCCACAAAATCAACCTGATAGGTGCTAATAGACCCCACTGTTCCTATGATGTACTGTTCACCTAAAGGGCTAACAATCCAGCAACGATGGCTCCTGGTTTACTCCTCGCTATGGCTCTTGAGGATCTACACGTGGCATCCATATCATTGATGAACTCGTATCCCACAGGGGGTGGGACGGCACGATGCATCCACACAAGTATTTAGTGAGCGCCCACCATATGCCAGGCATTCTTTCAGGCCAGTGATTCTCAACCAGGGATGATTTTGTCCCCTAGGGACAGGGGAGTGGGGGCATTGCAGGGACGGAGGTGGGCACGTAGCTAAACATCCTACAGAGCACAGGATCCTACAGTGCCCCCACAACAGAGAACTACCTGCCCCCAAATGTCGATAGTGCCAAGGATGGAAATCCCTATTCCAGAGCATGGAGAAAAAGCATGAACAGTCACCCCAGACTGGGGACCCTAAACACATCGCCCACTTTGATCTCACTTTAAACCTCACTGTGTCCAAGAACTTTCCCTGACCTCCCCTACCCTACACCAGGAGGGACAGCTTGCCCTTAATAGGGCCCTAATAGCACCCCGTCTGTCCTTAACTGCCCATACTGTGGCTCTTTAGTGCTCAGTCTCCCTATGAACTGTGGGGGGAAGGCCTATGTCTGCAGTGCCTAGCACAGGTCCTGCCCATAACAGGCCCTCAAAAGGGTTTGTTGATTAAGGCAATGAGTGAACAAATGAATGATCTCTCCCTCTGGATCTTCACTCTAGAATATTTTGAACTGGGCTCAAACACCTTTCCTCTCTCTGATGATGAAGATGAAGCTATCTGGCATAAAGCTAAGCGTATCTTTTTGTCACGTGGATTCAACTCCTGGCTCTAGCTTTGTCTAGCTGTAATGCTCTGGGCAAGAGACAGAATCTTTCTGAGCCTCGGTTTCCTTGTCATATTGGGAACAGGACTGATCTCACAAGGAGGTAAGGATTAAATGAGATGATGTGTGCATTGCATTGAGTAAGGCCTGATAGAGGTCTGTGAAAGCATTATGGTTGGTCTTGCAGAAGGTCCTCAAAGAGGGGCTCCAGAGGAGGTGAGAAGCCAGAGGTCTGGAGCCAGGACACGTGCCTGCCCTACCCTCCACCCTCTGGGGGTGCTGAGACTAGGAAACCCAGAGAGGGAGAAGAAGGCAACAGAGAAAGCCAGCTCCCATGCATTTCCATCCCTCACCCCATCTCCCACTCCCAGCCCTGGCTGCAGCTCCAAACCCATCCCAGAAATGCTGGCAGAACAATGCACTTTGCTCGTTCCCAGCCAGAGTCCAGGGAATCCTGCTTTATCAACCTGAACAAATAAACAAGGTCTGGTAGTCCTGGGGCAGGGAAGGGGGTCTCAGGGGCCAGCTAGCACTTCTGCCTCCTCTTCACCCCAGGGAGGGTGTGGCAGCCTGAGGGAGACTCTGGGGACTGGGTGCAGCTCTGTGACACAGCCCTCAGCACTGTTTTCACACAGAGGCCACACCAGGAGTTTCCCTTAAAGACCCAGCTCTTTGAGCCCATGGCCCGTAACAGCTGGGCTTCCAGGAGGGAGCAGGGATTTTGGAAGGGATCTGTACGCTGTGATCCAGGGTCACTGTAGGACCACAAAGTGACAGCTGAGGCCAAGGCCAATCTAGAGGCCCCCATGCCAGGTTCTGGGCCAGTTCTGTCCTAGATATGTCACCTTGCCCTATTGTTTCTATCAAGCTCCAGATCTAACAAGAAGAAACCCATCCATTGAGCTCCTGTATATCTGACACTGTGGTAGCTATTTACAGGTAGTATTAGCCCATTTAAAACCTTCCCCACCATCTGTACACACAAAAACAGAGAGGTGACATATTGGGCCCCAGATCACTCAGCTAAGACCCGGCTGGAGCCTGAAACTCATCTGACTGACACCAGGCACATAGCCACTAGGCTCTCCCAGCTCCCACCACCACACCGGAGGTAGCCACATAAGGGACACCAAAGGCATCTTTCAGGTTGCTCCCCTCTCCTTCTCCCCGACCCCTAGAGGCAGCTCCTTACCACCTGGCCAATTCCAGATCCTCCTGGTGCCCATGCCCCCGGATGCAGCCCCTCAGCCCCCAACAGCCCAGCTCAGAGGCACCCCAGCCTGGGCTGCCACTGCAAAGTGAGAATTTAGCACCCGTTCTGGTTCTAGGACGTCAAAGTATGGTGGAAAGAGCTCGTCTGAATTCCAGGCACTTACAAGCGGTGTGACTTTGGGAAGTGCCTTCACTCCTCAGAGCCTCCGTTTCCTCATCTGGAAAGTCGGAGTAGCAATGCCTGGGCAGCTCACAGAGCTTCAAGGACTACATCAAGCAGCTTCCACCGGAGTCTGAGCGGCACAGATTCTCCGTGACTGTTGGGCCCAGGCCACCTTGCAGTTATTACGATCTATAAGGCCAGGCAGAGGGTGGATGTTTCAAATACAATGTCTGTATTCATCTTTTAAGTGGCCCAATGAGGTAGAAATGGTCACTTCCACTTTACAGAAAAGCATGTGATTCTCAGGCATGTAGGAATTTCCTGGATCTCCCAACTGGTGAGTGAAGAGCTGCGTTTTGAACTCGTGGCTTAGCTGGGCTCTTTCCAGCATGAACTGCTTGGGGATCTGAATAAGTGTCTATAGTTTAAGGTGAGGAGGTAGGCAGCCCATCCTCCTGAGCTCGGGATGGAGAGTTCTGGGCTGATGATGCCATGAGATCCCTCTTAGAGTATCCACAGCAAGGCCCAGAGCCCACCCACCCGCACCGCCTACAGAGTCCCCCACAGCCATTGTCGGCTCACCCTGGTCAGAGGACACGGGCCAAAGGAGGAGGCAGAATTACCTGGCTCCCACTCCCGACAGACTGCCCAACTTCCAGAAAAGTAAAAGGATCTGCCTTGTGCTCATCCCACAAGGATTTTTAAACTTTGGAGGAACAGACTTTGGCATTTTCGCAAGGTCCCATATGCCCCCAAAACATTCCACCCCACCCACCCTAAGCTGGACCCAGTTCCAGCAAGCATGAAAAAACATGAAGAGCACTGGCCTGGGAGCCCGAGGGCCTGGCTCCACTCCTGGCCAGCCATGTGACCTTAGGCAGGTCCACAAGCTTACAGGACCTCAGTTTCCTCACCAGTAAAATGGGCATTAGAACACCTGCTACCTCAGAATGAGATCGCAGGAGCAAATGTGGGAAAACTTCCTAAAGAAACAACTCCGAGAACCCACCAGAGAATGCAACAAAGGCCTCAAAGCCCTCCATGCTCCTGCTTCTGTGCCAACTCCTGCCCACCCTGCAGACCCAGCCCAAGACGCCCTCCTGGAAGCCCACCAAGACTCCTGGGCCCATAGAGCTCCAACAGCACCACATCCACTACACACAGATGAGCACCGGATTCCACTGAAATTATCATCTGATCGTCTCGTGTCAGTGAGTGCTGGACTCCCGACGTGAATCCACTCTACCCAGAGCTGTTCAATGTCCTTCCCAAAGTCTATCTAAATAGGTTCTTTAAAATCCCAGCCTCCTGCACTGCCACCAGGCTGGACCCTGAGAACCTGGGTCTTGGTGGTTAAGAGCTATAGCCCCAGGGTCAGACAGGCCACAGTACAGATCCTGGTCACTCTGTGGGCTTGAGCAATCTGCGTCACCTCTCTGTAAGTGTCCTCATCTGTAAAATGGGAAGACAGCACTACGGACATCCCACAGCAGGCTCAGGTAAGGCCTCACTCAGTGCAGTGAGGCTCCACGGCAGCCACCCTGGTGACTTTGGACATGATGGAACAGGAGGAAGGCCTCTGTCACCCTTACCTACCTGCATGGAGCCCCCAGTGCAAGCAGGCCTGTCCCTCGTTGCCCGAGAGGATGGTGTACAGGCTGCTTTGCACTCCCTATGCCCTCCTTGCACCCTGTGGGGTTTCAGAGTGAGGGAGGTGCTGAGGGCACCATTCCCACGCCCTCTCCAGGGCCACCCTGAGTTCACTCGGTGAAGACCCCCTGGGAAGCTCCAGGGGCAGCAGGGGAGGTAGCCCGGGCCCCAGGTGCTTGGCATGTCCTCCGTAGAGAGGACCACGGCAGAAGCCGGGGCCCCGCACTGTCTTCCATTGCTGCCATCCTCCATCAACCCTGAGGGACCCTGAAGGGAGAGAGGAAATCCACACGCACACCACATGCCCCAAGGGTGGGCACAGCTTGTGAGACAGAAGGTCCTGCCACTCTGGCCCCTTCCCTCACCACCCCTCAAGGCCAGCCTTTCCCTTTGACCCCTCCCACCTGGCAGGGAGCAGCCCCACTCCCGGGGCCAGGCCAGCTGTGCACACATGGCCTTCACATGAGGCGGCAGGGAGGGCTCTGGTGCAGCTGCGCTGGTGGCATGTGCTGGGGCCTGACCATCTGCCCTGCACCACCCAGCCCAGACCAGACCAGACCAGAGGGCCTCTCTCCCACCTGCACCTCCCCACCTGCGGCCCTGCAGCCACCCTCCCTGCTCCCTTCCTGGTTGAGAGGACAGTGGATTATGACACAATGGGAGCCTGTCTGGCTTCCTCATGCTGAGGGTAGATGGCTCCAGGACATTAGACAGGCTGAGGAGCAGAGCTGTTAGGAGTCTGGGCCCTGGGAGCCCAACCCAAGCTCCGCAGCAACAGCGGCACACAGCTACGCAGGCTGCCACTGTACATGACCACGAGGCACCGCCACCCTGGAGGCTGGCAAACTGCGTGCCAAGGTAGCATGTAGCACAAAACCCACAAGGCCACGTGCAGTGGCAAAAGACCGGGACAACTTACATAAGCTCTCTGAAACTCAGTGTCACCATCTGTGAAACAGGGCAGGGGGTGCAATAATATCTATTTCATTAAATGAACTAATACACATAACAAGCTTAGCACCATGCCTGGCACAAAGTAAGCATGTGATGAATGCTAATTTCTGTGACAGTTATTAAAACAATTAAAGAATTCTTATTGCTTCATCTGTCGAGAGCCTTGCCCAGCCCTGAGGACCTTGGAGATGCTTAAGAAATGTTCAGTGCTCTGGCTGTGCACAGTGGCTCATGCCCGTAATCCTAGCACTTTGGGAGACAGAGGTGGGTGGATCACCTCAGCCCAGGAGTTCGAGGCCAGCCTGGGCAACATGGTGAAACCCCCATCCCTACTAAAATACAAAAAATTACCCAGGTGTGGTGGTGCGCACCTGTAATCCCAGCTACTCGGGAGGCTGAGGCAGAAGAATCACTTGAACCTGGGAGGTGGAGTTTGCAGTGAGCTGAGATCACACCACTGTACTCCAGCCTGGTCAACAGAAAGAGACTCTGTCTCAAAAAAAAAAAAAAAAATGAAATGAAAGAAATGTTCACTGCTCTTATAGGCCTCCTACCTTTCCTCACTTTCTCTTCTCAACACTGGATGAGGTCAGCAATATTACCATTTTACAACTTCAGCAACTGAGGCCCAGAAAGGGTCAGTGACTTGTCCACAGCCACACAGAAGGCATGCAGGGGAGGAACAACTCAATGCCTGGCCTCCAGTTTCCCAGATCAGTGCTTCTTTCATGGTACCAGGAAGCTGCTCAGGAGAATGAAGCCCCAGGCCAGAGCCACAATCCCAGAACCCATCTCAGTGCCACACTGGCCAAGGCCCCATTTCAGGCGGAGCTGATCTGCCTTTTGTCCATTTCCAAGGACCCATTTCAGTCAGGCCCGAGCCTAGCTCCAGAGCTGCAGCTCGTCTGGATTCGGGGAGGGGGTGCGGAGTACATTTTACAGAGAAGACTGAGGCCCAGAGGAGGAAGGGGCTCCTCCAGAACACAGGACTTCCTCTATCGAATGGGTGCCATGGTGGTGAGGAGGACATGGTGGGTGTGGCCTTGGCCCCTGGTTCTATGACCAGAAACGTCCTGGCTGTATTTCTTTCCTTCCCAGCTAACAGGCAGGTGCCCACTATGGCCTGGCAGCCTTTCTGGGGAAGGGGCAGAATGGCTAGGGCAAGGAGGAAACAAACAGGAACAGGTGCTTCTGTGACCATGCATTTGTGTGTGCTCTTGAGCACGTGTAAGGAGCATGTGTGTGTGTACCTGCCTGTGTGTTTGCATTGCATACACACGCTCTCCCTGAGAGGGCATGGGTGTGCCTTCTACTTAGATACACTGAACTTGCCCTTTTTATAGAGAACTTCCCACGGTAAGGGGGGAAGTAAAAGGAGACCAGGATGAACAATCTCATCTCAAAGGGTCTGCCAAGTGTGCACCCTGCCTTGATTGTTAACAAACATCACAGGCTGGGGGCTGGGGGGGTGGCACATGACGCTGATACAGATGGCACTGTGGGAAGCATTTGGCCAGGAGGGCATTCCAGAAACTGCTGTTATCTTCCCTAACCCACTAGGTGACCTTGGACAAGTCTCCTTCCATCTCTGGGCCTCAGTGTTCCATACTATAAAATGAGTTAATCCAATTTCGACAGGGATTATGTTTAGATCAAATGAGATGGAATTGATTGTTGAATGAAGTAAAAGTCAGTGGGCACATGAGATGTAACAAAGCACTCAGATGAGTATTCTCTCAGCATACAGAGGCAATAGAGGAGCACAAGGGCCCAGAACCTGCAGTCAAAGCCCCTAGGTGCCAGCCCTGACCTGCTACTCAACAGCTATGAGGCTCTGGGCACGTGCCTCCCCAGTCTAGGAGGGGCTTCCCTAGTGGCAAGGTGGGCAGGTGGACAGGCATCTCTCTGCCCTTCTGTTATCCTTCTGTCCTGGGGAGTGGGTTGCAGGATCCCCCACGCACCGCCACCTCTACCCAGCGATGCAGACACAGAGCTGCTGGCTCAGGGTGGGACTGACTGCTCCACTGGACCCACCGCCCAGGGTTCCAGCTGGTGTGGATGAGGGCAGAGGCCCAGCCTGGTCTGTGACAGCCACCCGTCCCCCACCCCCACCCCCACCCCACCTCACTGACCACTTTCCCCAAGCCCAAGCAAGACACTTTGGCTCAAAAGTCATAGGGCCTCTTTCCTCCAAGGATTCAATTTCCTTTCCATGGATGGACACAGGCACTACTGCCCCACCCCACCCCAACCCCCAGCAGGAAGAGGAGAGTGATCCAAAAAGAAGATCATGGTTTCTGAAATGTTTTGTTGCTGGATAAAGCCCAGAGAAGTTGAGCAACATTCCTGGAGTCACACAGCAAGTCAGCTGCAGAGTATGCAAATAAAAAGAAAAAAAAAACACCCTTCAAACCAGCCACATCTACCCTAACCCTTCCCCACGCCCTGTGTGGGGGTGGGAGAGAACTCACCACCTCCTTCCTAGAGCTCCTTCTCGCTAAGAAAATAAGAAGCCTAGAAGCCCAAGCGATTGTCCCGCCCCACCACGGGTAATTCTTGGGTTAAGTATTCTTCCGCTACCTGCGCAGGGGCACTGTCTGGTGAGGGCAGCCCGCACCAGCCCCAAACTAAAAAGTCCCGGACCCACCCCAGAACTAGGCTCTGAAGATGCTCCAGAGGGAATCCCCAACCTAGGCAGTCCCCTCGGCAGAGCTGCCTGCTTCACCACGGGTGAAAGGAAGGGATCTGCTAGAAAGACTCCCACCAGCCGATTCCTGAGCCCACCCCTGGGGAGAGGGCACAGGCTTGTAGCGCGGGTTCTTGAGGATGCCAGGGCAAGGAGTGCATAGCCCGGAAGCAACCTGAGTGTTCGGGGCATCACCGCTGGGGCCTGAAGAGGGGCTGACAACTCCCCCGGACTGTCCCACCGCAGCGTTCCGGACCTTGCCACCACCAACTGGAGAAGGCTCCCCCCTTCCTCCGCTGACAGATTCCCACATTTCCCCTCTCCACTCCGCACCGCGCCCAGGGGACTCCGGCAGGCAAATACTCGCTGCCATAAAAGTGAACTATGGAGGCTGAAGTCAGAAGCGCAGACAGCGTTACCCCCGAGGCGGGGGTTGAGGGCGGGGGGTGCTCGGGCCAGAGATAACCAACTCTTATAGCCACTTTGAAAACTATGATCCATACCCTAGGACTGCCCACACCTGTCTGGGCACCAGGGTCGGACCGGGCGGGGCAGCTTGCCCCTTAAACACACCTCTATCCCGCCCCGGCCACTCGCCCACCCATTCCCGCAGTCGTCCCCCGGCGCAGTGAGGGCGTGCGGCGGCGAGCGGGTACCTGCTTCCTGAGCGCCTCGAAGGCTGCGCTGATGGTGTGCACCCGCGTCCGCTCCCTGGCGTTCGCCAGGAGCCTCCGGGTCTGCTGCAGGGCTTTGATCTCGGAGGAGGCGGCAGTCGCTTCGCCCGGTCGTTTCCTAGGCGACGCGGAGGAATCCTGGTGGTTATTGTAAATTACGTGTGAAATTGACGAGTAGGAACTTTCCCCGGGGCGCGTCGGGGGCGCAGGGCGCACAGTGGACTCCGGGGGCGCTGGCGGTGCTGGGGGTGCTGACGGCGCGGGGCGCGCGGGCGGTGCGCACAGCAAGATGCGAGGACGCAGACCCGGCTCCCGGAAAGGCTGTGCCTCTGGGCCCCCAGGTGCCTGGCTCTGGGGCGCAGGAGGCGGCGGCGGCGGCGGCGTGGGGAGTCCTGGCCCCACTGCGCCTAGGGCGAAGCAGCGTTTCCGCGCGTCGGAGACCTCGGGCGCCCGAGAGCCCCCGCGCTCCCCGGCTGTGTCCGTGCCCCCTCTTGGGGGAACGGCCGGCGCCACTGGGACTGGCACCGGCACCGGTACCGGGACCGGCTGCAGCCGATGGGTCCTGTCCCGCAGCCCGTTGGTGGCTACGGCGCGGGGCTCGGGCGCTTCCAAGTCCAGTCGGAAAGTTTTATAGCCGTTCGCGCGCCGCGCCGGCTCCTTGCCTTTCCGCTTGAGCTTCTTAAGGCCGTTCAGCTCCTTCACGCACACGGTCTTCCACGGCCCGTCCTCGAGGACCGGGATGTGCTTCATGGCGCGGGCGGCGCGCGAGGCAGGGGCGTGGGGCTGCCCGGGCCGCCGCCGCGCTCAGCGCCGAGGAGTCTCTGGCTCTCCCGCTTCGCCCGCCCTCCCCCTCCCTCTCTCCCTTTCTCCCCCTCGCCCCGGGCAGCTGCGCCGCCGGCTTCGGGAAGCCGCCGGGCTGTCCGTTCCCGGAGCGCTCAGAGTGTCATCTGAAGTCGCTGCCTCCTTGCCAGCATTTCTGGAGAACGCCCGCTGCGCTCCATCTGTGTTTGTTTAGCCTCAGTTTACACAGAAGCCCAGTTCGCGAGATCAGTCAGCGCCGCCGCCCGGAGAGGAGGCAGCTCCCGCCGCCACCGCCTCCCCAGCCCGGGCCGCCCGAGCCGCGAGCGCCTTTAAAGAAACAGGAAGCATTTTTCAAAACAGCTGGGCCGCCGGCCGCCTCCTTTGTCCGCGGGCTCCCTACCTCCCCCCCACCCCCATCCCCTTGGCCCAGAACCTGCCTCCTCCGGCGCTCCCTCCCCGCCCCTACTCTAGTCGGGGGCGCTTCTATGTTCCCAGAGGACAGTCCGCTCCTGCACAACCGCCCCGAGCACGTGACTTATGGGCCCCCGGCCCTTCCCCAAATCACAGCGGGGCCTTTTCTCCCTGGCCTTGCCGGCCTCTCGGTGACGCAGCTCCGACCTTGCCCACCCGGCACCTTCCCGCCGCTCCCTCCGCCCCAACTCGCCACGAGACAGAAAACGCCGGGAGCTGGGACTTCTGCTGGGGGCCGATGGGGAAGGGGAGACTCCGGAGTTGCCCGGCGACCCACACCCGCCCGGCACGGCAACCCAGTCCACTCTCACTTGCTGGAGCGGGAAAGCAAGAGGAGCAGAGGGCTTAAGACAGGGAAACTGAGTTTCCGAAAGCTCCAAAGTCACGCAGCAAGTCACAGAGGCAGAGGAGGGTGGAAGCTTCGGATTTAGGCAGACCTAACGTCTGCGAGCCTCCGCAGTCACCTCACTCCAGGCGCCCTGCTAAACCGGGATTTACTCATCTGTGAAATGAGAAATTCGGAGAACAACGCCTAAGTCACAGCATTGCTCTGAGGAATTAAAGCACTAGGCACATAGGAACGGGTCGTCAAATGGTAGCTGTGGTTGTTGTTAGTATTATTTATTGAGGCAAAACAGCTACTTGAGGCAGATTTCCTGGGCTCAAACCCCAGCTCTGCCACTCACTGAATGACCTTGGGAAAGTCACTTAACCTCTCTGTGCCTCCCTTTCCTCACCTGTAAAACGAGGGTCATAATCGTACCTTCCTCCCCAGGCGGTGTGAAAAGCGTGTATGCGCAAGGCACTCAGAGCAGTGCCTGGCACCAGGTGAGAGCTTTGCAGGTGCCCACGGTTATTGGCAAGGGGCAGAGGTAGACCCCCCAGACCCTCAGTCATCAGTGCCATTCCACTGGAGATTCTGGAAAGAAGGGGTCAAACTAGTAGGCCCTCAGATGTCCTTGCCAGAGGACTGCTTCCCAGCCGCTCCCTTCCGAGGCTCAGAACAGGGCTTCACTCCTTGCTGGTCCCTTCTCTGTGACTGTTACTCCTTAAGGAAGGTGGACACTAAAAGCCAGCAAGGTGGTTTGGGAGAAGATGGACCCTTGACCCTGGCCTTGAACTCTGATGAAAACACAAGGGCTCACACAGAGTGGAGTGCTTCTCTCCTCCATGGGAGAATGCCTAGGGGTGGAGGAGGCAGATGGCACGCAGGGTGCTGGGAGGTGGGATGGGGATCTGGGCATAGCTTTGGGGGCAGGAGCATGGAGCTCCAGCCAGCAGCCCCGGTTGAGCCTTGGTTTGTCAACGACGGAACCCCATGACCACGAGCAAGACGTTTCCTCCCACCGTCACTCTTTTCTGTCTTTGAGGATATTTCCAGCCAACCTTCTCAGGGTAGCTGGGAAAGGACAAAGAGATGGATGTCAAAGGACTTTGACATAAGACTTCAAACATAGACACACACACACACACACACTGAGGCATGCAGTTTTCTGAATATAGTAAATGCAAAATCTCATTTTGCCACCAAGGTGGGTGCCAGCATCATAAAGCATGTGCTCCCGGAGACATCGTCTTCCCTGGACACCTGCATATTCCTGCACCTTATCTCTGTCCTGGAGACCAGGTGTGTGCTGCCAAAGAGGAGCCCTCATTCTCCTGTCGTTTCCCTGCTCAGCCTCGAACCCTAAAGTTCTGGCCTTTGCTCCCAGGTCTCCCACGGCTCCCCTTTGCAACGCACACTCTTCCTCACCCTTCGATGAACAGCTCCGGTCCCCCTCCTCCCGCGAACCTTCCCTGCTCACCATAGCCTCCAATTGCTCTTGCTGGCCTGTGTGCATGCTTGCTCAAAAGTCCTGCTGCAACTTAGCCTCCACTGCAGCCCTGTTGGAACTCCTGGGCTTGTGCGTTCCTCAAAGGCGCACTCTTGCCTTCCTCCCTGTCTCTAAAGGCTGGTGCTCAGGAAACCTCTGATAAGGACAAGCAACCCTCGTGCCCTTTACACTCCTGTCTGGAGACCCAGTCCTCCTGTGCATCCAGCCAGTCAGTGGCAGAGATGGAGGAAAAGTGACACTCCTTCTCCAGGGCTGCTCAGGTACTCTCTGAGCTTCAGTAGCTTCCTCTGTAAAACGGGAGTAATGATACCGTGCCTCACACGGCTGCAAGGACTCAAAGACGCAGCATGTGCAGCATGTGGCATGATGCCTAGAGTCTAGGGAATGGTGACCTTGGGCATCCTGGGTCAGCCAGCTGCTAAGGCCCCCTTGCATCCCAGACTTGGGTGTAGCTGAAGACTGGGGTGCCCGTGGCTGGTGAGGTTGTGTGAGAAGTCTCTAGCAGGACTGAATTTTGTCCTTAAAGAGGCCAAGCTGTGTCTGGGAAAATCACATCTTGGCTGAATACCAAAGGATCCACTCATACTGATCCTAAGCCCCGTGCCAACTTCCCCCCAAATAGAGGAGAAGGTCACCGAGATCCCATGGGGCAGGAGGAGGCGAAGGGATTGGATAGGAATGATCAGCCATGCAGGGTGGAGGTAGAGCAGGGCTCCAAGCCGGGCTACAGGCTTCCAGACAGGCTCTTTCTCCTCAACATGCTGCCTCTCCCGCTGGCCAAATGCCAGGGCCCCAGAGTTGGCAACAGGCAAGCCCAGAGGGATCTTCACCTTGTCACGTACCAGGTGTGTGACCTTGAGCAGCTCCCTGACTTCTCTGAGCCTCTGTTCACTATCTGGGCATCATCTCTTGAGTCTTGAGATGGAATGGTGTGTGTGGGAACAGGCGACAAATTGTAAAGAGGCCGATTGATGTGGAGTCCCTGCTATTGCCATTGTCAGCCTGCCAGGTTGCAGACCTTCCAGGTCCAGGCTGGCTGCCCACGCCCCACCAGCCTAGGGGTCAAACCTGTCTTCCAAGGGCTCTCACTTCTGCCTTCCTCAGCCTTGCTGAGAATTGGGGCAGAGACCAGCTGGGCAGCACCCCCTGGTGGTATCACACTATTGGGACTGCACACAACACTGCGGTCTCCCCATGAGGAACTTTTGCCCATTGTGGTGGCCCTGTAATGACAGTAATGTGGATTTCATGAATTCATAGACTTTCCAGGATAAAAAGTCTCCCAAGGCTCCATTTGGCCCTACTCACACCTTTGGATGGTACAATGCAGACGACACCCTATGCCCTTCATTAAAAACATCGCCCACTGAATTAACCATTTGAGGTGACCCTGGGATCGAGGGATGTTGTCACTGGAAGATTCCATACCCCTTTGGATGGCTGGTCTAGGGAAAAGGAATAAAGATAAAAAGGGAAGGCAAAGCAAGAGCTTAGGGGTCAGGCCACTGGGAACAGATATTAGAAAGTCAGGCAATCGTTAATTCTTTAATACTGCCATGCAAGGAGTGCATACAAACTCTATCTCACTAATCCTTATCATCACCCAGGGAAGTAAACCCACTCTACAGATAAGAAGACTAAGGCTCTTAGTGGGGAAAAAAATAATCTTGCCAACAGAAAGAACAGTCACTGGGTGCGGTGGCTCACGCCTGTAATCCCAACACTTTGGGAGGCCGAGGCTGGTGGTTCACAAGGTCAGGAGATCGAGACCATCCTGGCTAACACAATGAAACCCCGTCTCTGCTAAAAATACAAAAAAATTAGCCGGGCATGGTGGCGGGCGCCTGTAGTCCCAGCTACTCGGGAGGCTGAGGCAGGAGAATGGCGTGAACCCAGGAGGCGGAGCTTGCAGTGAGCCGAGATCACGCCACTGCACCCCAGCTTGGGCAACAGAGCGAGACTCCGTCTCAAAAAAAAAAAAAAAAAAAGAACAGTCATGGGATTTGAACCCAGGCCAACTGACCCCAAAACCCAAGCTCTGAACCACTGTGTCCGCTGCCTCCTGAGAGCTCAGTGACTAGCATCTGGGAGGTGATAACTGGGCCACCTATAGGGCTGGCCTGTGTAAGCCAGCTCTTCCTGCTGTGCTGCCAGCCTGGTGGGCTTCTTGCTGTCAACCTCTCAGCTGGAGCCACTGGCCTCCCTTGGTCCAGCACAGTGCACTTCTAGCTCCTTCTAGTCAGGGTCAGATGGCAAGGGCATATAGAGCCCAGATCTTGGTATCCAGGCACTGGAGCCCTCCCTCCTTGCAAGTGGAATCTGCCCAGCAGTTCCTTGGTGCACACACCACCCGAGTGCAGACAGGACAGCCCTGCAGGCCAGTGATTAGCTGCTTCTTGGCCGGATAGGATGGAACCTTGGATGCTTGCTACATGAAGCTCTGCATTCCTGAATCTGGAGTCCCTATTTATGGCTGTTCAGATTGTTCCAAAGTAGGTGTGGCACCCGTTAGAGAAAGGGAGGAAGAGTGGAAACTAGACTGCCATGAGGAAACTCTCCTAGTGGAAACAGACACAGCATGAATGGTGCCCCCCTGGGGTGGTACTCACAGCAGCTCCAGAAAGGGCCAACCAGGGGAATAAGAAGAATCCAGAGTTCCTCCCCGCCTCCCATTCACAGTGCTAGCACTGCCACCATTAACCAGCAGGACATTGGATCCAGAGGACAGTGATGAGGCATCCAGGCAGGAAGCTCTTTCAGACTCTCCTGCAATCTTCCTTCTACCTTCCTCTATTCAAGTGGCCATCCCAATTATGGAAAACCGAGTCTTTGGGGCTGGGCAGATGCCAGATAAGGGCACTCTCTCCCTGAGACCCGCTGTGTGCACCATCTCAGCACATGCTCTGTGTACCTTCTTAACACATGTGCAGAGGGCAGTGCCCAGGGGGTAGGGTTTAGTCCTGACTCTTGGTCAGAGTGGAAAGGGAGAGTGGGGAGGGAAAAAGGTCACGAGGGTTGTCAACAAAAAACAGGAGGAGGCTGGCATGACATATCTCCACACCATTGGCCAGGTGTCCTGTTAAAGCAGGACATATGTCATTTCTCTGCTTAAAACCTCCGCTTGAATTCTTTTGCTCGGATGTTCGTGGCTGCTATGAATTCCTTCCCTCCCTGCATGCATGGAGAGGTGGAGTCTGTCCCTCCATTGCTGGGAACCTGGGCTGGCCTGTGACTGCTCTGGCTAATGGAGCCCTGCAGAAGTGCTGCTGTGCTTTATGGAGACTGGCTGTTTAGGCTTCCGGCCAGTTGGAAGCCTTTAGTTGCTAAGTGAGAAACCCCGGTGGGTTCTGCTGAAGAGAGAGGCCACATAGAAAGCAACACAGTGCCAGACATATGAGTGAAGAAGGCTCTCAGCAGAACCTTATGGGTGCCTCCAGCCCCAGCCTCTAGCTGGCTGCAGCCCCATGGGGGAACCCACTAAAGAACCACCCGGCTGAACCCAGTCAACTAACAGAAACATGAGAAAGAATATTAAATGGTTGTGTTAAGCCACTACATTTTGGGGTGGTTTCTTATACAGAAATAGAGAACTGAAACATTCGAGTAGGAGCAAAAGTTGACATCTGGTCCCCCATTTCCTCTCTAACCTCATCCCCCGCCCTAGCCCATATACTCTGCTCTCACCACACAGGGCTCCCTGCCATTCCTTGAACCTACCCAGCAGGCTCCCACCTCAGGGCCTTTGCATTGGCTGTTTACTGTGCCTGAAATGCCCTTAGCTCGGGTAGCCTCAGGGTTCACTTCCTCACCCCTTTCTGGTGTTTCTATGTCCCCTTCTCAGTGAGGCTGTCCCTAATCACACTCTATGAAGTTTGTACCCTTCCCCTTCAGTATTATCTACCTCTTCCTTGCTTTATTTTCAATGGCATTTACCATCATCTGCCATACTATAGATATCACTGGTTGCTTGGTTTCTGTCTCCCATACACTAGAAGGTCAGTTCCATGAGGTCAGGGATTTTTGCCTGCCTTGTTTACTGCTATATCCCAGCCGCTAGAACAATCCCTAGTACACAGTAGACACTCAATAAGTACTTACTGAGTGAATGAAGGTCCACTCCTCTGTTTGGACCAAGACCTGCTCAGCTATTTAGTCAGCTGCTTTGACCAGAAAAAAACAGTGGATCCAGAGACAGAGTTGGTCATGTCAAAGGCACAGCTGCCCTGACTGCCAAGAACTTGTGGTTGTCTTGAATCCACAATCTTTTCTCTGGCATTGGGTTCCCCAACCTGATCAATTGAGTTGGGAGCAATGGATTCAAGTCAACAGTCATTCTTACACTGGACAGAACTCGAGCTGAGCCGGGCACTGTAATGGGGCTGGTTAGAAAGATAAGTTTGGTGACTGGGCACGGTGGCGCACTCCTGTAATCACAGCACTTTGAGAGGCTGAGGCAGGTAGATCCCTTGAGGCCAGGAGTCTGAGACCAGCCTGGCCAACATGGCGAAACCCTGTCTCTACCAAAAATACAAAAAGTTAGCCAGTTGTGGTGGCACACACTTATAATCCCAGCTACTTGGAAGTCTGAGGCAGGAGAATCGCTTGAACCTGGGAGGCGGAGGTTGCAGTGAGCCAAGATCACGTCATTGTCCTCCAGCCTGGGTGACAGAGCGAGACTCCATCTCAAAAAAAAAAAAAAAAAAAAGAAGAAAGATAAGTTTGGTGAGGTTTCTGCCATCAAGAGCTCACGTCCTGCAAAGAGACCATCCTCATCCCTTCCTTTATCCACCATAAGCCTTCGCTACCCTCTGTAGAGCACCTGCTAAGCCTGGGGTTATGCAGCAGTGAATAGAGCAAAACCTCTACCCTGTGGAGCTGACATTCTAGTAAGAGGAGACACAGTGCCCACCTCAAGGAACTCCGAGTCCAGTAGGAAAGATAATGCAAGTCTGAACCAGTACGAAGTGATAGACACTAAGGAAAAAGCTGTAGGAATTCAGAGTGTAGCCAAACAGCTCTGGGGGACTTCCTGGAAGAAGAGGCATTTAAACCAGGCTGGAAAGATGGTGGGATTTGGCCGGGCAGACCACCTCCCTGAGAAATGCCTATGGCTTGCTTCCTCTCCTCCTCCAAACCTTTGCCATTATGTCACTTGGTCACTGAGGCCTCCCCTTACCACCCGTTTCCAGCTGGAGCCACCAGCCATTTCACCTTATGACATGCTCTATGCTTTACTTGTGCAGTGTGCTTGTTCTGTGTCCCCACTTGAAGGAGACAGGAAGTGGCAGGTAGGAGCAGTGCTTGGGTGTGGGCAGAGCCCAGTGAGGTTCCCACTGGCAGGTGACATGACACTGTCCTGACCGTTGAGGGTCTGTTAGGGATGATTTCAGCCTCAAGGAGCCCTGCCTAAGGAAGAAACATGGTCGGCCCCAAGAGGATAAGTGCGCTGCCTTGGAGCAGCCAAGTCTCCAGGCTCTCGGCTTCCTCTGCCTGGCATCTGACTTGTCCCTGCCTTCTCTTGCTCCTCTTCCCTCCCCCTGACATCCTCCTGTCCCCCAGATTCTTCATTCTGAAGGCTCTGATGGATGCAGGAAGAAGGTTAGGGTCCCCTGCTGGTGCTCTGCTCCTCTCCTGTGCCCTGTGAGATTCTGTTTCTGCAAAACAATATTATTCATCATATTAACCTGTTTGTTAAAGTGAATTTTGATCACCTTTGTAGTTTTGCTTGTATTCATTTATTAATTTGTTTTGGGCTTATAGTTATATAAGAATTAAAAACATAAAGTACAAGAGCATAATTCTGATCTTAGGGTTCTGGGACAATGTGTTTCCTTTTGGGACGAGGGCATATGTTACTCAAGTTCAAGAAGCTCTGGGCTGGACACTCTCTGAGTTTTCTGCACCTCTGACTTAGTGGTCTGGAAGTTGAGAGATGCATTCTCTTCCCAGGACCAGCTCGGTACCCTTCGGCATCTGCCTCCCCTGTCCTCTATCTTCCCCCTCCCGCCCCACCGCAAGCCTCAGCCTCTTCATCTGTAAACGGAGAAAAGAGAGGGGGAGCTGGAACCCACAGATCTCAAGCTCTTCCCATCCCTAGTGTCTTAGGATTTGTCTTAAGCCTCTTAAAAACCCCAGAGCACAGCAGTGGGGAAAAGTGAAACATTCACCCGTGAGAAAGTGAGCTCCCCTGCATGCCTAACATCCATCGCAGGCAAGAAAAACTGTCTCCCAGGGCCTCGATGAGCCCAATGAACATCAACGAGGGATGAGCCGGGAGGGCAGACAGTGAGCAAGCTGCTCATTAGGGCTCTGCTCATCAGGACCTAGTTGTCAACAGCCTAACCAGGCTTGGCTTGAGCCAGCGATCTCCTGGGAGCTGTTAGCAATCCCTGCAGATGTGCTTTGCGGCTAGATGTGAAGTTAGAGTGTGCTGACTTCTTCTTCATCTTCTTCTTCTTTAAGGAAAACAACTTTCAGTTCCCCAAGGAGCACATTCCTTCATTGTGAGGTCTTCCCTCCGCATTTCCCCATTCCCTCAGAAAAGAAAGGAAGCAAAAAAGCCTTGGCTGCTGCTTCTGTGTAGGCTCCTCAAACAACAACAACAAAAAACTATTTTTGCAGCTCTCTGAAAAAGTCCCCACTGATGGCAGCAGCCAGAGAACATGAGGGGGCAGAACAGAGCTGACGCAATGCACATTTATTAGCAGTGAGGAAAATTAATAAGGCACCAGCTCGAGGGCAGCCCCACAGACCTGGATGCCCCAGGGACAGCTGTAGACCTGGTGGTCCCCAGGCTGAGTCCTCAAGATGCCTAATCAGTTGCAATTCTAGATCAGCACAGCTGGAGGGAGGCTTGGAGATCATCTAGTCCAGAGGACAAATGCTTTTTATCACGCATGCCAAATCTAATTGATTGGTAGAGGCTGCCTGAAGCTCTGTGTTGAAAAGGATCCTGAGGCTGCATCTGGGTCCCTTTGGGAATGAGTGCTATAATTGATTAGCAATGTCTGCCATGGATGAAAGAAAAGGAGTGGCAGGATTCACACCATGTGTTTGCCACTCCTGGTCTAGTTCGATCCTGCCTTTTTTTTTTTTTTTTTTTTTTTTTGATGAGAGAGACTGAGTCCTGACGCCCGTTGTTGGTAGGGTTTTTCCCAGCCTTCTCAGGAATCTGACTACTGTTGGTCAGTGGCAGGTAGCCTGAATGTCTCTGAGGACTGAAGATGTCAGATCCAAAGACTGTCTCCAAAAAGCCAGAACAACTGCTGATTTTAGTTAATGCTATAAACTGCCTGTTTCCTGGAAATAATCGGTAAAATTAGTTGTCTCGTGGAATCGACTGGTCAGTTCAACCAATGTAGGTGATGTATCAGGCCCAGGTAAGCCCCAAGCCAGTGTCTACCTAACGTTAGTGCTCAGTTTGGCCAAAAAGAGTTCATGGGGGAGGCTAACCAACTATCTGAGCTCAAGACAATAGAACTCCCAAGTGGTCAACAAAGTTGTTCTAATCAGATGGATCACTGGCCGTCTGATTACTACCAGACAAGCTTGAGTCAAGGTGTTCTAGCCACCCTGGCCAGGACTCTACCTCCCTCACCATCATCTCCTCCTGCCCTTCCAGCCTGGCTTCTTTCCTTTCCCCTTTTGAGCCCGTGACAGATCCTGCTTCCTCTGCCAGAGAATCCTTCTGCAGTGGGCTGAACACCTCGAGAAAGTCTTCCTGACTGACCCTTCCAACACCTGCAGATAGTTCCACTGCCTTAGAGCCTCTCCTTCCATCTGTGACAGCTCAAAAACCATTCAGGCCACTCCTCATTTTAAAACTGAGGAAACTGAGGCTCAAGAATGGACATGGCTCACTTGATATCACACAGGAGGTAGACTGTTGACTTTAACCAATTGCCCCCCACTCAGTTGGCTCAGGTCTCCTGATTCCAACTCCAGGGTTGTGGTGGCTGCCTGGGGAAAATCCATTCTGTCTGGTTCACTGAGTTTCGTGCGTGACTCAGAACAACACAGATAACTTCTGAGGACTCCTGGAAGTGGGCGGACCTTCACTTTGGGGTGGCAAAGAACTTGACATGTGATGGGGGTGTGTGGGGGAGTGTGAGGGTGGCGTGGGTCATTGGTAAGGGGGGTAGGCTGCAGGAGAGGGCTGACCTGATATGAACCCTGGGGGGACTGCCAAGGGGCCCAGCCACTACCTCCTGGGAACAAGGAAACAAGGTAGTTTATCTCTCTGGCTTCGGAGCGTTTGTCACACTGCCCCCTGGAAGTCTACCCTGGCATCTTAGGTCCCCAACATTCCCCATCTTGAATTCAACAATCCTCTTTTGAGTGGGGCAGGGAAAACAAGCCCTTCCACAAGGAACTCGGCTAAGTGAAAAGTGGCCCTCAGCGGTGGTGGACAGAGCCCAGGCTTTGGACAAGGATGGTCCCGAATTGACCCTTGGCTCACCACCTACAAGCTGGGAGTTTGGCTGAGTTCCTTGATCTCACCGGGCCTCAGTTTCCTTGTTTGCAAAGCTAGGATAGAAAGATTACTGGCCCTCATAGGGTTGTTGTGAGGATTAAAGGGAGATTATCAATGTAAAGGGCTGAGCACAGGGCTTGGCAGATGGCAGCTAATAACTGCACCTTGAACGTCTCTCCTCTCCTCTCAGTGCAGTACCATACATGCTTCAGGGCTCTGATCCTACCACACCTCCTTCAGGAAGCCTTCCCTGGACACACTCAGCCCAGAGGAACACACTCCGCTCTTGGGAACTTCCAGGCTCACCTGCCAGTGTTCTATACTGAAAGCCTTGTTTCTCCAAAGAACCCACAGATCACTGGGGGCTGATGTGGTTTGCAGCCCTCCTTGCTCCTGCAGGCTCCCAGCTCAGAGCTGAACACACAGCACATGCTGAATAACATGGCTGCTCAAGCTCCTGGCACCCTCTCCCCGCCCCAGCCCACCTTATTCCCCCAGATCCCCTGATTTTCCAACCCCCTGTCTCATTTGTTCCTAATGCTTCTGTCTCCATGTCTCCAGAGCTCTGTTTGCATGAGGGAAAAAACTCTACATACACACACACACACACACACACACACACACACACACACACACACAGCCCAGAAAGCATCCAGTTGCTCCCGGGCTGGCTGCCAGCGATTGAGTGACCTGCAGCTTCCTCCCCAAATCACATTCCACTGGCACGGATCTTGCCCCGCCTGACGCCAGCCTCCGAACTCGCCCCCAGAGCAAACATTTCCAGTTGGCAGCTCGGCCTTGTTTTTCTGAGGCCCTGATTCGGGCTCCCTTGTAGAAAACAGAAAACAAAATGCATTGGACCAAAAATGAAATGAAATAAATTTTAAAAGGATGGAGGGCTGGGGGAAGGCATTTGCTCCAAGTCACATGGAAAAATAGAAGCTTCAGGGTGTACAAATAGCGTTTAAGAAGCAAACACACATGCTCACCATCCCCCCATCCTGCTGGCTTTGAGGCTGTGATCAATTCATTCAGGCTGCTGCCTCCCGCTAAAAGACTTACTCTGTTCTCATTCACAGCTGCGAGGGGAGGACCCGGGAGAAGGGTGGTGGGAGACCACAGATCTGAAAGGGGAGGGTGATCGGGGTTACAGGACTGTTGTTTGTTCCAAAGGGGAAATTAGAGGAAGAAAAATAAACATGGCCAGCCACATTTTAACCCCAGTGCGCGAGGAGTCCGGGGATGGACAGGGTATGTGTGTGCGTGTGCTGGCGTGTGCACATGCCTGTGGGCGCCGCCGTGTTTGCCTTCTCAAAATAAGAGCTGCTCAGTGGAAAGATGTCATAACCCAGGCTCAGGCGGCAGGGGGACGGGCCAGCCAGGGGGGGCAAGGCTGGCGCCCAGGCCTGCCCATGGGGTCAGGCAAAGGCCGGGTGTCAGAACAGGGGAGCTGTGAGTCAAGGGCCAGGCGTTTGATGCCGAAGGTCAGCCCCCAGCTGGGGCTCAGTCCATGGGGAAGAGGTGGTCCGAGGAGCATTGCTAAGAAAGGATGAGCTCATGGGATGTGGGGCTCATCTCAGCAAAGGAGGGTTGTGATGTGGGGAGGGAGGCCCCAGGGGAAGTCCATGGAGGTGGAAGGGACTAGGTGAGGTGGCAGGGTGAGGAGGAGGACAGAGAGGTGGTTAGCTGACCCCAGAGTGAGGGCAGTTGGCCACCAATCTGGCTGGGTCACAGAGCTGAGGAGCAGGGCTGCAAAGCACCTCCTGCCCAGGAACAAGGATGCTGGGAGGTGGCATGGGAAAGGAGACAGGGATCCCAGGACTGAGAGAGCATGCGGGACCTGGGCTGAGATGTAGGGTCCTTGGCCCAGGAGAGTCCCAGACGTGTTGTCAAGCATCAGGCCAGGAGTGAGTGGGCAGTCACATGAGAAGCCAGGCAGGTCCGTCAGCTTGGGAAGCCGTGAGACAGGACGAGAGCAGGCAGCTCAGAGCTGGCACCAGGACCTGTGTGGCTGGGTCGCTTCTCTATGGTGCCAGCTTCTCCATACAGGGAAGAGCCTGGCACCTTTAAGGGAGCTGGCAGTACCGAAGAGATCCCAGAGAGAGGGCCTGATGGAGTCTGCAGTGGCTGTCGGTGCTCAGCTTGATGGTCAGGGGCTCTGGAGCAGGAAGGTACACAGTCCAAGAAGGAAGATCCAGTGTCCCCCAGAGGGCGATGGCAGGACCGCCTGTGTCCTAATCACCTGGAGTATGTAATAAAATGTACCTTTCTTCCATTCTTTCTACCTGCTGGATCAGAACCCATGTGATTGGGCCACTGAGGAGCTGAACTTTAGATGGCCAGCCATGGGATTCTCCTGCACATTCAGGTTGAAGAATCCCTGCCCGAGCTGATGTTGCCAAATCCTTTGACCTTCCTGGCTCCTCTTCTCTGGCTGTAGCACTATCTATCCAGACCCTAGGAACCACAGGACTTTCCACTTTCCCTTTACCACGATCTTCAAGGACAGTAGTCAACAAACCTTTCCCAAGGGTATTTTGACTTTGATTCCGAAACTTTGTAAACCCAAAGAAATGAGTCTCTAATGGTGGAAATTCAGGCCTGGAGAAAGCCAGTAAAAGAATCTTGGAGAGAACATGGGGTGCCTTCCAACTAACCCTCAAATTCGCTGTGTATCTGGGAGGCCCCAAAGACAGTTTTTAAAAAAACGTGTTTCCTTAATTGATCAGTTCTCAGAATAGTGACTTGGTTCTTTTTTGTTGTCATTTTGAATTCTTGGATTTTACAATATTTGATGTGTTTCAGCTCATTGCAGGATTTTTGTATGTTTGTTTTGGTTTGTTTTGGGATGCACAAATAATCCCATTTTATCCAGTGGGAGCTCCTTCAAGTTGGCACCTGAGTCCTTTTGACATGCCCCTCGTGGTGTTTGGTCACTTTCTCGCTTTCTGGTTCAGGATGTTCTGGGCTCATCTTGTGTATTTGTTGCCCCAGACCTGGAAACAGGCAATTCTCCAAGAAGCCTTGGTTCCCTTCAGTGAGAAAAGATACTTAGAGACCACAGTTTGGGCACTATACGTGCTCAACCAGAGACAGCTTCTTTTCTTTTTGTTTCTCAATCTTCTCGAATAACTTGAGTCTGGGCCAAGTGCATCTGAAGGACACCACACTCTGCCCCATTAAGTGTGTTTCTCCTGGATCCCAGGTTGTCTCTTCCTTGGAGGTAAGCTCTGCCCACCTGAAGCGGCCTCCTTCCTTTTACTTCCCTCCCCAGAGATTAACCTCAGTCTCCAGGGCTGGTCCATCAGCCCCAAAAGCCCACCATCTCTCTTGGGTGTGTACTGGAATATGAGGTGCACCGAGAGAGTTGCTTACCTCTCTATGCCGTAGCTTCTTCATCTGCAAAGTGAGGTTTTAAGGATTTTATTTTATTTTTCTTCTTTTAGAGTTAGGGTATCATTCTGTCACCCAGGCTCTAGTACAGTGCCACAATCACAGCTCACTGCAACCTCCAACTAGTGAGCTCAAGTGGTCCTCCCACTGCAGCCTCCCAAGTAGCTGGGACTACAGGTGCACACCACCACGCCTGGCTAATATTTTAATTTTTTTTAGAGATGGGGGTCTTGCTATATTGCCCAGGCTGGTCTCAAACTCCTGGTCTCAAGCGATCCTCCTACCTCTGCATTCCAAAGTGCTGGGATTACAAGCATGAGCCACTGCACCCAGCCAAAAGTATTTTAAATGAGATAATTCAAAGTTCTTAGCACAGTGCTTAGCAAATAGTGAGCACTAGAATACCATATAGATTTGTATTATTAACAGTGTCTGCCAGGGGAACCTACAAGGTCTTTATGTGTACAAGTAGAATTTCTGGCAGTCTTCTCTGATATTCCCCAGTAAAAGGGTTTGTAGATCCTCCCACCTTGCTGCAAAACAAAGACACAAAGGAATTTGTGCCGCATTAGACCGTTTGAAGGAGGGAGCCCCCAGTTGGGAAAGGAGCATTCAAAAGAAGGAAGAAGTCTAGGGAGGGATGTCTTAAGCTGCAAGAAATACACAAATGTACGTGGAGGATGGTGGGCACTGTGAAGCATGTGTGGGGTAAGAGGAACATTGTGTAAGTATAAACCAGGATCACAGGATGGCAGGGCCACATGAAATTTTAGCCTGTGGGATCTGAGGCAGCTCTAGGGACCAGCTCCCTACTCTGTGGCAGTCAATAAAGCTGGTCACAGATATTCCTGTTTCTCCTCTTTCCACACAGACAGTAGCATTGCACGACTCTTCCATCTTTAAAATTAGGCACAGCCATGAGATTTGCTTTAGTCAATGAATTGTAAGCAGAAGGGGCATGTGTCACTCTAGACAGAAGCCTTAAGGGCCAGTGTACAATTGGCTAAACTTCCTTCACCTGCCTCTGCAACTGTGGAAGCACGCATCAGCCTCTATCAGCCTACGTTCCCATGTGACTATGGTGCACGGAGCCTTCCCTGCTGACCTGTGATGGACAGGTCATGCGTGGTCAAGAAGAAACTCTTGTTGGGCTTAGCCCCTGATATTTGGGGTTGTTTCCACAGCAGAACCTAGCCTGCCCTGTCTGATTGCTCTCTATCTCCTTCTCAGTGGCTCATCCCCTCTCTCCGGGAGTCTGCTTCCCTCTGAATCTGCTCCATCCTCTTCTCATTCTTTCCCCGGACTCTAGGATAGCTCTTCTTTCCTTGTAGCCATCACCTGCTCCTCATCTCTGCTTCCACGTCACTTCCACTTGCCTGACGTTCTTCTAGGGCCTATCTCTGCTTTGTGGCTTTACCTGTAACTGCCTCATTCTTCAAGATCTCTTACCTCAGAGAGACAAAGAAAGACTGACTGCCCCAGCGCATCTCTTCATGCCAAGCTACACATCGGTTATTGCTTCTAGACTGGCCCTCTGGGCTGGATCCCAATCCCTGGCCCAAATGGCTAGAGAGGATGAGGACAAGCGAGGGGGTGCTATTACAAGATACAACACATAGCGCCTGCCCCAGGATGTGGATGGGGCACAGCCACATGGCAGGGGCTATGAGTGGGCAGATACCAGGCCTAGGGAGTGGGTGAGAGAGAGGGAAGGATGTTTGCATTTAAGCACTAAATCAAGTTAACCTTCCATCTACAAGATACTAAACATCTGGCTGAAACAAGAGCACTTTGACAGAACATCTGGATATGCACTCGGCACAGTGTGGAGCAGCTGGATCCTTGGCAGCATCTGCGGGAGTGACTGATGTGGGGTCTCCTCCGTGTGTTTAACATCACATTTGTGCTTTCCTTTGCCTGTAGCAGAAAACCAGACTCACACTGGTTTAAATTTTAAAAGGGAAATTTTTACCTTGCTGGGCTGAAAAGTCCAGAGATGAGGCTGGCTTCAGGTTAATCTAACAGCTGAACAATGTCACCAAGGACCCAGTTTCCCTGTTTCCTGATATCAGTTTTATCCCTGAACTGGCTCCCCTTGGAGGTCCCAAAAAGGCTGCCAGAAGTCTGCACAGTTTCACTTATCTTGCTAACATCAGAAAAGTGGGTTCATATTTGTCCCCATGTTGCTAGCAATAAAGCCTGACACCACCTACTCTGATTGGACAGGACTGGGCCACATGCCACACTGATCCAATCACTCTGACCAAAGGGTAATGGAATGTGCTGACTGGCGTAGTCACATGCTCCACCTTGGAACCAGAACCATGCAGTTCCGAAGCCAATTTCTTCAGAACTACATGAAAGCCGGGCGCAGTGGCTCATGCCTGTAATCCCAGCACTTTGGGAGCCAGGAGGATTGCTCCAGCCTGGGGGTTCAAAACCAGCCTGGGCAACATAGCAAGATGCTGTCTCTACAAAAAGTAAAATAAAATAAAATAAAATAAAATAAATTAGCTGAGCATGGTGGCACACACCTGTAGTCCCAGCTACTCAGGAGGCTGAGGTGGGAGGATCCCTTGAGCTCAGGAGGTCAAGGCTACACTGAGCCGTAATTCCACCACAACACTCCAGCTTGGGCAGCAGAGCAAGACTCTGTCTCAAGAGGAGAAAGAGGAAAAAAATGAACTGCGTGGATTCCCAACATAAGCTGGAGAATGTTCAGAAGAGGGAAAAAGGCCGTGGAGGTATATCTGCTGCTAGACACAGGGTTGGGGCGGGGCTGAGGCAAGCGAGGAGCCTAGGGAACAGAATTTAAGAAGACATTCCGTCTCAGGGTCATGTGTGGACCCTGAACTGTCATAGCCCTGAAAGGGAGCATCTCCTTAGATGTTGTGCCATTTGCCTCACCCTAGTGACAGTGTGAGCTCTGGCTGCACAAATTACCCCAAAATTTGGTGGCTCCAAACAACAAACATTTATCATCTGTGGGGAGTTTCTGTGGGAAGGGAATTTGCAAGTGGTTTAGCTGGGGGTTCTGGCGCGGGGTGTCTCATGGGGTTGCAGTCAAGATGTCAGCCAGTGCTACAGTCATCAGAAGGCTTGCCTGGGGCTGGAAATCCACTTCCAAATGGCTCCTTCACATGGCTGTTGCCAGGAACTGAGATCTCAGTTCCTCCTCATGTGGTCTTTTCATAGGACTGCTGGAGCTTCCTCATGGCATGGTGGCTGGCCTCCCTCACAGCAAGTGGTCCAAGAAAGAGCAGGGTGAAAGCTATCCTGCCTTTTAGGACATAGTCTCAAAACTCATACAGTATCATTCTGCTACTTTCTATTCCTTAGAAATGAATCACTAGTCCAGCCCATATTCAAGAGGAGGGGAATTAGCTGCCACCTTTTGTAGGGAGGAATGTCAAAGAATTTGTGGACATATTTTTTTAATTTTTAAAAATGTTATTTATTTTTTGTTTATAGAGACAGAGTCTTGTTCTGTTGCCCAAGCTGGAGTGCAGTGGCGTGATCATAGCTCACTGCAGCCTCAAACTCCTGGGCTCAAGTGATGCCCCCACCTCAGCCTCCCAAGTAGCAGGGACCACAGGCATACACCACCATGCCCAGCTATTTTAATTTTTTTTTTTTTTTTTTTTTGTAGAGATAGTGTCTTGCTGTGTTATCCAAGCTGGTCTCAAACTCTTGGCCTCAAGTGATCCTCCTGCCTCAGCCTCCCAAAGTGTCGGGATTACAGGTGTGAGACACCGCACCCTGTCTGCAGACAAATTTAAAAGCACTCCATGAGACAATGACACGATAACTGGGTCACTAAAGATGCCTTGAATTACGGCTTCCTTACTTCCCATTATCTAAGACTGAGATAATACATATGCTTTATCTCATGTGCCAACTTTGCTTGATTTGTAATGACTGTATGAGAGAGTTAAGATTGATTGTTAATGTCTGCTCTTGGCCAAACCAACAATCATTGCTTCCTATGATTTTGATAACAGAATTTGTCTTTGTTCATGATCCAGCTGCAGTGTGCTCAGAGAAGGTGGCTCCCCCATCATGAATCAGGATTGTCCTAAACAATCCCTCCCATGGGAAGGGGTAATCTCATTTGCTCTTACCAGCAATTGTGACACAGTTTGGCCAAGATAAGGGGAATTCTGGTGGAGAGGTTCTGGAAAAGGTTTTCCTTCCAGATTAAATGACAGTGGTGGGGAGAATACTTCCTTTGAAAGCAATTTTAGAAGGACATAATGCTTGTAGGTCAGGCTGCCACATAACAACCCAAAGGAAAAACTATGAGAATTCCTAGGAGATGGAGACAGAGCCCAGACATCATGGAGCTGTTGGGTTGACTGATCCTGGAACTGCCCTCCTCTGCACTTCTTGTTTTGAGCAATAACAAATGCTCTTACTGAACGTTCTAATTGGGTTTTCTGTTATGGGTGGCCCAGTGCAAACTAATTGATATGTGAGGTAGTCCCACATATCAAGATAGTTTTATGTTCCTTTATATACCTTGAAGAAAACCAGACAAGTTCCTTCCTGGCATCCTGCAGAATATGACTCAATATGACTTATCACGTCCTTCTTCAGGATCACAAGGCTGTCTGGAGCCTCTTCTTGGCTAAGTAGGAAAGTAGAACCCTGCACTTTGTCTTCTTTCCTTTTGTTAGATGCAGATCTTTTTCCAGAGACCTTCACAAAGGAATCCAGAGCCACTTCAGGTCTGGCACCCAGTGGCAGGTTCATTGATCTCTGGGGAAAGGGAAGGGCTTCTGGCCCTCAAGGAACTTGTTTATGATAGACCCCTCAGACCCAGTCACCCAGGAGTGGGGGCCAGGCATGCTGGGGGTCAGGTCTGGCAAGGGCGCAAACTACTCCAGAGAGCCTACCCCACTTCCCTTCCTGTTCCCTCTTCTCCTTCCAAGAGCTTCTCTTCCTCTATACTTTCCTCGGCCCCAATATCTATTGTCTCCTTTTGCATTGAGATTTTTATTCTGGACACGTGGATGCTCAAAACCAAGGCTGCATTTCCCAGTCTCCCCTGCAGTTGGGGGCAGCTATGGGGAGTGTATTCTGGCCATTGAGAGGCAGGGGAAGGGGTGTGTCAGCTCCTGCGCTGGGCCATAAAGTGGGGTACAGTGCCCTTCCTCTACCCTGCTGCTTGAAATAGACTGTTGTGTTTGGGGGTGGGCATGTTTGATCATGACGATGAGGCTGACACCCTGAAAATAATGGAAGGAGAAGGTTCCTGGGCTCCCGCAGCAGCCCTGGACCTCCTACTTATGATTGTTATCTAAGTGAAACTTACATCTTCTTTGTTTGAGCCACTGTTATGTTGGGGTCTGTGTTACCTGTAGCCCAGCCCTTTCTCTCCCCTCTCCTCCTTTTCTTTCTCCTCCTCTCTCTTCTTTATATTATTCTCTTTTCTCTTTTTCCTCCTTCCTCCCACTCCTTTTTTTTTCTCCCAATCCCCAAAGCCCCTCGCCTTCCCCTTCTCTCTTCTCTCCAACCCACTAGCTTCTTCCAAAATGGCAGGTGATGGGCACAGACACCAAGAGTGCAGAGAGCCTTCCTGCTCCCTGGTCCCTGTGAATGTGTCCCTGTCCCAAAGGCCCTGGCCTGCTGGGGATTTGCTCCTACCCAGGGGAGCCTCCCGCTGTGTCCAGCTCTGTGCTCTGAGGATAGCCTGCACCCAGGGAGGAGGCAGAGAGCCAGCAGGGTGCCAACCTCAGGCAGCCTGTCCTGTGGCCCAATGCCCGGTGTCCAGCTCCTGTCTCATGATTCTGCAGTGACCGCTGTGGTGCCTGGAACTGGATTCTTCCCTGGGCTACAGACCATCTGGCTGTGCCCTCTGGCTTCCCCAGAAGGGGATGCTCTTAGATGTCAGGAAGCTGACGCCAGCCTGCTAGGAGCTGGCCAGGTCTAACTCTTTCTTCTTCAGCCTCAGATACAGACTTTGCCTGGGGTGGGAGATGGTGGCAGGAGAAGAGAAGCCAAAGAGGATTCACTCGCCACAGAGACTTGGTGAAAACCACTGTGCAGGCCCCTGTGACTTCCCCTCCTAGCCCTGCCCTCTGGGCCCCCGTGCCAACCCTCTGTCCCTGCTTAGCCCACACAGGCGACAGATGGTGCCTTGAAGATGAGTCCTGGGATGGGGCCCAGGGTGCCGGTGTCAGCTGTGGCGAGGCGCTCCCCTTTCATCCTCCAGCATGTGGCTGGGATAACCCCAGCTCTTCACCTGGCTAAGTAGGGCTCAGCAGGGCAGAAGGGCTGAGCTGCATGAGGCCACATGTGGGGACTTAGAACCTTTGGGAGTGGAGGCCCAGCGGGGAGGGGAGAGATGGCCAAGGCCCCAGGGTGGGCAGGAGAGTCAAGAGAGGCCAATACCGGGCCCCGCTTGCAGCCAGTACCGTGAGTGCAGGGCCTCCACTGGGCTCACATCACAGGGAATATATGAAGGACGCCCGTTTGCCTCCAGGCTGCTCTCAGAGAAGCTGGCCTCTCCCTGGGCCACGCTTTTGTTCTGGACTCCAACTCAAAGCCAGCTTTTGACAAGAAGCCAGGCTGGGAACAGCTTCACCTGGGCACCCCCAGATCACTGACTGCCTGTGCAGTTCGTGATGGTGTGATGTCAGGTCAGAATTCTCCAGACACTTTCCATCTGGAGTCAACACTATCCTTGCAGCTGCTCCGAAGGCCACGCCCTGTGGCCAGCCATGGATGGGATCAAGTGTCCATCCTTCTGGAGGCCGAGCATAGGGCAGGCTTTGGAAGAACAAATTCAAAGGCGGCTTTTTTTCAAAGGACAAACTGAAAGCCAGTAGAGGCTGAGGGAACAGAGAAGCACTTGTGGGGTGGAAGGGCAGAAACTCTGAGCCCAGAGGGAGCAGGGAGAGGCCTGCCAAGCCCAGGGCTAGGCCAGGAGTGCTGGGGAAGGGTGTTGAGGGGGAAGCCAGAGACCATGGAGAGAGAGATGAATGCAGATAGGAGTCTCTCTCTCTCTCTCTCTCTCTCTCTCTCTCATGCACACACGCACACATGTGGACTTTCATAACCCATCCCATCCTCTATGTTCTTTGAGTTTTGCTCTGCCAGGAACACCCTCTGTCTACGTGGAGAATTCCTTTCACTCTTCAGAGGACCACTAAAATGTCACCTCCTCTGTGAAATGTCCTCTCCAGGGGCCCCACCCTCTCCCCAAACAGATTCATCAGTGCCATCCTTGGGTTCCAGCAGCCCTGCCACCCCACTGAGCTAACACCACTGTGCTAGCAGATGGCCTCACAGCCCACACATCCAGCTCCCTGACCAGGAGGACCTCAGGGCAGGCCAAGGAGGCATGGCAGAGCTCAGGCTGAGCAGGCCTGACTGGGTCCTCTGTAGACACATAGTCACTTCTTTGCCCAGTGCTGAGCACACAGCTGGGGCTCAAACAAATATTAGTTATAACTATTTGGCCAGGGCCAAATAATAACAGATTGTTATTGGTTGAATATACTTACATAGGCCTTTATCATAGGCCCACATGCAACCCCAAGCCACAGAGGTCTCTTTCCCGCTCTCTCTTCTGTGTCTTGGAGTTATATGGGGGTTGGTCTTCAGTGTGGGGGAAAAGTTGCAAAAAAAAAAAAGCAATCGAGGCCGGGCGCAGTGGCTCAAGCCTGTAATCCCAGCACTTTGGGAGGCCGAGGCAGGCGGATCACGAGGTCAGGAGATGAGACCATCCTGGCTAACACGGTGAAACCCCGTCTCTACTAAAAATACAAAAAAATTAGCTGGGCGTGGTGGTGGGCGCCTGTAGTCCCAGCTACTCGGGAGGCTGAGGCAGGAGAATGGCGTGAACCCAGGAGGCGGAGCTTGCAGTGAGCCGAGATCGCGCCACTGCACTCCAGCCTGGGTGACAGAGCGAGACTCTGTCTCAAAAAAAAAAAAAAAGCAATTGAGTTTTCTTAGAACAAACCAATGAAACCAAAGCTGCCCAGATGTTTCCCCCACCCAAGAAGCCTAATGAGGAAGAGGGAGGCCTGGGAGCCTGGAGGAAATTCCCTTCTGCACCCACCCAGACACATGGTGCCAGGCAAGGTGCAAGCTGCTTCACCCGTCAGAGCCTGGTAATAATATTCACAGCATTGTTGTAAGAAACAAATGAGATGACAGGTGACAAAGTGCTTGGCAAAAAAGTACAGCACGCCCACAGAATCGTCTCATGCAGCCCCATCTCTCCTTTCTCTCATTTCCAGTTCTAGAAAACTGGTGTCAGTTACAAAGGCCTTGAGGAACTCCATGAAATTGTCAACTGCTTGAATGAGGATCCCTGAATGTTCTGGAGACAACAACATAAAAGCAGAGAAACAGGTCCATATTCGGTACTCACTGAATGCTTGTTGATGAGATTACATTCTTAAGAAAGATTTCTAACTCCAAATGCTGAAAATTCAAATCTGTCAAGAGCGGCTGTTGACCCAGAATGGTTCAATTAACTGGAACTCCAGCCCTTGAACATTCTGGGTAGCCAGAAAGAATTCTCTCTGGGAAAATACAGGGCCAGCTCACAACAAGCGTGACTTCACCCTGTGCCCCCCAACACTGCAGGATAAGGACATGAAGCCAAGTACAAATGTCACACATCTTCAGGGAGAACCAATTTTATTCTGAAGTTTTTTGGGAGGATGAAAATTACCAACAAGAATTTCCCTCGTTCTAAGATCTGCATTTTCCCCATATTTTAACATTTAATATCTAATTTTAACATTTTAACATCTAATGAGATCATGTTTTTTGCTTCTCAAAAAAAGAAAAAAGGATACGTAAGGATTTATATATCCTTAAATCCATGGTGCCTGTTGCAGTGACATCACCTTAAGACTAAGCAAATAAACCAGTCACACAAATCGCTTTAAATGGAAATGCAAGTCATTAAAAAAGATTGTTTTTAATGATAAAACTTGCCAGGAGGCACTAAAAAGAAGGTGAAAGGCATGTGAACTTTTAAGAAAATGAATGAGAGGTCAAAAAAAAATGTTTTTCCTACGTTGGGCCACTGTATGTCATGCCCTGGCCTGCGTCCCTTCCCTCTCCCTTGCCCTTGGCCATGCTGCGGGGAAGAAGTCCGAGGATGGCTGCCGGACACTGCCACCTGGGACTCACCTGCCCAGAGGGAGACTGCCTGGGAAAAAAATTAATGGCCGGGTGCAGTGGCTCACTCCTGTAATCCCAGCACTTTGGGAGGCCGAGGCAGATGGATCACCTGAGGTCAGGAGTTCGAGACCAGCCTGGCCAACATGGTGAAACCCGTCTCTACTAAAAATACAAAAATTAGCCAGGCGTGGTGGTGGGCACCTGTAATCCCGCTACTCAGGAGGCTGAGACAGGAGAATCACTTGAACCTGGGAGGCGGAGGTTGCAGTGCCGAGATTACGCCACTGCACTCCAGCCTGGGCGACAAGAGCAAAATTCCTTCTCGGAAAAATAATAATAATAATAAATTAAAGATTGGCAAGGCAGGGGTGTCCCACGTGACACAGGAGCCTCATGGCCCTTTGGTGACACACCTGTGTCCACAATGCCTGTGGGGTGAGCACAAGTGAAGACCGCCAGGCTGCTGGGGGCAAATGGAGTGCCGCAGCCATGCCTGGCCTTCCCCTTCCACCTCCACTCCCCTCTGGGCCAATCTTGGGTGAGGACAGAGCTTCAGGGACCACACAGGTCATCAGCCAAAAATGAGTCCAGTTTGTCAAGGAGTTACCTCACCCAGCCAGACCCGCTTCAAACTTTTGCGGGAAGGACATGGCTAGGAGGAGAGCTGGAATCCCACTGGAATAATCCTGGCTGGTATAAGCCTGAGACCCTCCGTCCATGTCTTTGGAGAAGGAAGCATCTGGGCTGGTGCAAGCTCTCCTGTCACCCTTGGGGACAAAGGGTCGTGGCAGCTGTGGGCCCAGCCCGGAGTGGGTAGGCAAGGCTGGCTCTCATGCCCTCTGGCTTTGCCAGGTCCTGAAGCCCACTGACCCTGACCCTGGACCTCCTAATGACCTCCTAACCCCACCCCTAAAATTTCTACAATAAACCTGTTTATTTTTACAATCTCTCACCATCTTCCTGAGCCTAGGTTCGGCCTGCCTCAGCTATCCCAGCCCACATCCTGCCTGGGACTCAGAGGCAAACCTCACAATTTCGAGACCATCTGACATTCCTTCAGCATCTAATATTTTTCAACCTGGGACCATTTACCCAACATCCCTCTAGACCGGACTTCTCAGCCTCTTCCTGTGCCTCAGCTCACATGAAGGATGGCATTTGCAGGCAGCTGCACACCTCGGGCCACCTTTAAGCCAAATCCCTGGCTTCTAATTCCGCCCCTCTTTCTCCCACTTCGTGCTGCCTCCGAATCGCAGATGTCCGTCTATTATTGCACTTTGCATCGTGTACCTCGGTTACTTATTTAGGTGCCAGTCTCCCTTGGGGGCAAGTCCTGGGTTTTATAGAGGATTTTTTTTTTTAATCTCCGTGGCCCCAGTGACCAGCCCAGCATCTAACACACTGCTCACAGGAATCCTGTGTCCCTGAACCCTTCTCCCGGGCCAAGATCAGACCTGTTTGAGGAAGATGGAAAAAGTGCTCTGTGAGCAGGATTATGAAATGACAGGGATGACGTGAGGGGCTTTCGAAACCCTGGGAAGGAAGATGCCCACGTGAATGACAGCCCCTTGCTATTCTCGGCCACCCGAGGTTCAGGTTTTAACTCAGGACAGCTGCCCGGAGCCTGCAGTCAGCCGGGGACAGAGCCTCCCGCCAGCGCAGCAGACCTCTGCTGCCCCCTCGTGGTCCCGGGACCTCAGCCGAGTGGGGTCTCCAAAGGCTCCAGCTTCTCGTCTCTGGGAAACTTCTCAGCCGCAAGCCTGAAGACAGAGATTTCCACCTCACAGCTGCCTGGGGAATGCCTCTTTGCAACAGGGAACCAAGAGGAGCTAAGAGCAGGGCCTTAGGGGGTTTTCCATTCACAGCTTTGCAGTTTAACTCACAGTGTGACTTTCAGTGACCTCCTTCACCATTCCAAGCCTCAGTTTTCTCATCTGTAAAACAGAGATTTTAATATGAATCCTCCCTCATGGGTTTTGTACAGATCAAGGGAGATAATAAATGAAAATTGCTTAACACATAGTAAAGACCTGGCACATACAAGGACCCAGAGGGGTAGCTATTGCTATTATTATAATGAGGAGAATCTGGGTGACCCTCTCGTCCACCCTTCTATTCCCAGGACCTGGGGACTGCTCCTAAGTATCTGCTGAATGAGTGAATGTATTACAGGTGCTTTTGACTTTCTTCTTTCTACTTTCCATTCACGTGGGCATCTTCCTTCCCAGGGTTTCGAAAGCCCCTCACGTCCTCCCTGTCATTTCATAATCCTGCTCACAGAGCACTTTTTCCATCTTCCTCAAACAGTCCAATCTTGGCCCGGGAGAAGGGTTCAGGGACACAGGCTTCCTGTGGGCAGAAATTTTATTCTAAAATTTCTACAATAAACATGTTTATTTTTACAATCACAATAAATTTTAAAACTTTAAACAAGGAAATGTGTAAAGAAAAGGGAAAATGGGAGGGGTACACAAAGTTTATGCTCATGCTTACCTGACAGGGGAGATACCATGATCACAAAGGTGGTTTTCCCAGTGCGAGGCTCACCATTGCACCCCGGAGGTGCAGACCCCTGTGTTTTCCCCAAATGAGAAAAATAAGAAAAGAAAGAAAGAAAGTTTCGTCTTCCATTGGATCGACTCCATTCTCCTCCTCCAGGTGGTGATGGCAACGAGCAACAGGAACACACTCCTTCCCCAAACACCTCACCCTCCACCTTCTCAAATTGGCCCAAGTTTGGGCGGAAATGTTAGGCCACCCCAGGCGCAAAGCCCTGGCACTGGGCCGGTTTCCTGGAGTAGGTGGATCTGGGTTGGTGGGGGCTGTGGCAGTTCCATTCTGCTTCCCTGGGCCAGGCTTGGAGCATTGCGCTTGTCACAGGCTTTGGTCTTGCGGGTATTGAGGCCACCATGGGCCTCATAATTATTTCCTTTGAGTGCAGATTATTTGCCAGCGCAGAGAGGTGGTGGCAGACCTAGCGTGGGGTGGGGGAGATGGACTGATGCAGACAGGGTCTCGTGGAGAACGCCGGCTCCTGTCACTCACAGGGGAGTGGAGTCAATTCAGAGGAGGATACATTTTTTGCACCCTCCCACTTTCCCATATTTTCCCTTTTATTTACCCATTTCCTCATTTAAAGTTTTAAAATGTATTATGATTATAAAAACAAACATGTTTATGGTAGAAATTTTGGAATATACAGGAAAGTAAAAAGAAGAAAGTCAAAAGCATCTGTAATACATGCACTCATTCAAGAGATACTTAAAGCAGCAGGGAATAGAATGGCGAACGAGAGACCCCATCTCAACCCTCCCAGAAATCATGCTTAGGTAGGGGATCCCATTACCCTGAGACAACCACTTACAATAGTTTCATATGCTTCCTTTAAGTTTTTTTCCATAAATATATCTAACCTATATTTAGTTATTTCAAAGCACACTGAGCTCATACCTATCTGCACCGATATATGCTATTTATCAAAAATATTCTATCACATGTATTGTTGTAATGGCTGAGTGTTCCAACACAGAAATGTAAAATAATCCATTTAACACATCTCGGGCTTTCAGTTATTAGCTTGCTTGCTTGTTTCCCATCCTTTTGTGATTCTAAATTACAATGTAATTAAAACATTTTAGGTAATGTATCTGATCTGCTATGACTATTTTCTCTGGAAAACAAATTATTAGATCAAATGGAATAAATATGAGAAGCAACACAAAAAAAACCACTGAATACTAATTATAAAGTAATACAAGCATTTTGAAAAATATTTAACAAAATACAGAAAAGTACAAAGAACAAAATAATGCTCACCTATAAGTCCACTACCTCCAGGTAACTACTATTAATATTCTTGATACATCGTTTTCCAGATTTTTATCTGCATATAAGGGTACTAAAATACAGTCTGGGCCCGGCGCGATGGCTTACGCCTATAATGCCATCACTTTGGGAGGCCGAGGCAGGTGGATCACCTCAGGTCAGGATACCAGCCTGGCCAACATGGTGAAACCCTGTCTCTACTGAAAATACAAAAAAAAATTAGCTGTAATCCCAGCTACTAGGAAAGCTGAGGCAGGAGAATCGTTTGAACCTGGGAGGTGGAGGTTGCAGTGAGCCGAGATCGCGCCATTGCACTCCAGCCTGGGCGACAAGAGCAAGACTCCATCTCAAAAAATAAAATAAAATAAAATAAAATCCAGTCTGACAGTCTTTGTATTTTAATTGGAGTTGTACACTTTTCTGTGCATATTTTTTCCAAAATGAGATTTTACTGTAAATATTTTGATTCTGTACTCTAATTTTTGGTGATATACTGTGAGTAATTTTCCATTATTATTGTTATTATTTTGAGACAGAGTCTCACTCTGTCACCCAGGCTGGAGTGCAGTGGTGCAATCATGCCTCACTGCAGCCTCAATCTCCCAGGCTCAAGTGATTCTCCAGCCTCAGCTTCCCAAGTAGCTAGAACTACAGGTGTATGCCACCATGACCAATTAATTTTTTTTTTTCAGTAGAGACAAGGTCTCACTATGTTGCCAAAGCTGGTCTCAAACTCCTGGGCTCAAGCAATCCTCCTACCTCAGCCTCCCAAAGTGCTGAAACTATAGACGTGAGCCACCACACCTGGCCCCATTTGTATAAATTCATTTCTATCACATCTTTTTTTTAAGCAATAGGGTCTGGCTCTGTTGCCCAGGCTGGTCTCAAACTCCTGGGCTCAAGCAATCCTCCCACCTCAGCCTCCAGAGTAGCTGGCACTATAGTCCAGCTATGGGCACACACCACCACACCAGCATCTACCACCTCGCTTTGAATGGCTGCACGGTATTCCACTATAATTATATACTATAACTTATTAAAATGTTCCTTTATTCTTAGACATTTAAGTTGTATACATCTTCTACTATTAGAAACCATGTTGTGATAAACATTCTTTTATGTGCATCTTTATGTGTCTTTGCTTTTTTAAAAGATTACTTGTCCCTCGAGTTCTCTGGTTATCCATTTCCAAACTAAAACCGTATATACTGACCATCCCATAAATAAGTTGTTGCTACCATACATTTTTGAAGTGTTCCTCTAGTTCCCTTCCTTGTTTTCCTTTCCCTGGAGCTTGTTCTGCTTTTGTTTGGCTTGGCTTTTTCTCTTGATATTCACATACAGGCTTTCCTCAATCATTCACTGACCTTTGGCTGTTATCTTCTATTTAAGGGGATGATACTAAAAAGCTGATTGGGAGTTTCCAGGTCAAGATGTCAGGTTGAGCCCACACATTCAACTTTTCTCCCTCCTGAAACCCCACCAGCATTATAGTAAAGAGATTGAGAAAATGCATATATAAACCAAAAGGATGGGGAAAACATAAGAGAGGGCATTGCAACCAAACTTTGGAAGCTGAAAGCAGATGAATGCATGGGGACTAGTTTAACAGAACCCAGGAAGAGCTGATGCTGAGGTGGGGAAAGCTGAGAAGAATACAGATCTGCACTGCAGAATCCTCAGGGGCTCAGGAACTGGCAGCCCCTGGAACTTCTAAGGTCAAGGCAAAGGGGGCCTGAATGGAGGAGGGTGAGGGGAAAGCTGTGTGGGAGGCCACCAGCACCCCAGATGCTCTCCCTTCCTCTGCAACACCAGGGAGCTGTCCTCCCCACCCAGCTGAGACCCAACCTGTCTTCTCTGGAAAGGGGGAAATTGAGGGTCTCCGCGGCTGGAGGTCAGCTGGCACAGGCGAGGGTGTGAGCTGCAGAAGAGAAACAAGGAGTTTTGCTGCCTGCTGCATGCTGAGCCACCCAGGGCAACAGCAGCTGGGTCCTTGCCTCCAGGCAGGAGATGAGGAAGCTCTGGGGAAGCCCAGCATACTGGAAAGTGTGCTTGGACAAACCTAAGTGTAGCTTAACCCAAAGCATCCGGCTTATACCCCTGAGAAGCCCAAGAGGAAAGCTCTAAAGCCCTTGACATCTGGCTTTCCTGCAGTAAGTGGCCCAGTGGCCCAGCATTGCCCTGCCTTGGACTTGAAGCTAACAAGCCCCCTCCTCAGGCTCAGAGGCTGATCTTCACTCTAATTGCAAGCAGATGGCCGAGAGCTACCTAGCACCAGTGGAATACCTCTCTCATCAGGGCCAGAGACACCAACCAACAGAATGAGAAACACCCAGGAACAGACAATGTGTACGAGAGAGACGAGAGGACAGTTACTAATGTTGATAATATTTATTTACTATCTTCAGAGACAGGAGAAAAGCTACTGTCTCCACCAAATAGGAGCAAGATACTGTTTTTAAAGGCTCACTGAGAGAATGTCTTAAAGCTTTTAACAGTGGGGGAAAAAAATGACAGCAGCAATGAAAAACTCGACAGGAAGTGTGGAAGATAAAATTGAGGAAATTTCCCTGAAAGTGTATAACAAAAAGAAAAAATGATGGAAAATCAGAGAAACCAAAATAGGAAGTCCAACATCCAAATTGCTCTTTCTGAAGAGTGATTTCAAAGAGATCAGAAAAAGAAAAAGGAAGGAACTAATAAAAAAAAATCTAAGAAAATTACTCAGAACTGAAAGATGTACATTTCCAGATTGAAAGAGCCTGCATGTGCCCAGAAAAATGGATGGAATCCCTACAGCAAGACACATCATTGTGAAATGTCATTGAGAGCACTGAGCAGCAAGGGGATGGGCCTGTATGGGTCAAGGTTCATGGCTGAAGACAACAGAATCCAAAAGAGAAAGGGATATAGTTAAAATTATTAGAAAGGTCAGGAAACCAGGAGGCTGAGGCAAGAAGATCACTTGAGGCCAAGAGTTGGAGACCAGCCTGGGCAACATAGTGAGACCCCCATCTCCACTTTAAAGTAGCCAGGTGTGGTTGTGCACACCTGTAGTCTCAGTTACTCAGGAGGGAGGTGGGAGGATTGCTTGAGCCCAGGAGTTTGAGGCTGCAGTGAACTATGATCACACCACTGCACTCCAGCCTGGGCAACAGAGCGAGACCCTGTCTCGTAAAAGCAAAGAAAGAAAGCTCAAAAATCATTAGACAGCTGGAGAAATAGGCTTTAGGTGGGCTTCCAGGAGCCTCCTATGACCCCACTGAATTGGCCTGATATGGAGCTGGTCTTGCTGGCACCCCAAAATCTCAGTTACGCTGGCTTCCCCATGTTAGCAAAATCACCACCCCAAGCCCCATCTCTGCTTCATACCCACTCTTGAGTCAAAATCTCAAGCATGAATGAACATAAACCTAAATGCTGTGAGTAGCCAGAGAAACTGGGAAACGTAGATTTCTAGATTCTACACAAAGAAGGCAATAGTCACAATGTGGGAAATTACATGGGGTGTTCAACAGGTTTGGCTGGCCACAGATGAAAATGTCTTCCCAAAGCGATGCACATACTCTATGGCTCTGTCTCCTCTGAGATCTGACACAGTCAGTGGCAATCAGATTCTCCCTCCAAGAATGTGGAATATTGACCTGAGAGCAAAGACTTGGAAGTGAGCTTGCTTTTAGCAATGCTCTAGGGTGAACAGTGCTGCCCCAAGTGTCATCTCAGGCTAGGGAAGATGCTGAAGTGTTTGTCATCAGTCTTCAACCAGGTAAGCACAGAAATTGAGTAAGCTTTTAGAAACTCTTATAGCAATTTGACAAAGTAACTTTATGTCTGTTAGACCCAATAATTTAAAATGGGGTTTGTTTTGTGCATGTTTTTTAATTTCATTTTTCCAGTCATTGAATTTTATGGCATCTCCAAAAGCACTGGAATATAACATTTGAAGTTTTTAAAGAGTTGGTCCTCCAACCACAGAATTTGAGCAGCCCAGCTCTACAGGGGAAGTCCTTGAATCTGCTGCTGACCGCCTGGATCTGGCCTTTCGGGCCCTGCTGAAGTTAGGTGGCCCTGCCCTGCCTCAGAAGCCATGAGGCACCCCCAGGCCCTTCTAATAAAGGCCCAGTAAGCTAGCCAGTGGTCGTTCTGGTAATTGCCACTGAAAGGATTTTAATTAATACAATCATTAATCCCACTCTGCAGCTATGAAAAACAAGGCTCACAGAGGTTACGTAAGTTGCCCACTAGAAGGCCCAAAACTAGAAACAAGCAGAAGCCAGGATTGCAGCCAAAGTCAGCCTGCTTCCGAGTCTCTGCGCTTCCACTGTGCTGAACTTTAGAGCAACAGCCACAAGGATTCAGAAATATTTTTCTTTTTTCTTTTTTTTTTTTTTTTGAGACAGAGTCTTGCTCTGCCACCAAGGCTGGGGTGCAGCAGCATGATCTCGGCTCACTGCAACCTCCACCTTCCGGGTTCAAGTGATTCTCCTGCCTCAGCCTCCCAAGAAGCTGGGATTACAGGTGTGCGCCACCATGCCACATTAATTCTTGTATTTTTAGTAGAGGAGGGGTTTCGCCATGTTGGCCAGGCTGGTCTCAAATGCCTGGCCTCATGTGATCCACTTGCCTCGGCCTCCCACAGTGCTGAGATTATAGGCATGAGCCACGCCCAGCCGGAAAGATTTTTCAGTATTAGTGAAGGATGGGAAAAGAGGACTCTTAAATATTGTTGGTGGAAATGCAAACTGGTATTAAAAAAAAAAAAGTTTTGGGAGGAAATAGTGTATTATTAGTCAGGGTTCTCCAGAGAAACAGAATCAACAGGACACACACATATATTACATATATGTAAGGAAATTTATTATAGGAAGAGGCTCATGTGATTATGGAGGCCAAAGAGTCCCACCATCTGCTGTCCATAAGCTGGAGAACCAGAAAAGTCAGTGGTGTAATTCAGTCCGAGTTCAAAGGATGGACAACCAGGGAAGCCAGTGGTGTAAGTTTCAGTCTGAATTCTAAGGCCCAAGAGCCATCCATTCCTGAAGCACTCATCACTATCTATATTTGATGACACCCAAATTTGTACCTCCAGCCCGAACCCCCTTTCCCAAACTCCAGATTTACATAATCCAGTTTCCACACTGGCGCATGTCCAGCTCCATGCCTTTCGTTCCAGCCCCTGCTCTAGCAAATGGGACCACCAAGCACCAGGCCCTGAGGAACCTGGGAATCATCAGACTCTCCTATCTCCTCCCCCTGCTCTACATACAACTCATCAGGAAGGCCTGTCACTTTTACTTCTGAGAAATAAAAATGAAATCCAGCCCCAACTAAGTGAATAGATCCCTTCTCGGTCTAAAGGACCTCAGAGAAACCTTGGAAACTGAATTCCCAGCCACGATGCAACCAGAGGTGAGACAGGCTTCCTTATCCGCCCTTCTTCACTAACCACCACAAGGCTTTCTTCCCTAAGGGCTAAACAGTGACCAGCCTTTCAAAAGACTTGCTGTGCCCTTGAATTCAACCAGCCAGGTTGAAACCAACCTGTAAGGATGCACAGTGAGGGTTTTCATGTCCTCTGCTTTACCTTTTGACACCAGAGAACCAAAACCTCTACCCTTGGATCATGCTAATGCTACCATTTTTTTAACATGGGACCCGCAGAGAGGCATGATCCTCAGTTGCACATAATATGCTTATATTTGGCCATCCCATTCAGTATAAATCCCTGTCTTAGTCTTCCCAGCCTCAAAGTGCCTGTTCTCAGCTTCTGACCCAAGGCTACACTTCCCAGCTTGTCAGAATGGGTACCCTGCAAGCTACAATTCTTTAGGAGAAATAAAGTTCTCCTGTCTAAATATATGACCCTTGTAATTGTTCAGCTGACGCTTCCAAAATGTACCTTGGATTCATTTGCTTCTCTCTGTCTTCACTCTCCTGGTCTGTGGTGGTCATTAGTGTGACACAGTTTTTCTGGGTTTGTGGCATGATGGCACTCTCCCACTTGATATGAAGTTAGGCTTGCCTCTGTGACCTGTTTGGCCAATGACATGTGAAGAGATATCTGTCACTTCTGGTGGTAATTTAAAGAACCAATATACTTCCTGTCTCCTTTCATGGGGATTATGGACATCATGTCCAGATGAGACCCATACCTGGATTCCTGAGTGAGTAAGATCAACAGAGCCCTTCTGCTGATGCATGACAGAGAAATAAATCTTTGTTATGTTAAGCCATTGAAATGGGGGCTGTCTGTTACTGCAGCACAACCTAGCTTATCCTGTCTGCTACATTATCATAGTCTAAGTCACCCAAACTACTTCAGAGTCTTCCTACTTCTATTCTTCTGTCTCTCCACAGAGCAAAGTAACCTTTCACGGTGCAAATTAGATGCCATCACTCTCTCCTTAAAACCCTTTAGCATTTCCCATTGTACTTGGAAGACAATCCCAGCTCCTTCCCCTGGCCTAAAAGGCCCTGCCCAATCTAGCCCCTGCCTGTCTCTCTGACTGGTCTCCCACTCTGTCTTCCTCACTCATTACAGTCTAGTCCCCCTCACCTCCTTTATATCTCTAAGGCCCTGAGCCCTCTCCTGCCATTAAGCTTTTGCATGTGTTGTTCCCTCTGCCTGGAACACCTTCCTATCCCCCCACTATTCACTTAGCTGGCCCCTTCTCATCCTTCGAGCCTCAGCTTCAGTGGTATTTCTCCAGAGAGCCCCTTCCCTTACCACCCAACTACACTGCACCCAGTTCACTTCCTTATGAGCTCTTACCACAAGTCAGAATTATATTTTTTTCATGTTTATTTTCTTGTCGATGCACTCAGTTGTAAGCTCTATGGGGGCCACATCGGCCCTTACTAAGAATTTGTTGAATGGAGAAGTGACTTGATGAGAAGGCTGTTGCAAAGGGTAATTAATGCCTGAAGCAATTGTAAAGTTGTGGTGGTGATGGGGGTAGGAAATATTGACCAACTCCAACTCCCCAGTGAGACGGCTTCTTCCAGGCTACCGTGGACTAAACTTGCAAGGCTTTCTCCTCGCTTCAGAAGCTAAAGTGCCTCTGAGATACTGCGGGTTCTCCAGAGGGCTCAGCCTGGGTTCTGTCCTACCTTGGCTCTGACAGCTCAACTGGTGAGACCTCAACCTGGAGCAGGTCCAGCCAGAGCCAAGGAGCAGGCAGCCAGCACCAGAGGAGAGGCAGCCAGCTGCTGCCATCATGAGAGATGCCTGGCCAGCTCTCTAGAAATAGCCCAAGGTCAAGGCAGGGTGCTTCTGACCTCTACAGATGGCAAAACCTGGAGAGACTCTGTTCTTGAATCTCTCTCCCACTCCACTGCCAGGATCCCTGCCCCTGGCCTGGAGCACCCTGATTTTCAGCCACCCTTCACAGACCCCTCCATTCATCACTGCTTACAAGGAACCCCCAGGCTTCTAACCTTTTCTCCTCCCAACACACTTCTGGGGTGCAGAGGACGGGTGTTATCCTCAGCTTGCAGTAAAGGGCTCTGTGGCTCAGGGAGGTGCACGGTCTCTTCCAAGGTCATGTGGTGAGTTTACTGCTGAACTGGAATTCAAATTTAGAGCTCCATTCCAGGTTCAGCGTCTCACCCCATCAGTATCTGCCACACGTGGGATGTGCCTAAGTCTCACAGCCCCGCTCAAGTATCTGACCTAATCTATGTGTCACTTACTGGGAGGGTGAGGGCAAGGTCCTTGCTTTGTGGACTTTGACCCCCTTCCCTGGACTTAGGAGAACCTTTCTGTCTTAAGCTGCCAGCCCTAGCTGATTTTCCCAGGAGCCAGCTCTTGCGTGCCCAAATCCATGGCGTTCATCTTCACCTCTGGTTACTCTGCCTGCTTGACCAGCTCACTCGCCAGACCTCACTGCTGGCCCGACCACCTGAGCCCACTGTCCCCACACCCACAGGACACCCCCTCCATGAACAAGGAAGGCCGAGGACCCTGGGGACCCAGCCACAGCTTCATAGGCCACTTGTTCTGAGCAGGGCTCTCCGTCTCCCTTCTCTTGGAGGTTCCCACAGCCTGGGGAGGAAGGAGCAAAGATGCAAATCAGGGGACCATAAGGACTGTACAGGAGCAGATTCAGGGAGGAAAGCCACCTCAAGGGACCAGGACAGGCCAGGCAAGGTGGCTCACGCCTGTAATCCCAGCACTTTGGGAGGCCTAGGCGGGCAGATCACGAGGTCAGGAGATGGAGACCATCCTGGCTAACACGGTGAAACCCTGTCTCTGCTAAAAATACAAAAAAATTAGCCAGGTGTGATGGCGGGCGCCTGTAGTCCCAGCTACGTGGGAGGCTGAGGCAGGAGAATGGCGTGAACCCGGGAGGAGGAGCTTGCAGTGAGCCAAGACCACGCCACTGCACTCCAGCCTGGGCAACAGAGTGAGACACTGTCTCAAAAAAAAAAAAAAAAAAGGGACCAGGACAGGACAGGCAGCTGGGAGAGGGAGAAGAGAAGCCCACAGAGGTAGGTGGCTGTCCCTATGAATAGGACAGGACAGGGCAGGCAGCTAGTAGGATTTTTATCAATCAGATGACAGCAGACAGAGGAGAGAAAGGAATTAAGAGAGAATAAAAAGTGGAAATTTTTTGGAGAATAGTGTTTGTCGTCAAAGGACATTCAATAGATCCAAGTAAAAGCTGATAGAATGTCCTCCATCAGACAACCCTCAGAACATGAACCACCCGTGGTATGTCTTGAAAATATGGAGATTCCATGCCCATAGGTGTCGCAAGTGCACTGCAAGCTCTAGTGGCCCCTTCACATGGTCGTGATGGGGAATTTGAACATCTATGACTGTTCTCTGGCAAGTGGTGGTCGGGTGTCTAAAGCGGGGAAGGATATCTTTTCTGAATCTGTTGGGCTACTGACAGGGCTTCAAACAGGTACTTCTAGGAAGTTTGAAATCAATATTTGCCCTTCCGAAGTGAAAAGATTTGTAGTGCACACTTGCCTGCTTGACTCATTTGCATGGCAGCCCTTTCCTCCTAGAGCATGGAAAGGTTGAAATGGATTCGCATCTGTTCTTAATTACAGAGGCCGAGACAGATGTTATCTTACATGCTAGGGAGGGGCACTCACCAACACTGTGCTGTCGACAGCAACAATAACTCCCAGGCCTTTTGTGCAATATATTAATTTGGAAATTATTGACAACTCCTATCTTGCGTGACGTAACGTGGCAAGTGTACACAAAGTCTTCTTGAGTTGTCTTCGTCACTAGCCAGCCTCATGACTCTTTTCTCCCTGTGTCTGTACTTCCCAAGACAGCATCTCTGTTCCTCCCGTTTAATTGCACATTGGCATTGAAGAAGCCATTCACATCCAACACTGCAAGCTGTCATAGACATGCTCTGAAAAATGCGTTTTTAGAGTCTTTAATATACTCACGTGCACCGCCAATCACCAAAAACAGAGCAGGCAATGTTTCCCATATCTATTTGACCACCGGTAAGATAAGGGCCTCCCATGAGCTGAAGGGAAGCTTCCTACTTAAAGCAGGGATTAAAGCATTAAACAAAAGAGTGACTGAGGAGGGCTCAGAACCATGAGGGAGGCTGCGGGGGGCAGCCCTGTGACACCACCCGTGGAGGCCGTCTGATTCCTGACCAGCAGTTTTAAAAGATGTATTTATATATAGTGTGCATGCATATGTGTGTGTTACACTTTTAATTGACAAATAAGAAATGATATTTATTTATAGTTTACAACATGATACTTTGATATACGTACACACTGTGGAATGAGTAAATCAAACATATTTATCATCCCACATACTTAACCATTTTTTGTGGTGAGAACATTTAAAATCTACTGTCTTCGACTAGCTTATTGAAGTGGGGCGAAAAAACTAAGAAAATAAATAAATAATAATGTTTAGAATCTACTCTCAGCAATCTTCAAGTATATGATATGTTATTATTAACTGCAGTCTCCATGCTCTACAAGAAAACTCCAGAACTTATCCTCTGACCAGCAGTTTCTGGTTGACACAAAGACCTATTTCCAGAAGTTTCTTGAAGATACCATCAGGAAAGTAAATAGCAAATAGAATGGTTTGCTCTGTCATTATAGAAAGTAAAGATTGAAGGTCTCTCGGATGACCCAGCCATCAGCTGCAGTTCCCTGGCCTTATTCATTGCGAAGTCCGAAGCGGAGCCCCCATGTGTCAACACGTCACCACCACCATGTCTACGTAGGGCTGGAAACCGTTCCCCGCAGTCCTCTTCCTCATGCTCCCAGGTTAGAGTTTGCCAACAAGAGGATCTTGCACAGGACTTGGAAGGCAGAAGGGAAGCAGAAGTGATTGTTCTCAGGGGTTAGTAAGAACGGACGTGGCGCTTCATCAGATGCAGGTGCATGGCCGACTTCTAAGAACTCCCATGCCTGTCACTTCTTCCCCCACACCCAGGATTCAGGTTGAGGCTGTCAAGATGCAGAATGGCTTCTGTGTCCTGACCTCCCCTGACCCATGCGGCTGCATAAGGAGCTCCCTGCTCTCTCTGGCTCTGAGCTCCAGCTTCCACTCAGCCCCCAGCCTCACATGGGCCTCTCCTTACTCAATCCCCACCCCCAGTTCAGCATGGACCCATGCTGGAAACCTGACCCCCTTTTTAGGGCTCCTCAAGGCCTCTGTGTGTGCAGTGGACTTCACAGGAGGCTTAGAAGTTACCAGGAGAGTTTTGTCACACACCAACACAAATGATATTATTACACATTAGACACATGATTCTTAAAAGTTGCTCAGTCCTGTTTCTCCACCATTCCTCAGTATCAGGTCTGCTTCCTGAGCTCTGCTAAGACAAAAGCCATCTACTCTAGGCTGTAAGCATCAGCGGAGTGAAAAACTGCCAGGCGCCTTGAAGCTTGCATCTTTCTTTTCTCCATTCCCCACCAGTCTCCATAAACAGAAAGGATTAGTGGAGAGTAATTTTCCTACCCCTCCAGCCTTACTCTTCCTTAGAAGGAATATGTTGCTACACCTTCTATTCTTTTCATTCATATTCTCCCACTATACTCGAGTTTGTGGATGTCATTGACTCTGAAAGATTATATTTTAGGGTGGTATGTGTATTCATTATCAATTGCTGTGTAACAAACTGCCCCAAAACTTAGCTGCCTAAAACAATAAACTTTTATTTTTTTTCTCTGTTTCTGCAGGTCAAGAATTATAATTAAGAGTGACTTAGTTGAATGGTTCTGGCTCAGGGATTCCCATGAGATTGCAGTCAAGACGTCAGCCAGGACTACAGTCCTCCAAAGGCTTGCCTGGGTTGAAAGGGTCTGCTTCCAAGATGGTGCCCACTTGAGGCTGCTGGAGAGAGGCCTCAGCCCATCACCACGTGGGCCTCTCCACAAGGCCACTTGAGCATCCTCACGAGTGTCAGCTGACTTTCCCCAGAGTGAATGACACAAGAGAGAAAACAAGGCAGAAGCTACAATGCCATTTATGATCTGATCTCTGAAGTCACATACCATCACTTCCCCTGTATTCTGTCTTCAGAAGTGAGTCACTGGCCAGACACAATGGCTCACACCTGTAATCCAAGCAACTTGGGAGGCCGAGGCAGGAGAATTGCTTGAGGTCGGGAGTTCAAGACCAGCCTGGGCAGCATAGCAAGATTTCATCTCCACAAAAAATTTTAAAATTAACCAGACAGCGTGGTGCATACCTGTAGTCCCAGCTGCTCAGGAGGCTGAGGCAGGAGGATCACTTAAACCTAGGAGGTCGAGGCTGCAGCGAGCTATGATTGCACCACTGCACTCCAGCCCGGGTGACAGACCAAGACACTGACTCTAAAATAAATAAATAAATAAACAATCAAACATTTAAAAAGAAATGAGTCACTAAGTCCAGACCAAACTCAAGGGGAGGGGAATTAAGCTTCACCTTTTGAAGGGAGGAGTATCAAAGAATTTTCGGGCATAGTTTAAAACCACCACAATGCGAACAGTACAGGAAGTTCTTACTTAACGCTGTCCATAGGTTCTTGGAAATTGCAACTTGAAGCAAAAGAACGTATAGTGAAACGAATTTTTTTTCTTATTAACGTTATAACAAAATGATAGTGAATGAAATGACACTATTTGAGGACCCACTGTATGCCATTTCACTTGAAGTTGCAGTTTCCAGGAGCCTATTGACAATGTTAAGTAAGGACTTACCATACAGGACAAGGAATCAAAATACCTAGTTTTGTTTTGTTTTGTTTTGTTTTGGTTTGGTTTTGGTTTTTTGAGACAGGGTCTCACTCTGTCACTCAGGCTGGGGTGCAGTGGTGTGATCATGGCTCACTGCAGTCTCGACCTCCCCGGCTCAAGTGATCCTCCCACCTCAGCCTCTTGAGTAGCTAGGACTACAGGCACATGCCACCACGCCCAGCTAATTTTTGTATTTTTTTTGTAGAGACAGGGTTTCACCACGTTGGCCAGGCTGGTCTTGAACTCCAGGGCTCAAGGGATCCGCCTGCCTCGGCCTCCCAAAGTGCTAGGCTTACAGGGGTGAGCCACCGCACTCAGCCTACCTATGTTTAATTTTCCTTCTAAACACTGGGGGACTTGGGCATATCCCTTCACCTCTCTAGATCTATTTCCCCATCTGCAAAATGACAGGATTGACTTGGATGACTGCTAAGGGTTCATTTTCAGTTAGCATGTGTCTCAATGTTCCAGCACTCAAGACCCTAGGCCTGGACCCCAGAGCTCAGGCAGCTTTTCCTCCACGCCCCCACCTTCCCAGCAGATCTCGTTGGCTCTCAGCCCCAGGTATAGCCACCACACATCAGCTCCTCCAGGTGCTTCTTCCAGGCCTTGTAGCCTCCTCTGTCCCAGTGGTGCCCTGCCCTGGCAGCACACTGGGATCACTTGTGGAGCTTCGAAAACTCCCTGTGTCCAAGCCACACTGCAGTTCATCAGCTTGTCCAGGGTCGGGACCAAGTACCAGCAGGTGCAACAGCTCCCGTGACTCCAAGGCCCAGCCAAGGTTGAGAACCACCACTCTAGCTTGAGTGGCCCTTCACATGTGGAATCGTTTCAACAAATAAAATAACACTGCCCATGGCTGAGTACTGATTTGCTCTTTTCCTTTGAGGTATATGCATTTGAGAGCACTCACACTGCAGAGGGTAGAGGTTTTAATTTACAGTTAATTATGTTAGGGGGCTGATTTCTCTAGGAGACCATTTTGCCTAGTATTAACCTAACAGAGATATTTAGAGGGGTTTAGGGAAATTTTTTGTGACCAGGACAGAACTTTTTATAGACTTCTTTCCCTGGCTCAGGATTTCTCATCAAGGTATTGTTTCTGTGGGAAAATGGATTCAATTTTTATCTTTTTGACTTACACCACCTTTTCCTAGAATATAACCTGCTATAAGTCTGAACAATGCCTGCATTTTTTTTCCTTCTTGCTTGTGCATGTGTATGTGTGGGTGTGAGAAAAGTCAACATTCTCCAGGACAAGGGAGAGCCCAGCGCCGAGAATGATGCCAGGCTTGGAGCTCCCAGGCCAGGAGCCGCTGTGGAACGTGGGTGTGGGGCCTGTGTCAGGGCTGAAAGACGTCAGCTGGGCTCTCCTGACCCTCAGCTGAGTGCCACTGTGTGACCAATGCCCCAGTTTACACAGACTGTAGGGTTTCCTGGGACACAGGACATTCAGTACTGAAACTGGGATAGTTCCAGAAAACCAGGATGGTTGTGGCTCTTTGAGCACAACCCCCCATCTTTACTGCCTGAACACCCAGTGGGGATAGGACAGAGCTGCTCTACTAAGGGTGCTGGGTGGCTTCACCAATAGGAACAGGGGTAGCTACACAGCTTCTCGGGCCATGAGGCTCTGAGATGCCAGTTCCCAGAGCCCACGGCCCAGGAAACAGAGCAAGCTCTGCCACATTGACTTCTATTGGCAATCTCCAAACATCTGAGCTCCTGTCATGGAGAAAAGGGGAATGACCTGTCAGCTGTTCCTAGGCCAGTGATTTGAAATCCTGGGTGCATATGGGAATCACCTGGCCAGTCCCACCCCCCCGAGATTCTGATTTCACTGGGGTGCGGTGGGGTCCAGGTTCACACACATATACACTTCTAGACTTTTTCCTTATGGCCTCTTTCTAGGCAGGACATTTCCATCTTGGCCATGAAAACTTTGTCACTCCTAAACCTCTCTGTTTCTCTTCTTGAGGTTACCTTGAGCTAAATGGCTTCCTAGAGAAGCCAGACTTTTTCACTGTATCAGTGGCAGTTGGGTTATAGATTATCTTCAGGGGAAATTTTAGTTTATAAAAGCCCAAACCAGTCGTCGTTATCTAGGAATGAACTGTACAGCTCGTGGGTGTGGGTCCTTGTGTTGTCCCTAATCCGACCCCACTCCTTCCGGCTCTCCCCTGAACTCCCTGCGAGCCCAGCTTCAGGAGGTCTCCGTGGCCCCATCCTCCACTTCTGGTTCCACCCAGTCTCCTGCCTCCCATATTTCCCTTTTTTCTTTAGGTTCCCTCTTTGGGACGCAAGAACTGCCCTTGCCCACAGCTGGAGGGGAAGTGGAGGGCCCCTGCGTTGTTCCTGTGGGCCTACCGCGCGGCCAAGCCCGCTAAACTAGGGGGCGAATCCCCGGCCAGTCTGGAACAATCACATTCTCTTTCTAGGATCTGGGGCTGAGACACAGGGTCTCTGGTTAGCTGGCTGCATGAGCTCTATATCCAGAAGATCACAAGGCTCAGGGCCTGGGGCTGAGGCACAGGGTCTCTGGTTAGCTGGCTGCATGAGCTCTATATCCAGAAGATCACAAGGCTCAGGGCCTGGGGCTGAGGCACAGGGTCTCTGGTTAGCTGGCTGCATGAGCTCTATATCCAGAAGATCACAAGGCTCAGGGCCTGGGGCTGAGGCACAGGGTCTCTGGTTAGCTGGCTGCATGAGCTCTATATCCAGAAGATCACAAGGCTCAGGGCCTGGGGCCACCATCTGAGGAAACACATTTTGAAACCATGAGCAGCAATGATCAGGCAGGGTCTGCAGGCGCACAGCGGAGACGGGCAACCAGACAGGCCGGAGAGAAGGTCTGAGACAGTGACTGACAGCCCAACTTTGTCCCCAAGGAATGTCCCCATTCTTGTCCTCCTGGAGGCTGGGCTCTGAATCCTGCCCTTGGGCTCTGTGACATCCTCACCCTCAGTCCCTCTAAAGCTAAGCCAGCATTCACAGATTCATGTCGCCTGCCACCAACCAACCCCTGGGAGAGTCTCCAATGCTCACCACTCTCATAGGCACAATTTCGGATCCTAAGTCTGGGCCCTTCTGGCTCCCATGAGATCCCCTGAGTCCCTTCCTTTCCGGCTCCCTCTCAGCTTCAGAAAGGGCTAGCACCCTCAGCCCCTGCGGTCTGTTCCCCTAGGAGTTAAAGGAGAGATGGCCTCTTCCCTCCTGCGGGTTTCCTCCCACCACTTCCAGAGAACCCAGAGTTCTGGCCGGCATCTCCGGCTCCGGTTCCCATGGCAGAGCCTCTTCAGCACCACCCCCGTCATCCTCCTTCTGGAAACATCTCGGGACACACTTCAGTGGAACACCCTTGAAAACAGAGTAAACAGTGGTTTCCTCACATTCCTGTCAGCCTTTGTTTTTCGAGACTGAAGAGTCTAAACTGGAGAGTCCCCCACGCCGCCCTCCCCGCACTCCTTGGCACTGGCCTTGACCTTTGCTGGTTGTGGGTTGGGGAGCGGTCAGGGTTGCTGGGCTTGTACAGCAGTTTGAGGTCGCCTGTTAGGATCTCATGTCCTCCTCCATGGTCCCCACTTGACCCCACTCTGGCCCTGGGGGAGAATCAACGTCAAGTGACAAAGCCAGAAAACTCAACAGAGGCAGAGTGGCCACCTCCCAACCACTGCACTGCCCTGCCCTGCCTCCTCCTGCCGCAGCCCAGACAGCCTCCCAGGGCGTCTCCTGCAGCTGTGCCCCGACTGTCCCAGCCCTGGTAGGGCCGAGGGACCTGGCTTCTCTTCTAGGATGTGGTGTGGGCCTCAGGGGAGAGCTAGAACAATGCTGGGCCCCTTATCAACAGCTAATCCCATCCTGGTCAGCTCCTGGACTTCCCTTCTCAGAAACACCAACTCTTATTTTAACACATGGTGTGTTCGCTTCTGAGTCACCTAAGCCCTAATTGTGTGTGGACAGAGCAGTGGCAAGCCCTCCCTAATGCCGTGGCCACACTCTTCCAGGGAACAAAGAGCTAACACCTTCAAGTCCACCAGGAATGGGCCTGGCTTCCTTCTGCTCTTGTCACAAGCCCTGGGTGCCATAACGTGAAGGCACTGGAAGCAGAGACGCTGGAAATCATCAAATCCTACCCCTCACTCACAGCTGAGTTCACCGAAGCCTAAAGAGGGCCCGGCCTTGCTCAAAGTCACACAGCAAGGTCAGGACTCCTGGTCCAGGCCATTGCTTCTGAGACACACACCTTTCAGAGGTGTGTGTGTGAGGAGGCAGGAGGAAAACCCCAGGAAGTTTGCTTTTGTTGGAGTTTATTTCTATTTCAGTTTCCATTCTGTACTTGCCCAGAGGGGTGTTTGTCCTACCTCGGGGCTCAGCTCAGCAGCAGGAGGGGTTTCAGGCACCTCAGTCATCAGGATTATCTCTACCCAGAAGCAGACTATCAGGAACTCCCGTGTCAGAACCTCCAAGTGTCCCAAAGCGTGGCACTTCCAAGAGAAAGTGCTAAGTGGCTAGATAAATGGCTAATAACAAGAGTTGGTATGGTGTGGGGTGGTGGGGGGACCCCAGGCGCTGGCCCCATCCAGGGACATCTACAGCCCTGGAAACTGAGAACTGGGTCCAAAATGGCCTCCCACAGGCCCCAGGTGGTGCTTTACCACCACTCTGTTCCGAGAGTCTCTGAGAAGGATTTCTATCAAAGCCAAAAGGGGTTGAGGCTAATCCCCAACTCACCTTGCATGTGTCCCATGACTCAGCCCACTGCCCCATGTGCATTCTCATTCATCAGAAGGTGGGCTCCAGAGGCAGTCTGCGTGGGGTCAGAGCCCAGCTCCGCTACTTACGGGCCATGTAGAGAAGCGAGAGAGCCTAAGCGATGCACTCACTCTGTAAATGTGTGCAGTAACAGACCCTTCCTCCCAGGGATGGTTTAAGCATTGAAGCATTTGGAACAGTGCCTGGCATGTGATAGCTTAGATATCATCATCATCATCATCATTATCATCAATCATCATCACTATTATTATTTCAAGCACTCAACAGATACAATCTGCTTCCTCTGGATCCCTAAGTATATCCCTTAAGGGCCAGCATTGTGGAAGCAGGAAATGCTAAGTCCTGTGATCCTCAGGACCACGCCGGGTGCAGCTTTGGGGATCGCTATAAGATAGACATAAGCCAGCAGCTATGATCAGAACATTCCAGAACAGGAACAGAGGGTTTAGACAGTCTACTGTGTTCTACGATTCAGCCAAAACATCAAATGAGCATTTGCTGTGTGTGTGTTGCTCAACATTTGCCCAAACACTTCCCTTCTTTCTACTTCTGTGTCATGCTAAAGGTAGAAGGCAGACAGAAGTTTTCATTTGATAAAGAGACTGAAAACAAGAGAATTTGAGCTCTGGCCCCAGAGAGTTCCTAGCTTTTGATAATCTAATATCTGACACACTTTGTCATGTCTTTTTAAAGGATTTTTACTTACATATTTTTTATTGTAAGCTTGTTTTAGTTTTTAGCTTTGAAATAATATTAGACTTTGAAAACACTGCAAAAGTGGTACAAAGAATACTATATACCCTTCACCCAGCTTTCCAAAAAAAGCTGCACCACTGCACCGTATAATTATCCTAATTCTCACAACCAGGATAGGAACACTGATACAATACTGTGAACTGATCTCCAGACTTTATTCAAACTTTGTCAACTGTCCCACAAATGTTCTTTTTCTGTTCCAGGATCCTGCATTGCACTGAGTTGTCTCATTCAATCTGGGACAGCTTCCTCAGTCTTTGTCTTTCATGATGGTGCCACTTTTGAAGAGTGGTGGCCAATTATTTTGTAGAATGTTCCTCACTTTGGGTGTGTATAGTGTTTACTCATTATTAGATTGTAGTTACGCATTTTTGGCAAGAACACCACAGAAGGGACAGTGAGTCCTTCTCAGTACATCACAGCAGGAGGCACAGGATGCTGGTACATCTTGTTCCTGGTGATCTTAACTTTGATCACTTGGAAAAGGTGGTACCTACCAGACTGGTCCACTGCACAGTTATTATGCTATTGTTCCCTTTGCAATTAATAAGTCTCTTGTGAAGAGGCTTTGAGACTATATAAATATTTTGTTTCTCATCACATTTGCAGCCATTAACTTCAGTGTTCATTGATGGTTCTTGCCGGCCACAGAATCATCTATGAACACTGAAGTTAATGGCTGATATATATACCTAATATATATACCTATAACACATATATATAGTAGATAAACTGTTATAGTTATATATGTATGTGTATGTATATATAGTTATATCTATAACTATAACTGTTTTTATATCTACCTAATATATATACCTATAACAGTTTCTATATCTACCTACGTATATAAACCATCCATTCACACCAATTCCTCTGATTCTAATCCAGCTCCATAGGGGGTATTCTAACCTTCCCCCTTTCCATATTTGTTATGCTTTTTCAACAGTGAAAAACCTGGTTCTCACTCTCTGCCACATATTTACTTATTTGATTAATTGTGGAATGCACTTGAGATAGTTTCAGGATTTTGGATGCCTTTTTTATGTTTGTGTAATTTTAGTCAATAAATGTTGTTAAGGTTAAAGGTGAAGCAAGACAGACTTGGTTAAGTGTGTAAACTCTGGAAGTTGGAAGTTATTTAATCTTTCTGAGTCTCACCTTCCTTATCTGCAAAATAGGAATAATAACAATGTGTAGCTCATAGGAGTGCAGTGAGGATTGAGGGAACGTACGTAAAGTGTTTAGCACATAGGAAACCCTAAATAAATGGTACACATTTTTATGAGCTATTGTTTAGGAAATAAAGTGAAATTTTCTATGAGTACCCAATTGTTTTAATAAAAAGTTGACCCATATATCAGTTGATGTGAGGGAAACAAGAAAGAGGTTGGAAGCGCTGAAGCTTTCCATACAATTTCTCTTTCCACATAGTTATGTGCCACACAATGACGTTTCAGTCAAAGATGGACTACATATATGACAGTGGTTTCATAAGATTATGATACCATATTTTTACTGTACCTTTTCTATGTTTAGATATGTTTAGACACAAATACTTACTAGCATGTTACAATTGCCTAGGGTATCAGTACAGTAACACCCTGTAGGGGGTTGTAGCCTCAGTGAAATAGGCTATACCATATAGCCTAGGTGTGAAGTAGACTATACCATCTAGGTTTGTGTGATACTATCTAGGCTTGTGTGAGTACACTCTATGATGTTTGCACAACGATGAAATCACCTAAAGACGCGTTTCTCAGACCGTATCTGTATTTCTGTGGTTAAGTGATTCGTGACTTTACGCAGTTGTAGAAGCTGATCATTTTCCTCCACTAGGTGGCAGCATATGTGTCGTTGCCTTTAAGGCGGGTTCCTTATGAGACGACCCAAGCATGTTGGAGAAAGAAAACAACTTCGGAATTAGGATCCTCATACAAAATGTGAGAAATAATCCACAACTTTAAAAAAAGAAAAGAAATGCCCCATCCCTAAGCACACTTTTGAAATACCCACAGTGAATTCAAGCAAATCTGCCCAAACCTGGTCCAGGCCGCAGGACACCTGCTCCTGGTGGGTGGGTCTCAGGTCCCCCAGGACTTGGAATGTCATCCCTGGGGTGGAGGGTGGACAGAGCTTATTGAGGTCCCAAGCCAGGCAAGGAGCTGGGCAGGTTCTCGGGCTCTGCCCCTTCACACTCAGATCTCCCCGACCCAGGGCCTGGTGGGGCTTACAAAGACGCACAAAGTCATGCGTGCAGGCTCTCTATCTGGGGCTGGAGAAGCAAGAGGCTCCATTTGAAGCAAGAAACAGAGACCCACTCAACATGGCTAAAAAGGGGGGTGAGAGGGGGGCAATGGGGCCCCACTGTGGGACCTTGTGTCCATCTAACCACAGAATAAGAGGCTCAGACACAGGAAATCAAGATGACGGCAGTCACTTCCCCTGTTAGTGTCCTCATACTACCAGTCCTGCTCCCATGAGTGGCAGGAGAGGGCAAGAGGCACCCACGGGGGGCGTGCTGGAAGTCTGTTGCAAGAACCCCAGGGTTTTCGGCCTGAGCAAGGGGAAAGCATATCTCACTTAGGTCACCATTTTTCTACGGGTAAATCTCCATCCAGTTCCTGATTCTGTCAGAGACATCTCTTCCTATTTGGAAGTACCACAGTGACAGTACCCACCTGCCAGCACAAGCTGTGCTGGGAATTTGGCACTGCCTATTCCTCTGCCTATCTTCTTTTGGAGAATTATCTGGCACCTACTTTGTACAGTCTTGGTGGAGAGTAAACCCAGCATCCGCCATCCCATTCCTAAGACAAAAGGGTCTTCCAGGTGCCCTGCCGCTGCCTGACTTTCCTCTCGCCATCTTACAGCAACCAAAGGCAGGCATGAGAACTAAGCTTGGACTTGCTTTCCTAGGAATGTGACTATGGAGTAAGAAACACAAGGACAGAAGGAGTGGTGGAAGCTCATTCATCCCAGTAATGGCACCTAGGCAAGACTGTGGAACCGTCCCTGCTTCCAAAACCATCTGAGCTGCCTGGCCCCTGTCTGTTTAAGCTCTGTTCTAGTCCTTCCCTTCCATCCTGTGGCAGCCATGGCCGCCCTGTCACTTCCCTTGTCTTAATTTAGGCTGAGTCCATTTCTGCTTCTTATCATCAATGAGCCTGGCCTTATACGAGCTCATCCTGAGGAAGAAAGAATTCCTATTTCCCCTTCCGAGGGAAGACCAAGGTGGAGCCTAAAGAAAAAATATGACCTTCCTACCCTGAGGGAATAAACTTGCTATGATTCTTAGCCGAAAAGAAGTCTACATAATTTGCTAGGCCTAACCAACAGCCAGTTGGTAACTTCTAAGCAGAACATGGAAAACCTGAGTGTGCTTGGCAGAAAGTTAGGACACCTGTTATGAAAAGGGAAGAGAGGAGTGGAATTTCAAGTGGTTACTCAACTCACCCACTCTCTATTGCATCACTCCTCAGACTTGTGCTGGGAACATTGCAGGGTCAAGCCCATTGCCTCACAGGATGAAGGAAATGGTCAACACTGTCAGGGACTTGGTTTTCCTCCCCCCAGCCATTTCCAGTCCTGTGCAGAGCATTCTGGTCCTGCTATTCCTCAAGGATATGTGCCCAGATTATTTACCCCAAGTTACAAGGGAGCTCAGGCCTCCATTCTTTGGAGAAAGGTGGATTTGTGTGGTGGTTCACAGCTAAGACTGCCTGGATTCAAATCCCAAATCTGCCAAGGCAATTATGGGGACTGAGCCCCCAACCTGTGGGATCTGACACTGTCTCCAGATAAATAGCGTCAGAATTGAGTTGGAGGACACCTAGCTGGTGTCCACTGCGGAACTGACTGCTTGCTTGCTGGTGGGGAGAAACAGCCACGTATTTAGGAGTCAGAGAAGTCTTCTGTGTTGATTGTTGTTGTGTTGGTGTAAGAGCAGAGGAAAAACATGGTTTGTTTTTCCATAAAAGGCATTGTTGAAAACAACAGAGCAATCAGCCAGGAATTAGCGTAGTTTAACGGATAGCTGTGGTCAGAGAAAGAAATAGATAAGAGAGCCCCGCCAAAACCACTGTCATTACAGGATGACTGTGGGTACACTCAAGGCAACGCTCCTTAAGGTGCAACATCAGAGGCTTCACACTGTGGCAGGTGGGGGAATTCACTAAAATAATCCAACCAGTCACCAAACAACAAAACAAGTAAATAACAGTATCAAGCTTGGGTAGGGGCAGGGGGATGACCGGTAGCCAGATATGTGACAATATATTGTCTAAAAAGCCCAGTTTCCCAGAGAAACTTAAGAGCTATAAAAAGAAATAAAAGAGTGATCCATACACACACACACAAAAAAAAAACAGGAACAGAAACTGCCTGTGAAAGCAACCAGATATCAGATTTAACAAAGATTTCCTAGCAACCATTATAAATATGTTCAGAAATAACTAAAGAAAACTGTGATTGAAGAAGTAAAGAAAGATATGATGATAATGTCTCATCAAATAGAAATATTAATACAGAGATAGAATTATTCTTAAAAAGAACCAAATGGAAATTCTGGAGTTGAAAAGTACAATAACTAGTGGGGCACGGTGCCTCACACTTGTAATCCCAGCACACTGGGAGGTCGAGGCAGTCAGATCACCTGAGGTCAGGAGTTCGAGACCAGCCTGGCCAACATGGCAAAACCCCATCTCTACTAAAAATACAAAAATTAGGCTTGGTGGTACGCGCCTGTAATCTCAGCTACTCGGGAGGCTGAGGCAGGAGAATTGCTTGAACCCAGGAAGCAGAGGTTGCAGTGAGCCAAACTTGCGCCACTGCACTCCAGCCTGGGCAACCAGAGCAAAACTCCATCTCAAAAAAAAAAAAAAAGAAGAAGAAGAAAAGTACAATTACTAAAATGAAAAATTCACTAGTGGAGCTCAACAGTAAATCTGAACAATCAGAAGAAAGAATTAGCCAACTTGAAGATATTAATAAATCAATAGAGATTATGCAATCCAAAGAACAGAGAGAAAATAGAATGAAGAAAAATAAACAGAGCCTCAGAGGACTGGTACACCATAAGCACGCCAACATATGCAGAACAGAATACAGAAGAGAAGGAGACAAAGAACAAAACAGAAAAAAATAGTTGAAGAAATAATGGCTGAAAATGTCACGAATTTATTGAAAAACAATCTACATACCCAGGAAGCTCAATAAACTCTAAATAGGATACATGCAAAGAGATCCACAAATAAATATATCACATTAGAAATGCTGAAAGCCGCCGGGCCTAGTGGCTCACGCCTGTAATCCCAGCACTTTGGGAGTTCAAGGTGGGTGGATCACCTGAGGTTAAGAGTTTGAGACCAGCCTGGCCAACATGATGAAACCTCGTCTCTACTAAAAATACAAAAAATAATTAGCTGGGCATAATGGTGGGGGCCTGTAATCCCAGCTACTTGGGAGGCTGAGGCAGGAGAATCGGTTGAACCCAGGAGGTGGAGGTTGCAGTGAGCTGAGATGGTGCCACTGCACTCCAGCCTGGGTGACTGAGCAAGACTCTGTTGAAGGAAGGAAGGAAGGAAGAAAGGAAGGAAGAAAGGAAGGAAGGAAGGAAGGAAGGAAGGTGGGAGGGAGGGAGGGAGGGAGGGAAGGAAGGAAAGAAAGAAAGAAAAGGAAGGAAGGAAGGAAAGGAAGAAGGAAGGGGAGAAAGAAAGAGAGAGAGACAGAAAGAAAAGCTGAAAGCCAAATACAGGGAGAAAATCTTGACAGCAGCAAAAGAAAAACAATTCATCACTTACAAGGGAACCCCCAATTATTAACAGGTGCCTCCTCATCAGAAACAGTGGAGTGCAGATGAGTCCAGATAGCAGTGGGGAAACACACCTCCAGGATAGACTATGTGGTAGCCCATAAAACAAACGTCAATAAATTAAAAAGGATAGAAAGAATACAAAATATGTTCCCTGACCACAACAGAATAAAACTAATAATCAGTAACAGAAACAAATTTGGGGAACTCACAAATATGTGAAAATTAAACAACACACTCCTAAATAACCAATGGATTAAAGGAAAAATCAAGAGGGAAATTAGAAAATACCTTGAGGTGAAAGAAAATGAAACCACAGCACACCAAAACTTACGGGTTGTAGCTTAAGCTGTGCCAAAAGGGAAATTTGTAGCTGTAAATGCCTATAATGAAAAAGAGGAAGATTTGAAATCTTCGTCTCAGAAATCCCATTTTAAGACAATGGAAAAAGGCTGGGTGCAGTGGCTCACATCTGTAGTCTCAGCACTTTGAGAGGCCAACGCAGGAAGATCATTTGATGCCAGGAGTTCAAACCCAGCCTGGGCAACATAGCGAGATCTATCTCTAAAAAAAAGAAAAGTAAATTAGCTGAGCATGGTGGCCTGTGCCTGTAGTCCTAGCTACTTGGGAGTCTGAGGCAGGAAGATTGCTTGAGCCCAGGAGTTCAAGGTTACAATGGAAAAAAAAAAAAGACATGAGAAAGAAGAGCAAATTAAACCTAAAGCAAGCAGAAAAAAAGAGATACTTAAAAAATTAGAGTGGAAATGTGGAAATTATTAAAATGGAGACTAGAAACAATATTTGAGAATACGAGATGAAATCAAAAGTTGGTTCTTTGAAAAAGCAAGTCTTTAGTTAGATTGACCACAATAAAAAGAGAGATGCTGCAAATTACTAGAATCAGAAATGAAGGAGGGGAAATTACAACTGACCTTACAGAGAGAAAAAGGATTATACTATTATGCTAATTAATTATGCTAATGCATTAGACAACTTAGAATGAAATGGGCACATTCCTACAAAGACACAAATGACTGAAACTGATGCAAGAGTAACAGAAAATCTGAATAGACCTATAATAAATAGGTTGAATTAGTCATCAAAACAATGACTCACAAAGAAAATACCAAGCCAGATGTCTTCATTGGTGAATTCTACCAAATATTTAAAGAATTAATACCAATTCTTCAGAAACTCTTCCAAAAACTAGAAGAGGATGCCCTGATGCCAAAACCAGGTGAAACCAGATGAAAACATCAAAAGAAAAAAAAAAACTACAGACCAATATCTCTTTTGAATATGGATACAAAAATTTTCAAAAAAAATTCTAGCAGGCTGAATCCTGCAACACATAAAAACAATTATATACCATGACCAGGTAAGATTTATCCAGAAATGCAAGGCAAATCAGCAACCAAAAGTCAAGTAATAAAATTCATCATATCAGTAAAATTAAAAATGAAAAACACATGATCCTCTCAATAGCACAGAACTATCATTTGACAAAATTTAACATCTCTTCATGATAATAGTCTCAACAGCAGGGGAATCACTTGGACCCAGGAACCTGGGAGGTAGAGGTTGCAGCAGCCACTGCACTCCAGCCTGGGGGACTGAGCGAGACTCCGTCTCAATAAAAAGGTGTTTCCACTTATGGCAGAAGAGAAAGGGAGCAAGTGTGTGCAGAGATCACATAGTGAGAAAAAAGAGAGAGAGGAGGTTTAACAAGCAGCTCTCACAGAAACTAATAGAGCAAGAACTCACTCATTACCACAAGAATGGCACCAAGCCATTCATGAGGGATCCTCCTCCCTGACTCATACACCTCCCACTAGGTCCCACCTCCAATATTGGGGATCACATGTCTTTTTTTTTTTTTTTTTGAGATGGAGTTTCGTCCTCATTGCCCAGGCTGGAGCGCAATGGCGCAATCTCGGCCTCCCAGGTTCAAGTGATTCTCCTGCCTCAGCCTCCCGAGTAGCTGGGATTACAGGCATGTGCCGCCACGCCTGGCTAACTTTGTATTTTTAGTAGCGATGGGGTTTCTGCATGTTGGTAAGGCTGGTCTTGAACTCCCAACCTCAGGTGATCCACCCACCTAGGACTCCCAAAATGCTGGGATTACAGGCATGAGCCACTGTGCCCGGCCAGGGATCACATTTCAACATGAAGTTTGAAAGTTGCATTCTTGCAACTTGCCATGGAGTTTGGAGATTACACCTTCCAAACCTCCCAGTGTAAACAGGAGCCCCTATTTACCCTTAAACAGGATTCTCCACTGTTAACACCTTACCACATTGCATGTATGTGGTATATACCTTATCACACTCATTCTTTGCGTATGTATTCCCTTTTTTTCTGAATCATTTCAGAAATTGTAATTGCAGATATGATGACCTATTACTCTTTGAATACCTTAGTGTATATTTTCTAACAAGGACACTGCCGTACATAACCATAGTACAACCATCAAAATCAGGAATTAACATTAACAGAATATTACCATCACAGATTCCAGTCACATTTTATAAATTGCCCCAATTATGTTCTTTATAGGTCTGGATCCAAATCAGGATCATGTGTCGCAATTTGTTGTCATGTCTCTTTAGTTTCCTTCTATCTGGAACAGTTCTTCAATCTTTACTTGTCTTTCAAGACCTTGGCATTTTTGAAGAGGACAGGCTAGAGTGCAGTGGCTCCCGCCTGTAATCCCAGCACTTTGAGAGGCCAAGGCAGGCAGATTACTTGAGGTCAGGAGTTTGAGACCAGCCTGGCCAACATGGTGAAACCCCTTCTCTAATAAAAAATACAAAATTAGCCAGCTGTGGTGATACATACCTGTAATCCCAAGCTACTTCAGAGGCTGAGGCAGGAGAATCACTTGAACCCAGGAGGCGGAGATTGCAGTGAGCCCAGATCGTGCCACTGCACTCCAGCCTGGGTGACAGAGCCAGACTCAGTCTAAAATAAAAAATTTTTAAAAAATTTTTAAAAAAAGGATATGCTAAGTATTTTGTAAAATGTCAGTTTGAGTTGCTCTGATGTTTCCTCATGATTTTTGCATTTCGGCAGGAACAATGGAAAAGTAGTATTATATTTCTCTCAGAGCATTATATTATGAGGCCCATGATATTGACTTGCCCCATGGGAGGTGGGAGTAACTTTCATCAGCTGACAGGCTTCTCCACTGTCAGGTTAACTAATAATGGAATGTATTAATTAATATCAAATTAGTGAGCCAGGCGCAGTTCTGCACACCTGTAGTCCCAGCTACTCTGGAGGCCTAGGTGGAAGTATCCCTTGAGGCCAGGAGTTTGAGGCTACAGTGAGCTAAGATCATGCCTGAGAAGGGCCACTGCACTCCAGCCTGGGAAACAAAGTGAGACTCTGTCTCTAAAGAATAAATAAATAAATAAATAAACACTTTTAAAAAATCAAGTTAGTATATGATATACTCACTATACCAAATATGTTAGTAGGATATACTTTGCAACTATGTCTACATTTATTAACTGTAATTGTATTGTAAGGTAGCACGTTTCCTTTTCCCTTGTTTATTTATTCATGTATTATTTGTATTTGTATGAATTCATGGATTCTGCTTTATTCAATGGATTACGATCTGTTCTTGTCATCATCTATTCTGAGGCTCAAATAGCCCCAGATTTGGCCATCGGTAGTCCCCTTGAACAGCTTCTTTGATTGAACCCAGAATAACACACCATACTCCTTGGGTGGCCAGCATCCATTTTTCCCTCTTCCCACCAACAGTAGCCCAGATTTTCATGTTTATTGTCAACCAAGTGATTGGGTTGAGATGGACCCCACCTCAGCTCCAGGGGTGTGCCCTGCTTAGCTTAAGCCAATCAGTGTACCCCATTATTCTCCAGGACACAGTGATTGGTCTGAGGGTGGGCAAATGACCTGTGAGAACTGGCCAATGAGAACTGAGGAGATAGCTGATAGGCCTTCTGGGAAAGAAGCTTCCTATTTCTTTCCAAGGGAGCTCTCTCTCCCTCTGATGGAGGCACTGTAAAGAGGTGAAGTGTGGACCTGATGAAGCCATTTCTGCTGCCAAGAGAGAAGCGAACCTGAAGACAATTTCAATATACAGAGGTCGGGAGAACGAAAAATTGCAATAAAACAGGACTGGGGCTCTGCTGACGCCACACATTTCTGGATCATTCTGTGCCTGAACATACCCGTGGACTGGTTAATTATTTGAACCAGTAAATTATCTTTTTTGATTAGGCCAGAATGGGCTGAGACTTCTGTTGCTTGCAACCAAAAGGGCCCTAAAAGATACACTCCCCCGAAACCGCAAAGGAAGGCTGCCTGTCGCAAGAAGCAAGAGGATGGGTTTCTGTTCCTTTTCACCAAAAACAAAACAAAAACACCTCTAACCCTGCTGGTCTATCCCACTGGTCTGAGAGCTTCTGGGGACATCGCCACTGTGTGCCTTGGCCTTTCTGAATAACGCATGGCTGTGGTGAGTGCTCAGTAAGCATTTCACGACTAACTGTGTGAATGCTGTTAAGGTTGTCTCGTTCACCACTAAATCCATAACATCTACAACAGTGTATGGGACACACGACAGACATTTATTGAAGGACTACACAGCTCACCCCAGCATGCCACTGACACCCACCCCTCAAATCCACCAAAGAAGAAGCAGCTGCGGCTAAAATCTTGCTTGACACTTTATTCTCGTGAGAGGGGAGGACAGCAGAGGGAGTCAGGGGAGGGAGACTGGAGAGTGGATTCTGGATCGAGGAAGCGAGGAGCCGGCAGAGGTTGCTGAGGTTCCCGGGATCTGAGGACAGGAGCCTGTGCTTCTTCCACAGGACAAGGTGAGAGGGCTCAGAGGGGACCTGGAGAGGAGAGAACAGCCAGCTGTGGGCAGATGTGGTGGGTCCTCAAGGAGAAGCAGGCACTCAGAATGTTACTTGCTTAAGGTCCCAGAGCCACCTGACCCTACTGAACACACCCAGAGGCACATCCTGGAAGCCAGTCGGCAGCCTGAGCAGGTTGTGGGGCCTTGAATAGAAAAGCCACAAGCTCCAATGACAGGAAATGGTGGGGACCCCCGATCTGCCAGCATAAAATCCCAGAGCATTGGCAAGTGCCAGCTGAGCTGCCAGAGCCAATCACCGAGGCCCCTTTCTGGCCCCATTTCCTACAGCCGAGATCTGTTCTCTCCAGGCACAGCCTGGGCAGCCATGGAGGGAAAGGCCTCATGCTCCCCTGCCTGAAGGGTTCCCTAGCCCAGATCTCAGGGCCCAGGATTGTGGGGGAGGATATGGCCCCAGCTCCCGACCCCAGGGGCCTGTGCTGGGCTGGGATTGGAGTTTGACTGAGGGTCTGATGACCTTGAATAGCCTCAGTCTGAGGACATTTCCCCAGGGTCAGGTCCACACACACGGTGACCTCCTTCAATTCTCATTCCAATCTCAAAAATCAGGATTGCTATCTCCCCTTCACAGATGAAGAAACTGAAGCTCAGAGAGGTCAAGTTATTTGCTTAAGGTCACACAGCCAGGGAGAGATGGAGACCAGATTTTACTCCACGACCACCTGTGTCTGAAGCCCAAGCTCTAATCAGTATTTCTCAAACATTTCTAGCTAAAGTCCATCTGCTCAATTCTCCACACTTTCCCAAGCTGGGAGATGGGGGAGTAAGGAGGCAGCTTTGATATATCCTGGGGGAAGCTGTCTCCAACCCTCAGGAGGTATCCCTGCTGTCACCTCTGCACTCACCTGTAGAAGGTATACACAACCTGAGGTCCTCACAGATCTGCTGGGCAGTTTCTCCGGCCACGAGGCCCTGGGTAACTCTAGACTGATACCTCCTCATGAAATTTCTGCAGACGTCGCGCCATCGTGACCTCCCCGTCCTACACACCCGGGTCGCAGCATTGGAAACACTTCTCTGCAGCAGCAGCACCACAGTGGACATGGTTATAGGGTGAGTCCTGCCCAGCTCTGCCACCCTGCAGGTTCCAGCAGCCCTAGCAATGGGAGTACTGGGTGCGAGGAGCTGGCACCTGGTGCCCATGGGGCCAGAGACTGTACAGACGGGGCTCAGCCCCTACTCCCAGTCCCCAAGGCCTGGCCCAAGACTGGCCAGGTAGGGCTCCTGAGACAAGGACAGTTAGCCCTGCTGGGGTCTCAGCGCCTTGTGCACCTGTCCCCTGCCTTCTGTGTGGAGAATGGTGCCCATGGCTGCCAGGCACACATTAAATGCTCTGCCATGTAGCTACCTGGGTCCAGGACCTGGCTGGGGGCTCCAGATAGAGGGGGTGCATAGAGAAGACTGGTGGGGTGGGAGGTGTGGTCAGAGCTTGGAGTCTTGGCTCATTTGGTTTTAAAGTCTCTTCTATGCCATCCCAGGGGAGGAGGATGAATCTGGGTATCCAGGGCTAAGTGCGAGCCTGCAGTGCCAGGATGCTGAGTAGTTTGGGGCAGCAGAGGAGAGGGAAGGAGGGAGAGTGAAACAATAATTCTTGGTAGTAACACAGTCATTCGTTAAGCATTTACTCAGTGCTGGACGTGGAGCTAAGTACATCCCAGCCCTCAGCTCTTTTAAAAAGCTTCAGCAGCCAGGTGCAGTGGCTCATGCCTGTAATCCCACACTTTGGGAGGCCAAGGCAGGTGGATTGCTTCAGCTCAGAAGTTGGAGACCAGCCTGGGCAACACAGTGAGACCCTGTTTCTACAAAAGTACAAAAATTAGCTGGGCATGGTGGCGCACACCTGGAGCCCCAGGTACTCAGGAGGCTTAGACAGGAGAATTGCTTGGGCCAGGGAGGCAGAGGTTGCAGTGAGCCAAGATCACACCAGTGCACTCCAGCCTGGGTCTCAGAGTAAGATCCTATCTCAAGGAAAAAAAAAAAAAAAGGGTTTGACAACTTGCAAGATAGGGACTATTATCCATCACATTTCAAAGATAAGATAACAGAGGCTCAGAAAGTGGAAGTGACTTGCCCAAGGCCATGCAGCTTGGAAGTAGCAGATCTGGGATTTATCAGTCCTGACCCAGGCCTCTTGGGGAACTAGCTTCTCAAACTCTGCCTTGGACACAAATGTTAGGGCTTTAGGGGAAGATTCCTAACTTCTCTGGGACAAGCCCTCTTTGAGGATACATGATGAAAACCATGTATACTCTGCCGTCTGACTTACACAGTTCCAGAGAGTCACAATTTCACAAGTTCTCTGAAATTCATCCACAGACACACGGGGACTCACAGATTCCCTTCTAGGAAGCCCTCCCCCAGGATCACTGTGCAAGGTGCCCCCGGGCTCCCCGATCCCCGACCTGGTCACAGGCTGGCCCCTCCATTGAGCAGCAGACAGGAGGCTCTGTAGCCCCTTGGCCTCACCTGGGTGGGCTTATCCACCATCTTCTTCAGTTTTTGGACTATCGTCAGACAGGTCCTGTAGTCACGGCCCAGCTCCTGTGTTTTGGTCAACAGGTCACCCTGTCAGGAAAGAAAGCCCTTATGATGGTCTCTCAGACACTCTGGGAGCGCGTGAAAGTGCCCAGGAAAGGGGCCCTTTGTGTTTCTGAGGCCGGCAGGAATGTCCGTGATCTCTTCCCAGAGCGTGGATACACTGAAGGCCTGAACTGGCTGCCTGGCCCCTGCCCACCCTTTTGCTTGTCTTAGAGGCTCTGAGACACCCCAGAAACAGCCTCCCACACCCCCAGTACTTTCCCAGCCCTGCACTTGCCCCTCTCCTATTGAGGAACTCCCAGGGGAGTCTGCCTATTTGGGTTCTGCAGCCCCAGGCTCCTTGGAGGGTGAGACCCCAGAGGATCCTCCTGGAGGAGTCTGCCAGATACCTGTAGCCCTCCTGGCCAGACATGAATTCAACAAAACCAGCATCGTCAGAAACAGCCCAGCCTCCACTCCCACCTCCTGACCATTAGAGAGCTCCAGACCTCACCCCAGGAGCCACCAGGGAGGAGGGAAAGGAGAGGGACTGTGGCAGGTGAGCAGAGAGCCAACACGTACCTGGGGGCCCTCCTGGGCCAGGCACGGGCAGGATTTCTCCTCATCACGCAGGTGGGCTCTTGCCAGGTCGTAGTACTCAGGGCTCAGACGAGAGAAGACCAGACCTGAGGAAGACCAGACTTCAGCTTCCCCTCCGCAGGCGGAAGGAGAGGGAAAGCCCGTTCTCCTGGCTGGTGGGAGTCCAGGAGGTGACCAGGGCCTAGGACAGGAGCTGGGCCTTGCAGGGGGCCAGGATACCTGTCCACATGCTTTGCCCTGGAGCCGCTCTGACCCACTCTCAGCACAAACACGTGTTCTCACGTTCCTTCTAGAAAGCCAGGAGGGCGAGACTCTCTCTTCTCCTCTGTTCCCCCAGCAACACAGATTTGGGGGTCGGTTTGTCTAGAAACTTCCCTCAATCTCCTTTCAAGGGATTTTCTTTTTTTACCTTCCATCCAGATGGCCCAGCCAAATCCACTCTCCCTTCCAGAAGTGTTCTTGCCCTTGGGGCTCACACTGACCTCAAGGCCTGGGAGAGAGCAGGGTGCAGGGGGCAGGAAGTCTGCCTTGAACACAGAAGAGATCTTGTTCTCTCACCAGCCCCGCACAATCCTAGACAGTGTAGGCCCGAGGAAACGCAGATCCACCGATGAGGGCCAATGGCCTTCACCACGCAGATGCGGAGGCAGGGGCTTGGGAGGGAAAGGGGGGTCTCAGGCCACACAGTGTGGCCAGTAGAGTTAGGACCAGAATCCCTGGCCTGTCTCTCCTCCTTGGCCAGGCCAGTGACAGGCTGGGCAGCACACTGGACTAAGCCTGGCTCTGAGGGGAGGCCAGGCCTCCATGACGGGGGAGAAGGCCGGGGGGAGGCAGGGGCACCTGGGTGCCCACAGAGTCCAAGCTCCAGGTTCAGCCAGCCTGAGAGTGCGAGGCTGGGTGGGCCATCAGGATCGATCCCGAGGGGAAGGCCTTACCTGGGTTGCCCAGGAGCATGGCTGCAAGGAGCAGGAGGGCCCAGGTAGCCATGGTGGGGCAGCCGCTGAGATGCCTTTCACACCCTGTTTTATGGGCAGGGAGCCTGCAGCTTAATCTTTCTCAGGTCCTGCCCTTTTTGTATGTCATCTCCCCCGTGTCACTGGGTTTACCACAGATACAAATACCAGTGTGTGAAGAAGCAGCTCAGGGCAGTGGTAGCCCACAGGGTCCATGCCACACCCCACTCCCACACAACTAGAATGTGGGGTTGCTGGAGGCCAGCAGCTGCCAGGATGCCTGGGATGTGCCGATGGAGGGAGAAACCCCTTAGTACAAGTACGTTCCAGATATTGCATGGGACATACTTATACTAAAAGTATAAGTGAGTCATCTCACTTGACCCAAAAACTATTTTTAAACAGCTTTTTAATTTAACAATATACCACGAACATCTTTCCACATTTGTAAATGTAGATCTTCTTCATCATTTCCCCTGGTTGCCTAATGGTTCCCTTTACACATGAACCATAGCTGGGGTCCTGTAACTCTGGGACTCGTGTCCCCTGTGGTACTTCGGCTTGAAGAGCAGAGGCTGGGAAGCCTCTCCAAGGGCTCACCCAGTAGTCAAGTTGAGTGATGTGAGGGCCTTCTTCAGACAGGGTGCCTCAGCATCTCAAAAAGGCAGCTGTAGCTCCTCCAGGCTACAAGGCCTGTTCACGTGGAAAATGGAAAGAGTGAAGCTGAAAGAGGTGGTACCTGTATAGGAAAAACATCTTTCCCAGGGACCCTCAGCCTCCATCTCATTGATCTGAACTGTGTCACATGATGACCCTGGCTGCAAAGGGCAATAGGAAGGGAGTCTTTTGCTGGACCTTCACTGACACTTTGCTTTTTGTTGTTGTTGTTTGTTTTTGTTTTGTTTTTCTTTTTTGAGACAGAGTTTCACTCTTGTCACCCAAGCTGAAGTGCAGTGGTGTGATCTTGGCTGATTGCAACCTCCACCTCCGGGTTCAAGTGATTCTCCTGTCTCAGCCTCCTGAGTAGCTGGGATTACAGGTGCACGCCACCATGCCCTGCTAATTTGTGTGTTTTTAGTAGAGACAGGGTTTCACCATGTTGGCCAGGCTGGTCTTGAACTCCTGACCTCAGGTGATCCGCCTGCCTCGGCCTCCCAAAGTGTTAGGATTACAGGCATCAGCCACCGCACCTGGCCTTCATTGACACTTCGAACAAAATTGATATCCTGCTAGGGAGGATGAGGGAATGGGAATCGTATAGGCAATGGCAGTGTCAGCTACCGCAGGACTTTTTTTTTTTTTTTCTGATACAAGTTCTTGCTCTGTACCTCAGGCTAGAGTGCAGTGGTGCAATCACAGATCACTGCAGCCTCAACCGCCCAGGCTCCAACAATCCCCCCACCTCAGCCTCCCAAGTAGATGAGACCACAGGTGCTTGCCACTACCACCCCTGCTGATTTTAAAATTTTTGGTAGAGATGGGTCTCCATATGTTGTCCAGGCTGGTCTCGAACTCCTGGACTCAAGCGATCCTCCCAGCCTCCAAAGTGCTGGGATTATAGGCATGAGCAACCACGCACGGCTTTGCAGGACTTTTTGATAAGGAAACATATTTCAGGAAGAATTGGTAGGACTTTGTACCTATATGATTACAAGAAAGAAAGAAGAGAGAGGAGGCAAAGGTTTTACTAGTATTTGGGGCCCAGGAGGCTGAGGGACTGGCTGTGAAAATTAGGAAAAGGAGCTTTCTGGTGAGAAGTTGAGTTTGAGGTATTGCATTTGTGGCTGTCTTGTTTCCCCAGCTGTAAATCAACTGCTTGAGAGCAGGGCTGCCTCTGCCTGTCAGGGTCTCCCCACCATGCCTAGAACAGCTCTCAGACCAACCGGCAAACTCGTTTTACCTCAGATGAGGAAACCAGGACTCAGAAAGATCCAGTGAATTACCCACCAACACACAGCTAGGAAGGGAATGGTCTGTGGATTTGAACCCAGACCCTACGACTCCAAAGCCCAAGTTTTCCCCCAGCCCTACCCTAACTCAGTGTCCAGGTTTTCAGTGCAGGGCCACTTAACCCTCTTGAGGCCAGCTCAGGCACTACTCCCCCATCTGAGCAGACCCCCTCTCTCCTGACCACTTGTAGACCTTGGTCTCATGTGTGAAGACCACATTCTTGGGGGTAAAGGGTCTTGAAAGGTGACTCATGTCTCTTTATTGTGGGAAACTTGGTGAGACCAAACACTGCAGTAAGTCCTTGTCAGAGGTATTGAGGAGTACGTGGCAAAGCTCATGTAGTTAGTCACAAGCCTCCACCCAGGCCTCTGGGGTCCCGTGTGATAAGAACCTGGGGTAAGTTTTACCCAATTCCCACCCATGGTACCCCAGGAACTGGCCCATTGCAAGTCAGGCCCAGGCCCACAAAGAATTCCTCTGTGAAATATTGCCTTCTGCGGAGCTTGCAGTGAGCCGAGATCGCGCCACTGCACTCCAGCCTGGCGACAGAGCGAGACTCCGTCTCAAAAAAAAGAAAAGAAAAGAAATATTGCCTGCTGTATCTTCTTCAGGAAATCTTCACTTACGCTATCATAAAAATCACCTCTATGTTTTTTTCTAGAACTTTTATAATTTTAACTTTGACATTTAGGTCTATGACTCATCTCAAATTAATGTATAGTGTGAGCTGGGTTGAGGTTTTGTTTCTTCATATCAATTTCTTGAAAAGATTTTTCTTTTCCCATTGAATTGCTTTGGCACGTTGGTTGAATATCAATTGACTGTGGGTCTGTTTACGGACTCCTTATTATATCAACTGCTACTGCAATAATAATAATAAAGCAATCCAATTTTTTAAATGGGCAAAATATTTGAACAGGTAATTCGCAAAGGAAGATAAGAATGACCAAAACATTTGAAAACCTGCTCAACATCGTAAATCACAAAGAAATTCCTTTTTTTTTTTTTTGAGATGGATCCTCACTCTGTCGCCCAGGCTGGAGTGCAGTGGCGTGATCTCGGCTCACTGCCACCTCTGTCTCCCGGCTTCAAGCAATTCTCCTGCCTCAGCCTCCTGAGTAGCTGGGATTACAGGCACACACCACCAAACCTGGCTAATTTTTGTATTTTTGGTAGAGATGGGGTTTCACCATCTTGGTCCAGGCTGGTCTTGAACTGCTGATCTCAAGTGATTCACCCACCTCAGCCTCCCAAAGTGTTGGGATTACACGCATGAGCCACTGCGTCTGGCCAAGAAATTCTATATTAAAACTATACTGAGATGATGCATCAACATGACTAAAATTAAAAAGACAGAAAACCCAAATGCTGATGTGTCTGTGGAGCAACTGGTACTCTTAAGCATTGTTGGTGGGAATATAAAACACTAATAACTGAAAATTGGATTGACGGTTTTTCAGAAAGTTGAGCGTACACCTGCCCTGTGACTCAACAATTTCACTTCTATGTATTTACCCAAACTAAATGAAAACACCTCTACATACACAGATTTATACAAGAATGTTCACAGACATGTAACCCAGCAATTCCACTCCTAGGTAGACACCCAAAAGAAATAAAAGTAGATTGAAACAGATACTTGTACATCAATGTTCATAGAAGCATTATTCACAGTAGCCAAAAGATGGAAAGAGCCCAGGTGTCCATTGACAAATAAATGGATAAACAAGCCGGGCATAGTGGCTCACACCTGTAATCCCAGCACTTTGGGAGGCCAAGGTGGGAAGATGGCTTGAGGCCAGGAGTTTGAGGCCACCCTGAGCAACATAGTAGACCCCAGCTCTACAGAAAAAGTTAAGAATTAGCTGAGCATGGTGGCATGTGCCTGTACTCCCAGCTACTCAGGAGGCTGAGGTGAGAGGATTGCTTGAGCCCAGGAAGTCGAGGCTGCAGTGAGCCAAGGTCATGCCACTGCACTCCAGCCTGGATGACAGAGTGAGAGCCTGTCTCTAAGAAAAATTAAAATTAAAATTTTAAAAAGTGCATAAACAAAATGTGCTCTACATATACAATGGAATATGATTCAGCCTAAAAAGGGAACACAGTTCTGATACATACTACAACATGAATGAACCTTGAAATAATTATGCCAAGCGAAGTAAGCCAAACACAAAAGGATAAACATTGTATGATTCCACTTACATAAAATTTATAGAATAAACAAATTCATAGGGACAGAAAGTAGATTAGAGGTTACCCAGGGCTGGAAGGAGTGGGAAATGAAGGATTTAGTGCCCACTGGTTAGACTTTCCATTTGGGATGATGAGAATGGTTTTGGAAATCGATAGTTCCAAATAGATGATTCCACAATCTTGTGAGTATAATTAATGCCACTGGATTGTACATTTAAAATGGTTAAAATGGCTAATTTTGTCATTTATTTTTATTAATATTATTTTTAATTGACAAATCATAATTTTATATATTTATGGAGTACAATGTGATGTTTTGATATATGTATACCACTTGGAATGATTAAATCAAGGTAATTAACATATCTATCACCTCCGTTATCATTTTTTGTGGTAAACGTTTTATGTTATATGTATTTTACCACAATAGAAAAAAATTGTTTTAAAAGGTTGTTCAAAGAAAATGAAAAAAGGAAGAATGAATGAATAAATAAATAAATAAATAAAAGATTGTTTGCAGAAGCTTTTTCATAACAGCCAAAAATTAGACATAACCCAAATGTCCATCAACAGGTCAATGGATGAAGAAATTAAGGTAGAGCCATACAATATTATACATAACTACTTGGCAATAAAAAGGAATGAACTACTAATACAAGCAATAAAATGAATAAATCTTTAAAAAAAAAAAAAAAAAAGGAAAAAGAAGCCAGACACGAAAGACTACATTCTGTATGATTCCATTTGTATGAAGTTCTTGAGCAGCAAAATTCATCTATGGCAAAAGAAATCAGAAAAATGGTAGGAGGTGGGAGGAGGATGTGAGGGTTATTGGGCTGGCACAGGGGTATTTTTTTTAGATAGTGAAAGTGTTCTATATCTTAATTAGCTTGTGAATTGCATGAGTGTGCATCTATCAAAACTCTTCAAACTGGACACTTAAGACTTAAGCATTTTGCTAGATGTAAATTATACCTCAATTTAAAAATTATCCAAAAAATTATTATTATTATTATTTTTGAGAGGGAGATTCCCTCTTGTTGCCCAGGCTGGAGTGCAATGGCATGATCTTGGCTCACCGTAGCCTCCGCCTCCAGTATTCAAGCTATTCTCCTGCCTTGGCCTCATGAGTAGCTGGGATTACAGGCGTGTGCCACCATACCTGGCTAATTTTGTATTTTTAGTAGAAACGGGGTTTCTCCATGTTGGTCAGGCTGGTCTAGAACTCCCGACCTCAGGTGATCCGCCCGCCTCAGCCTCCCAAAGTGCTGGGATTACAGGTGTGAGCCACCACGCCCGAACAAAAAAGATTCTTAAGTTACAATTTTATGGCTCCCAATGAACAATATCAAATACTTCCCCAAAGGATTGTACCCATTTACAACATTGCCAACATTGTATGAGAGTTCCCTGCACTCTCACCAGCATTGAATATTGTCACACTCTTTATTTTGCAAATGTAATGAGTGAAACTAACACCTACTTTTATTTCCATTTCAATGACTACAAATTAAGTTTAATATTTTCCCAGGTATTTGTTTACATTTACATTTATTTTGAAATTGTCTTTTTATGTCCCTTGTCCAATATCTACTGGACTCTACTATGTTTTTCAATTTGTAAGACTTCTTTACTAATAAATACATTAATGTTTTGATATATTTGCTACAAATATTTTGTCACTTCTTGATTGACCTTTAAATTTCCATAAGGTTCTTATGCATAGAAAGTTTTCATTTTCTATAATCAAATATGTATATTTATGACATATTTTCTCAGTTTAGAAAGTTGTGATTGCCTCTTTTTCCCTAGAAAATATTTTTTTTGCTAATTTTTACAGTTAGACTTTTTTTAATGTGACACTTCAATCCTCTGGAATTGATTTTAGGGAGGTATGAGGTGGGATGTATTCTTTTCAAAATGCTATTCCCTTAGTGTAAAGGTATTGATTGTATACTTTCCCCTCCTCTCCATTGATCTGAAATGGTTCTTTTATTGTATATTCAATTATATGTAATAGGATCAAATTCTGACCTATCCATTCTGTCTAATTGACCCAAATATCTTGTGTTCTATTAACACCACATTATCTAATCCTGCAGTTTTCTTGATATTTTCCTTTGATATTCCTTTACTTTTAAATTGTACATTGGGTAATATTTTATTTACTATAATACTTTATATGCTAAAAGTATATATAAGGTATAATATTTATATACTAAATATTAAATATCTACTAAATGCTAAATATAAATTATTTTGACCAATAGTATATCAGATTCTAATTTTCACTTTTAATTTTGTTATAACTAAAAACTAATATGGAAAAAATTCACTTCTTTATAGCCACTCTTTCAGCCATGATCATAGTATAACTTTTTTTTTTTTTTTTTGAGACAGGTCTGGCTGTGTTGCCCAGGCTGGAGTGCAGTGGTGTGAGTGGTGTGATCTTGGCTCACTGCAACTTCTGCCTCCCAGGTTCAACTGATTCTCCTGCCTCAGCCTCCAGAGCAGCTGGGATTACAGGCGCCCGCCACCACACCTGGCTAATTTTTGTATTTTTAGTAGAGACTGGTTTTCACCATGTTGGCCAGGCTGGTCTTAAACTCCTGGCCTCAAGTGATCTGCCCACCTCGCCCTCCCGAAGTGCTGGGATTACAGGCGTGGCCACCGCGCCCAGCAGATCATAGTATGACTTTCTATTTTTTCCAAGTCATCTTTTTTCTCTCTCAATAAAGTTTTAGGAAGAGTTTTCCAGTGCAGGGGAGCTGAGCATCAGCCAACCCAGGACCCGGACCGTGATGATTCTGGGTGGCCAGGGAGATGGTGGGGGTCAGCGGGGGGCAGGAGACTTCAGAGGGATGTCCAGCTGGGAGCAGATCCCTCTCCGCTTTCTCCCCAGCTTGCGCAAATGACTCAGAGCCTATTCACGTGACATTTTGATATAACAAAACAAAATGCCAGGGACTCAAAATGAGATAATTAAAGGCAGTAAAACAGAAATAAAATAGGGAGATAATCAGCCAAAAAAGACCTATGGGAGAAAGCAGATGATGGGAAATAAAGTGAAGCAGATTTTTTGGTATGTGTTTCACCAGACTTTCTGAAATTTAAAAAATGATGACCCTTTATTTAGAGAACTGCTCTTCTCAGCACCAGTCACAGCAAACAAGCAGTCCCTAGATGTTAACTGTCTGATTGCACTTGGGAAAATATTATTAAATAGCCTCACCCTAAGAATGAGAAGAAAATACACCTGTGAAATTGTATGGAATATTTTTACATTTCACCAGCATCCATCAATCTCGTACTTTTGGTAAACATTTCCATCATCTCCTATTTCAGAAATTCTGTACTTTCAGGCACTAGGTTTACTAAATACCACATCTGCCTATTTACTCAAATGATGTCCTTTACTTAAAGCCTTTTTGCATTATCCAGTTTTCCTGATAGTTTGTATAGATGATTGCCTGAATTTCTCAAAAAGCAAGCTTCCCTTAAGCGTCAAAATTATTTTTATTTCTTTGCAGTAATTTCAATTTACGTTTCAGTCCTTGCTTACATTTTGGGAGACCCAGCTATCTGCCAAAGCCTGAAGGCACAGAAGGTTTATTCTCATCAATGTCCTTTCTACATCAGCATTCAGGGCTAGTGGCTGTCATTTTTCGTGATGATTTTATGGTTTTTATAACCTCTTTGTTACATGATTTTAGGATAACTTTCTATATGAATGAGACTATCCTATATCTTCTTCCCTTTCATCCCATTCTAGATATACTGTGAGTTCTAAAAAATTACACTTGCCCAAACTCACTGTTTTCTTGGTACCTGGTTGTCATTTGTACCACTTCAAGTAATCATCCTTTTTCTTTGTTTTGTTTTGTTTTGTTTTGTTTTTTATTTGAGACGGAGTCTCGCTCTGTCGCCCAGGCTGGAGTGCAGTGGTGCAATCTCCGCCTCCCGGGTTCACGCCATTCTCCTGCCTCAGCCTCCCGAGTAGCTGGGACTACAGGCGCCCGCCACCACGCCCACCTAATTTTTTGTATTTTTAGTGGAGACAGGGTTTCACCGTGTTAGCCAGGAAGGTCTTGATCTCCTGACCTCGTGATCCTCCCGCCTTGGCCTCCCAAAGTGCTGGGATTACAGGCGTGAGCCACCGCGCCCGGCCCGTAATCATCCTTTTTCTTAAGGTACAGATTCCAGCACTGAGATGAGTTCTCTGGTTGTACTTTGTCAATAGTTTTCTCATCGCTAGTTTATTGGTTTAATCGTCACAAGCTTAATTTAGGAGACATCGAATTACCTGTGGATCCATTTGTCAGCTTGAAATGCTGCTTCCTTCCACATACAATTTATAATCTTGAAAATTTGCTCAATAGGAATCTGTTAATATGTTGCCATTAAAAGTGAATTAAAATTTACAACTACAATAAGAATCATAATTTTATGATTGGAAAAGAATGATGAGTCGGGATATATAAAAAACAAGCTGAAGCCTGAGGCAGTGGCCCGCACCTGTAGTCCCAGCTTCTCAGGAAGCCCCGGAGTTTAAGAGCAGCCTGGGCAACATACGGAGACCCAGTCTCAAAAAAAAAAAAAAAAAAAGGATGAAAGCCTTTCCCCTCTAACTTTCACACCTCTTCAGAATGTATCTTTTGGGGATATGGATTATTTATTAAATGTATCTTATTTTAAAAACAAAATAATTCCAGCCAGTCATGGTAACTCATGCCTGTAATCCCAGCACTTTGGGAGGCTGAAGTGGGACGATCACTCAAACCCTGGAGTTTGAGATCAGCCTGAACAACATAGTGAGACCCCATCTCAAAAAAAGTTTTTAAATTTAAAAAACAACTCCAAGAACATTTGTTATGCCTGTTCAGGGACATTGTATATTATAAATATTAATTTGCTATGTAAATATAAAATTTACTACCAACTTTATGATATAAACAAATGAACATTTTAATCAAATTGAAAAACAAAAACAACTCCTCGGAAGCAGCTTGCCACCCAAAATATAAACATCAGTGAGAAAAGCAACACAAAGAAAAAGGCCTCGGGCAACTCTCTCACCCTCCATTTTACCTTCCTTCCAGCTGGACTCCCTTAGGCTGAGAAATCACTTCCACTGCCCTTGACTGTATTAATTTTCTATTATTGTCACAGCAATTACCACAAACTTAATGGGCTAAAATAACACCTGTGTATTATCTGACAGTTCTGGCGGTCAGAAGACTGGGTGTGCTCAACTGGTTCTCACAAGGCCAAAGTCAGGATGTGGGCTGGCAGGGCTCTAACCTGGAGGATCTGAGAATAATCTGTTTCTAGGTTCATGCCACATTGTTGGCAGAGCTCAGTGCCGTGTGGTTGCAGGACTGAGATCCCCCTTTCCGTGCTGGCTGTTATCAGAGGGTCATTCTCAGCTCTAAAGGCTGCTGGTATCTCCAGGCTCATGGCCCTGTCCATCCCTTCAAAGCCAGCGATGGTGGGGTAAATCTTTCTCAGGCTTCCAGCCTCTCTGAAGCCCTCTCTGCCTCATCTTCCTGTCCCCCATTCCACTACACACACACACACACCCACTCACACAAACTCTTATACATACACACAGAGTTCAAACACACACACTCACATAGACACACTCATATAGACACACATAGGCACACACACATATGCATGCACTCAAACACACTCTCACATACACACACTCACATAGACACTCTCACATACACTCTCGCATAGACACATACACTCATATAGATACACTCGCATAAACACACACATAGACACACACACTCTCGCATAGACACACTCTCACTCACATAGAGACACACTCTCACAGACACATACACTCACATAGACATACATACACACTCTCACACAGACACACACACACTCTCTCTCTCACGTAGACACACAAGCCATTGCCTCTTCTGTCTTCTGCTTAGATCCCTAGTCCTTGCTTCAGTACCTGCAGCTGGAGAACCCCTTCTTTGCTTTCTCATCCATGCATTTATGATGAAAATTTGTGGATTTTCCTTACGAACAGTGCGAGGAAATATTTTATGTATTTTTGACATTTTAATGTACTTACGAAAAGCATAAGGAAAAAGAATATAAGCCCCCACTAGTTCATAGCCTCTCTCCTCAGAGGAAAGAAAAACTGTTAAAATTTTCCTTTTTTGTACCTTTCCATACAAGCATGTATATATATGTTGCTCCATTTTAAATTACACAATGTAAAATATATTCAGAAATGCACACAAAACAAAACGTACAGCTCAATGGTTTATTATCAAGCACACATCCACGTAACCACCCAGGTCAAGAAATCTGCCAGCTCCCCAGAAGCCCCATCATCTTCCCTCCCAGAGACCACCCCTTCCTCCTTCCCTAGGGAGGACTTAATGATCATTGTGTTCTTGTTTTTCTTTATAGTTTTACCACCTGAGCACATACTCATAAACACCATAGCTCTGTTTTCTCTGGTTTGTTTGTTTGTTTTGAGCTGGAGTTTTGCTCTTGTTGCCCAGACTGGAGTGCAATGGCGTGATCTCGGCTCACTGCAACCTCTGCCTCCCAGGTTCAAGCAATTCTCTTGCCTCAGCCTCCTGAGTAGCTGGGATTACAGGCGTGCGCCACCACACCCAGCTAATTTTTGTATTTTTAGTAGAGACAGAGTTTCACCATGTTGGTCAGGCTGGCCTTGAACTCCTGACCTCGGGTGATCCACCTGCCTTGGCCTCCCAAAGTGCTAGAATTATAGGCATAAGCCACCATGCCAGGCCTGTTTTCTCTGTTTTTGAAGTGTATATAAATGGAACTGTACAGAATGATTGTCGCATCTGACGTCTTTTGATCAGCATTCATGTGTGAGATGGTCCATGTTGTCGTATATTTGAGCAATTTGTTCCTTTCTACTGCTGAGCAGTATTCCATTGTATGGATATTCCACAGCTTATCCATTGTCTTGTCCATGGATAATGTGGGGTGTTATCAGTTTTGACCTACTGTTATTTACCTTCCTTTTTTCCAACTTTATTGAAATATAATTAAGGTACACTCACATGCACACATTTAAAGTATACCACTTTACCAGTTCTAACACATGTACACACCCATAAAACCATCATAGCAGTCAAGACAGTGAACACATCCATCAGCCCTAAAAGTGTCCTTGTGCCCCTTTGGATAGATGGATGGGTAAGTGGATGGATGGATGATTGAATGGACAGAAGGATGAAGTCAGTCTGCAAGGAAGAAACAAGAAAGAAAATCTAGATCATGGGTGAATGGATGGATGATTGGAAACAGCCCCCACATGCCATAGTTTTTGCTCATCATTTTGGATACACCCCCCCAGATGCCCTTTATTTTATTTTATTTTTTTATTTAATTAATTAATTAATTAATTAATTATTGAGACTGATTCTCGCTCTGTCGCCCAGGCTGCAGGGCAGTGGCATGATTTCAGCTCACTGCAACCTCCGCCTCCCAAGTTCAAGCGATTCTCCTGCCTCAGCCTCCTGAGGAACTGGGATTACAGGCATGTGCCAGCACTCCCAGCTAATTTTTGTATTTTTAGTACAGACAGGGTTTCACCATATTGGCCAGGCTGGTCTCAAACTCCTGACCACCCGCCTCCGCCTCCCAGGGTGCTGGGATAACAGGCGTGAGCCACCGCGCCCTGCCTGGATGCCCCTTAAAATAGATGTTACAGAGACAGTTATGCATCAGCTGACTCTAAGGACCCATTCTGGGCCCAGGCAGCCTACTCACCCTGGAAGCTTGCTGGATTATTAAGAAATGACAGGCCAGCCAGGCTTTGTGTCTTGGACAGAAGCTCCTGAATGCAGCACTATGGCAAACTAAAAATAGATAAAAGTCTGAGGGCTGACTTGTTAAAGTAAAAATTGCATATATTTAAGGCATACAACGTGATATTTTGGCAAACATATACATAGTGAAGTATTAGTGGAAATGTAAATTAGTATAGCCATTATGGACAACAGTATAAAGGTTCCTTGAAAATTTAAAAATAGAATTACCATATGATTTAGCAATCCCTCTTCTGAGTATGCACCCAAAAGAAATGAGGCTGGGCACGACAGTTTACATCTGTATTCCCAGCACTTTGGGAGGCCAAGGCAGGAGGATCACTTGAGGCCAGGAGTTCAAGGCCAGCCTGGGCAATATAGCGAGACCCCCATCTCTACCAAAAAAAAAAAAAACACTCCTGACCACATGGCCACCACCATTTGTATCAGGCTTTGGAGTATGACACAAAGGAAATGTCAGTAGTTTCCCAGGGAGTCAGCAGACCTCACCTGAACTGTCCATAACTCATTTCTCAAGTTCCTAGGCTGCAAGAGAGGCTCAGCCTTCATCCATGCCTCTGGTTTCAGAGGTTAACCCTTTACATCACCCTTTCTCCCTCATGCACAGGCTCTCTGCCACATAACTTCTCAAAACTCTGCCACCCCAGGACCTCCCCTACTTGGGTCCCTTCCTTTGGGAGGCTCCAAAGTCACTGGCAACTTCTATGTCTGACTTTCACGGTTGATGACAGCTTGGATCCAGAGGTCTTAGAACTGAGGCTCATATACGCCCACTCTGAACCCTCACCTGGCTGCGAGCCCTACCTGCCTGCTTTCTCCACTCTCCCACCTATCAGCTTCCATCCCAGAATGACCCACATGACCCTGGCCTCCCCTGCAGCCTCACTTGTCTGCTGGCTTCTGTCCCTGGATGTCCTGGTGCCTGACCTTTACCACACCCCTGTCCTGGCGTTTGACTCATACCTGATGTGAAAGGACTGGGCACTCTGCTCTCAGCTTCCAGAACTGCATTCCCCAGCCTGACCCTCCGTCTTCTGGGATTCCTGCTTCCCCCTCAGGACTGTTGATCCACACCAGCCCCTCATCCTCACAACCAAAACAGGACAAAATCTACACCAGCGAGAATTGTTTTCTAACAGCTTCTTGTTTGCTAGTATATTTGACTGGGAAAGGAAGGTTTTTTTTTTTCCTTTGGCTTAATTTTTTTTTCAAAGTACAAAGACAATGAGTAATGACCACATGTAATTATACCAAGAAATACCATTATCAACAAGGTGATACACATCCTGCCAGTATTTCTCCAGTGTTTCGTATTGTTGTGTTTTTTTCTTTTTCATTATTAACCTAAGTTTCCTGAGGCATACCAACCTGTGTGTAAATTCTGAGTGGTGACATTTACCCTTATTTTACTGTCTCTTACCCTGTGGGCCATTGCAGTACTTTACATCCCCAACAAATTGCCCTTCAATTATGTCTGCAACTTATTCACCAAATCAGCCAGTTGTACAGTGGCAGTGCCTGGCACCACCATCTGGATAGGCACCAGCCTGTTTCCCAGGATAATTGGTCCCCAGGGTGCTGTTCTCTCTGCAGTGCCACCAGGGCCTGCTGGATGTGGCCATCTCTGCCAGGGATGCAGAGCTGGGCTGTGTCCCCTAGCACCCTGGAGGCCCCAAGGCAGCCAGGGTCTATCCTGAAATGAGAATGTCTCCCCTCCACTCTGGTTTCCCAGTTTGTTAGGCCATTTGAACCTACATGTCCTGGAGCTTTTAGCTGAAGCATCTCCTTCAGCATTTACTTGCAGACATCCTGTCACTGGGACTTGGACAAGAGCCCCTGGGGGCTGGGCTGGGGCAGACCTCCCTGTCAATTTTCAGAACTGCCCTACTCCCTGCCCAGCCAGAACACTGGGACTCTGCTACAAGTGGAGCTCCAGCCTGGTTGGAGTCTCTCTCAGCAGTTGCTCTGATAGCCTTTAGGATGGTGCCCCCAACCAGTCTGCAAAGCCTCCAGACCTCAGACTGCAGCCCTCGGTCATGTTCATTGATTCAGCAAACACCAAGTGAATGCTACTCTGTGCCAGGTACTCCGCCAGGCACTGAGAACAGGAAGATGAGTAAACATGAACATGGGGCCTGCCCTCATGGAACTTACTTTCTAGTGGGAGAGAAGACAATGATCAAATTACAAATAAGTGGACCCAGCGTGGTGAGTTACACCTGTAATCCCAGCACTTTGGGAAGCCGAGGCCAGATGATCACTTGAGGTCAAGAGTTCGAGACCAGCCTGGCCAACATGGTGAAACCCCACTTCTACTAAAAATGCAAAAATTAGTCAGGTGTGGTGGTGGGCACCTATAATCCCAGCTACCTGGGAGGCTGAGGCAGGAGAATCGCTTGAACTTGGGAGGCAGAGGTTGCAGTGAGCTGAGATTGTGCTACTGTACTCCAGCCTGGGTGACAAAGCGAGACTCCATCTCAAAAATATATATATATACACAAATAAGTGTAAACAGTAAGAAAGAACAGCTTGTCCGTGCATGGTGGCTCACGCCTGTAATCCTAGCACTTTGGGAGGCCGAGGCAGGCGGATCACCTGAGGTCAGGAGTTCGAGACCAGCCTGGCCAACATGGTGAAACCCTGTCTCTACTAAAAATACAAAACTTAGCCGGGTGTGGTGGCACATGCCTGTAATCCCAGCTACTCGGGAGGCTGAGGCAGGAGAATCGCTTGAACCCAGGAGGCAGAGGTTGCAGTGAGCCGAGATCGTGCCATTGCACTCCAGCCTGGCCTATAGAGCGAGATTCCGTCAAAAAAAAAAAAAAGAAAAGAAAAGAAAAATGAGGGAAGGGGAGGGGAGGGGAGGTTAAAATGTTGTAAAGCCCAGGTACTCGGTGCTGCCGCCTGTAATGAAGGAGCGCCTTCCTCAGCAGGTGCGTGGGCCCTGGGGTGTCGAGAGACTGGACCCCCTGGTGTTCCTTTAGTTCAGCAGAAACAGCTGCCCCAAGAAAGTTGGGCTGCAGCGAAGTCCGCGAAGGGCAAGGTGTGGGGATCGCGCTGCCCAGGGCGGTGCATCTCCACCTGGCTCCCGGGCGCCACCTTCCGGTCCTGCTTTGGAATTGCACTCCCTGGCCGCCCTGTGTTTGCGAGTGAGGGTTGGGAAGGCTGGGTGGCGTCCTGCCAGGTTGCTTCCTGAGCAGAAGTTAAGCCTGTTCCTTCCCAACTGGAACATTTAACAGCCAGGGAGAGACCCCAGAATTCTCTTTTCTCCTGGCATGATGATGGGCAGTGTTCAAGACGACCACTGCAAGTCAGCCTGTGCCCCGGGGTGACTGTGATGAGCAGAGTCCCTGGCCACACATAATGGGCCTGAGCCTGGGCATGGGACGTAGCTTTGTGGCCCTGAGCCACTACACTTAGGGGTTTCATGGTAATTTCCTGGAGACAGAGGCTCCTAGTGGCTGAAGGAATGTCTTTGTTGTGTTTTCTCATACAGGTGGCTTGGTGAGAGCAGGGCTGCGCTGCCCCTTCTGTCACCCCCACCCTGTGCCTGGAACAGCACTTGGGCACAGAGCCAGGACCCATCAGATTCAGCGACCTGACCCCATCTTCCTGGGAAAACACTTGTTCGTTCCTGCAGGAATGGCAGCTGGTGCCCTTCCAGTCAGAATCAGCTTCTCTTTTCCTGTTGAAGCCACCATCACTGCTCCCTTGTCCTAAGGCAGCTCAACTAAGGAGGTGCCCACTCGGCCTTCCCTGCTCCAGCCTCAAGATGCCTTCCTCAGGCTCCACATTTTCCCTCCATACTTTGCACCTGTTCAGGGCACAGCCCTCATCATGCCCCTCAGGACTCCACTTGAGGCCTCTTACTTCAGGGAGAGACCAAGAAGAGGGGCCTGAAGCACTTCCTGCAGAAAGGAGACCCAGCCCCTGCCAGAGGCCTGTGTGGCTTCTTATCTCCTTAGACCGGAGCAGTTGGAGGCTGGGTCAGAAAGGCAGAAAGGAACAGAAACCAACAATGGGCAGGAATGTCCTCCAGCTACAACCTATAGGCGCAGCTACAGCCAACAGGTGCAATTTTAGGGACATTTAAAAGGGTCATAATTCCATAAACAAAATGCGGTGTATGCACACAGCCTTTAAAAGGAAGGAAATTATAAGAGATGCATGATAACATGGATGAACCCAAAAGACACTCTGCTAAGTGAAATAAACCAGTCACCAAAGACAAATACTATATGAGTCCACTTCTAGGAGGGACACAGAACAGTGAAAATCATAGAGACAGGAAGTAGAATGATTATCAGGGGATGGGGGAAAGGAGAGTTAGAGAGGAGAAGTAGAATGATTGTCAGGGGATGGGGGAAAAGAGAGTTAGAGATGGGAAGTAGAATGATTGTCAGGGGATGGGAGGAAAGGAGAGTTAGTGTTTCATGGGCACAGAGTTTCTGCTTGGGAAGGTGAAAAGCATTCTGGAGATGGATGGTGGTGATGGTTGCGCATCAATGTGAATGTACATAAAGCCACTGAATGTACACTTGGAAACGGTTAGAATGTAAATTTTTTTTTTTTTTTTTTTTTTTAGATGGAGTTTCACTGTCTGTCGGCCAGGCTGGAGTGCAGTGGCGCAATCTCGGCTCACCACAACCTCCACCTCCCAGGTTCAAGCAATTCTCATGCCTCAGCCTCCCAAGTAGTTGGGATTACAGGCACCCGCTAGCATGCCCAGCTAATTTTGGTATTTTTAGTAGAGACGGGGTTTCACCATGTTGGCCAGGCTGGTCTAGAACTCCTGACCTCAGGTGATCCACCCGTCTCGGCCTCCCAAAGTGCTGGGATTACAGGCGTGAGCCACCACTCCTGGCCTAGGATGCAAATTTTAGGTTATGTGTATTTTACCACAAATGAAAAAAGAAAAAGATTCACAATTCCAGTCAGGAGAAAGGCACTGTCTTCTATACTGCTCAGAGGAGATGTCAGCATGACATCTTGGGAGACCTATTGTCAGTGTGCATTAAAATTTAAATATGCTAGGCCGGGCGCGGTGGCTCACGCCTGTAATCGCAGCACTTTGGGAGGCCTAGGCGGGAGGATCACCTGAGGCCAGGAGTTTGAGACCAGCCTGGCCAACATTGTGAAACCCCGTCTCTACTAAAAATACAAAAATTAGCTGGAAATGCTGGCAGGTGCCTGTAATCCCAGCTACTCGGGAGGCTGAGGTGGGAGGATCACTTGAACCCCGGGAGGTTGAGGCTGCAGTGAGCAGAGATCGTGCCACTGCACTCCAGCCTGGGCAACAGAGCAAGACTAGCACTAGAGCTACCAGAGGAGTCCCAATACCTGCTTGGACAACGTGGATAAAGCTGTGACATCTGGAACAGCTGTAGCCTTTTCACTGCTATGGAGGAAGACTTGGAGGCTCCAGACAGCAGAGGCTGAGCACAGGGAGAAACCATATCTTGGTGACATGATTTGCACCCGTGGATAAACTTTGCCAGCAACTACTTGATCAACTTCCAGATTTTTCAATTACATGAACCAAAAATCCTGCCCCTGCTTTTCTCTTTGAGACAGAGTCTCACTATGTTGCCCAGGCTGACCTCGAACTCCTGGGCTCAAGCGAAAATTCCCTTTCCTATAGGTCAGTTTGCATCGAGTTCTCTCTGCTTTGTAACATAAAAATGTCGGACAACACTTTCTTTTGCAATCAGAATTTAACTAATTAACACAAAAACAATAAATACATTCCCCAAGGTCAAATCTTCTCTTACCAGCTTTAAGAAAGCCTGCAAGTTATTTTTAGTTCTTCCTTTGCCCTCAGATGTTTCTGGCTTTTGAATAAAATATGCAAGTGCCGTGTTGAGCGAATTCTCACATTAAGCTTGTCCTGAATGGGGTTAAGATATCAGGACTACTTGAAATTAGAAAATATTTTTGAGCCCCCACTATGGACAAAGCCCCATCAAGGGTGTGATAAGAGCCGAAGATATCATTAGATGCAATTTCTGCTCCAGGGGTCAATGAGGAACAAACCTGCCTTCATGAACAGCACCCACTTAGGAGGGAAGCTCCTGGAAGCCAAGCCCACTATCTGGCTGGTTTACTGCTGTATCTCCAGTGCCTAGATTAGTGCCTGGCACATTGCCAAGTATATATTTTTATAATTGAATAAAAATAATAGAAGTGAATAAATGAATGGAACCATTACTTCTTTAGGTCATACCAATGTGGACTTAAAAATGGAGTCAATGCCAGAGTCAAACAACTTGAACTTCAAAAGGGTCCCCTTGAAGTTGTTAGTGGAACAGATTTCTTTGCTTTCTCCTTTCCTGGAACCCAGGCTCTACTTGAAGGGGCAGGGCTGCGCTGGTAGATGACAAATGCCATAAAAAGCTCAGCTCCTGGGCCGGGCACAGTGGCTCACGCCTCTAATCCCAGCACTTTGGGAGACTGAGGTAGGCAGATCACCTGAGGTCAGGAGTTCAAGACCAGCCTGGCCAACATGGTGAAACCTAGTCTCTACTAAAAAATAAAAAAATTAGCCGGGCATGGTGATGCATGCCTGTAATCCCAGCTACTCGGGAGGCTGAGGCAAGAGAATTGCTTGAACCCAGGAGGTGGAGGTTGCAGTGTGCTGAGATCACGCCATTGCACTCCAGCCTGGGCAACAAGAACAAAACATTGTCTCAGAAAAAAAAAAAAAAAAGCTCAGCTCCCTTCGTCTCTTCTCATAACTGGGGCTTTGTCAGAGAGTCGAACTGGTCAGTCTGACTCTCTCGTCCCTTAGGGAGCAGGTTCTCCTGAGAGGCTCCCAGGCCCCCATGCTCCTTCCCAGCAGGCTACTACAGCAGGACGACACCGGCCAGAACCAAATGTGTGTGCACCCAGGAGGCGGCATGGGAGAGGCTCAAGCTGTAGCCTCCAGGCCAAATGAACACCCAAGTCAAAGCCTGGCAGGTGCTAAGAGCTCTCCCAAAGGACAGATAGTACAATGGCAAGAGGGAGGGGATTGGGTTCCAGGTCTGAGGAAACTGGGAGACCTCCTTGGAGGATGTGAAATTTAACCTGCACAAAAAGGATGTAAAGTACTAACTAACTTCCTTTCTTCCTTCCCTCCCTCTGTTCTTTCTCCCTGTTTCTTTCTGTCTTTCCTTCCTTCTGCCTTTGATTGAGATTATTTGGGCTGCACATAACAGAATATCCAAGTAGAAATTATACAAACAGAACAATAAGGGCTTGGGATTGGTTAAATCAGCATCTTGGCCATGTCAATGCTCTGAGCTCCTTCTCAGTACTTCTTCTGTCTCCCCATTCTTGGAGCAAGATGGCTGCCATGGTTTCGACATCCCAGCCTTGCATGAGAATGTCCAAAAGAAGAAAGAGGCACTTCTCCTCATCTGTCTGCTTTAACCAGGATGAAAACATTCCCCGGAAGGATCCCCCACCATGCTGCCGCCAGCCAACTTGCGTCAGTCTGGTTGACCAGAACCCAAATACATGCTTACCCTAAGTAATTACCGGCAAAGGGAGATGGTATGGCCAGATCATGGTGCGTCCCCAGGGTGAGGCCACAGAATCAGCTCTCTGAACCAGAACAAAACTTGGGTTCCATTAACAAGGAAGAAAGAGGGAATGGCAGTTGGTTGATTAGGCAGCCACTGTGTTCCCAGCACCATGCTGGGGCCTGAATCAGCCATGAGCAGACAAGCACATTTCCTTCCTGCAGGGAGTGTCCAGTTAGGGACAGAGGGAAAGGACATTCCTGGCAGGGAGGATGAGCAGATGAGCTTTCATCAAGGCCCTGGGGGAATGGACATCTGACAGATGATGAAAGAGGACAGCCCTGATGCAAGAGCCAAATGTCACCCATTTTGGACACTTACTCAAGGAATATTTCTTCACTGAGATTCAACACTCAGATCTTCCCCAAGGCCTCTACTGCAATCACACTTTTTGGTCATAGAACTCACGCACAGCAAGAGTGACTCGAACTGTGCCTGCCCAAAACCCAACATGTCCAATGTTCAATTTGGATTTGGTAAACAGAGCCTCACATCTTGGTGTGGGGAAGGGGAAACATGGATGGGCTGCAAATACGGTGGGCAGCTGCATGCATTTCCTAGGGCTGCTGGAACAAAGCACCACAAGCTGGGTGGCTTCAAGCAACAGAAATGTGTTCTCTAACGACTATGGAGTCCAGAAGTCTGAAATCCGGGCCGTGCACCCTCCGAAGGCTGTAGGGAAGAACCCTTCCCTGCCTCTTCTTGGCTTCTGGCGGTTGCTGCAATCCCTAGTGTTCCTGAGCTTGCAGCTGCCATCACTCCAATCTCTGCCTCCATGGTCACATGGCACTCCCTCTGTGCCCCAATCTCCCTTTCTTATAAGGACACCGGTCATTGGATTAGGGCCCACCCTAATGACCACATCTTAAATTGATTACATCTGCAAAGGCTCTATTTCAAATAAGGTCACAGTCACAGACACCAGGGGTTAGGACATCAACATATTTTAAGGGCACAATTCAGCCCACAACAGCAGCGTAAAGAAAAGGGAATTCGAGGAAGGTCAATGTCAACATTGCCAGTTCCTCCTACCGGCTATTCTTAATAGAATCCAGCTGAGCTTGGGGAGACAGAAGAAGGAAAAGAGATGATCCCAGTCCCCAGAGATGTTCAGGGCCAAAGCTATTCGGGCTGCTCAGACACAGACCAGGGAGCAGGAGATGTGGGTTTGGCTGTCACTCTCTACCAAGCTCCCCAACACTCTGAACCTCTATTTGTGGTGCAGAGTGGTGAACTCTCCCTGTACCAGCCCCATGCTCTCTCTTTTCCTAGGCCTTTGCATGAACTATTTATCTGCCTGGAAATCCTCCTCAATCAATCCCGCCCCACCATTTGACCAGGCCAATTTCTATGCCTCCCCAAGTCTCCCCGTAGCTGCCCCATCTCCCCCAGCGTCTCCTCTTCCTCTCCAGGCCTGGGTAGTATTCCACTCTGATTACTGGTCTGTGCCCTCATCCATAGATATTAAGTCCACCAGGGTGGTGACCATTGTCATCCCAACTCCTAGCTCATTAACCATTTTTTGGTCAAACAAATGAATTGTGAAAGGTCTTTATAAACTGTAAGTTTCATTGCCAAGGGCCCTACCTCCCTACCCCTTCCCACGGAGAAATTCCTTCTTTTGAAAGAAAGACATAAGATAGAGCTATGCTAGGAAAGGCTGCTACCATGAGGCCTCCTGAGGTGCACTGGCCTTGTATTTCTCATGGGTTGGTTCTACCCCAGAAACAGAAACTACACTCAAATAAATTCAACTACGAAGAGTGGGGATAGGAGAGGGGAGGAAAGTCATGGGTCCTTAGGCTCAGGCCCCAAGCAGAGTCAGAAGAATGCAGCCCAAAATACAACAAAAGGAACTAAAATGAATTCTGCTCTTCCGTGCATCTCTGCAAGGACATAAAAGAGATTTTAATATCAACTGTCCCATTTGGCTGATCTCTTTTTTCCCAGCCCCAGGTGTCTCAAGTCCCACACTTGGGAGTCTCACACTTTCCACAGTCAAGAAGAAAAACAAGACTCTTCTCCACCTGCAGCCTGGTTTGTTTCTCTCTCTTCCCCTTTCTTTTTCAATTGTGATGAAATATACAAATATAGATAACATAATACTGCCTTAACCATTTTTAAGTGTACAGCTCGGGGACGTCAAGCCCACCCACATTATGCAACCAAAACCGTCGTTCATCTCCAGAACTTTTCATCACAGGATGAAACTTTGTTTCCATTAACCAGTACCTCCGCGTTCCCTCTTCCCCAGCCCCTGGTAACCTCTGACCTACTTTCTGTCCCTACGAGTTTGACTACTCTGCATACTTCCTATAAATGGAATCACACAATATCTGTCCTTTTGTGACTGGATTATTTCACTGAGCGTCATGTTTTCAAGATTCATCCATGTTGTAGCATGTGTCCAAATTTCTTTCCTTTTTTTTCCTACCCCCACCCACCCCAGACGGAGTATTGCTCTGTTGCCCAGGCTAGAGTGCAGTGGCGCAATCTCAGTTCTCTGTAACCTCCGCCTCCCGGGTTCAAGCGATTCTCCAGCCTCAGCCTCCCGAGTAGCTGGGATTACAGGCATGCACCACCAGGCCCGGCTAATTTTTGTATTTTTAGTAGAGACGGGGTTTCACCGTGTTGGTAAGGCTGGTCTCGAACTCCTGACCTCGTGATCTGCCCACCTTGGCCTCCCAAAGTCCTGGGATTACAGGCATGAGCCACTGCGCCTGGCTGAATTTCCTTCCTAAAAAGGCTCAATAATATTCCTTTGAGTGTGTACAACACATTTTGTTTACCCATTCATCCGTGGATGAACACTTGTTTCTACCTTTTGGCTATTATGAATAATGCTGCAATGAAAACTGACATACAAATATCTGTTCCGGTACCTGTTTTCCATTCTCTTGAATACGTACGTAGGAGTGGAATTGCTGGGTCTGAAAGTAATTCAATATTCAAACTTTTCAGAAACTGTTTTGTAAAAACTATTTTCCACACAGGTTTCCACAGTGACTGCACCATTTCACATTCTCGGCAGCAAAGCACCTAGGGTTCCAATTTCTCCACATCCTCTCAACATGTATTATTTTCTGGTTTTTCATAATAGCCGTCCTAGAGGGTGTGAGGTATGGTTTTGATTTGCTCCATTTTGCATTAAGTGGCCAAGGACCCCCTTGGCAATGCACCATTAACTTGACTTTGATCCTTCACCCCACAATCAGCTGACTTGGCTCTCATCTCCCAATTTAAAAATCCAATTGGTTCAGCCAAGCATGCAGATGGACTCTTTTGGGGTCTGGTGTGTCTACCTCTGGTCCAGTCGGCTCTGGCCAGGGGGATGAAGGGAGGTGGTCCATGAGGCTTCCCTTTCCAGGGATGTGGTGCGTGGCTTTCTAGACAGTATTACTGGGGCAGGCAGGGGCAGACCTGTGTGGTGTAGACCCATGGACACAATGCTAGGCGGGACATGTGTCTTCTATATTTTGATGACAAGGAACTGGCTCTCAGAAACATGAGTTTGTCCACACACCAAGAGAAGAGGCATCTCCTGTGAATAAACTTGAGTTAATCAAGTTCTCCATCCCCAGAGTAGCTATCAGAATGTTCTTTTTTTTTTTTTTTTTTTCCCAGAATGTTTCTTTATTCATTTCCAGTGAGAAGCAGGTAGGCCAGGAGAAGAACCGTCAGTAGAGGCAGATCCATGCAGGTTCCCCCTGCAGCCACGCTTCACAGGAAGCCCGATTTTCATCAGAGACTGTGGTGAGGATGGCATCAAAGCAAGGGGTGCCAGGAGACTGCCCATCCCAGGGACCAGGAGCCAGGACACCCTCAGCTCAGTCAACAGCTGGCTTTTTGTGTCTCCTTTATTGGTGCTCTTGGATGGCAGCTCTCGACAGTCAGATACCAATCCCTCTTTGAGGTTCTGATAAAAGCCACGGACCCACTACCTAGAAAACCCCACATAAGCACCTGGTTTTGCATTCAGCATTATGGCTTTTAGACAATGCTATGTGTCCACCAACTCCATCTCCCTTCCCTCCTGGGCATGCAGGCGCATTGCACTTCCCAGCTTTCCCTGGGGTTAGTGAGGGTGTGAGACTGAACTGAGAGGGAAGAAATGACGGACACCACTCCCAGGCCTCGTCCCTAAAACCTCCTCCACCATCTTCCACTCTTTCTCTCTTCTCCCTGTTGGCCAGATGCAGGGGACCCAGGGGAGGACTCTGAGCCCTCCAAGCAAGCAGAAGGGGGACTCCGAGCACCTGAATGACGGTACGGACCTGAGTCTCACCACCCGGAGCCAACCTGTGCTGCACTGTAACCGAGTAAGAAGGAAACATGTGGGCCAGGCGCGGTGGCTCACACCTATAATCCCAGCACTTTGGGAGGCCAAGGCAGGCGGATCACCTGAGATCAGGAGTTCGAAACCAACCTGGTCAACATGGTGAAACCCCATCTCTACTAAAAAAATACAAAAATTAGCTGGGCGTGATCACGGGTGCCTGTACTCCCCAGCTATTCAGGAGGCTGAGGCAGGAGAATCGCTTGAACCCGGGAGGCAGAGGTTGCAGTGAGCCAAGATCGTACCACTGCACTCCAGCCTGGGCAACAGAGTGAGACTCCATCTCAAAAAAAAAAAGAAGGAAACATGTGGCTAGGCACAGTGGCTTATGCCTGTAATCCCAGCACTTTGGGAGGCTGAGGTGGGTGGATCACCTGAGCTCAGGAGTTCGAAACGAGCCTGGGCAATATGGCAAAACCCTGTCTCTACCAAAAATATCATAGAAAAAAATTAGCCAGACGTGGTGGCGTATGCCTGTGGTCCGAGCTACTCTGGAGACTTAGGTGGGAGGATCACTTGAGCCTGGGAGACAGAGGTTGCAGTGAGCCAAGATCACGCCACTGCACTCCAGCCTGAGCGCCAGAGTGAGACCCCATGTCAAAAAACAAAAAAAAAAAGAAAAAGAAACTTGCATGAAGCCCATAGACTGGAGGGCTCTCTGTTATGGTAGTGGGACCACCCTGACCAATACGCCCCTGGAGGCAGCCAGCCACAAATCCCCACTCTCTTGCGCAGCCTGTCCTGATTGTATTCAAACGAGATACCACTCGCTGATTTGTTTAATACATACTGAATAACAAGCACGTTTCAGTTCCACCTTCCTGAGGTTCTACCAAGGTCACTCAGTTCCCAGTCTTTGGTTACTCATTTTTACACAGTCTTGGTGGACTCCCATGATGGCAGCTGTGTTTGTTGTACTGACAAGGACTTGAGGCCAACAGAAACTACATAAATCCTTGGGTAACCTTGAGTGTGGCATTAGCCACCTTGTATCTAATTCTTTTTTTTTTTTTTTTTTTGAGACAGAGTGTTACCTGGCCAACATGGTGTCAGGAGACTGCCCATCCCAGGGACCAGGAGCCAGGACACCCTCAGCTCAGTCACATGTTTAATGGCCACATGTTTAATGGCCTCACACTCCCATTCCAGAGTGCAGCGGTGCAATCATGGCTCACTGCAGCCGCGACCTGGTGGGCTCAAGCGATCCTCCTGCCCCAGCTTTCTGAGTAGCTGGGACCAGAGACATGCACCACCACACAAGGTTAATTTTTTAATTTTTTTGTAGTTATGGAGTCTTACTATATTGGCCAGGCTGGTCTCAAACTCCAGGGCTCAAAGGATCCTCCCTCCTCGGCCTCCCAAAGTGCCAGGATTACAGGAGTGAGCCACCACACCCAGCCCCATCTCTTTTCATCATGGTACTAATTCCTGCCCGTCCACCCACAAAAGCACTGTAGTGCTTCCCGAGTATAGAGGCCTGTGAGCCTCCACTAGGGAGAGGGCTCCTGCAGAGATCAGATAAATTGATCACAATGGCTGGGGTGGTGGCAATGTGCTAATGCTCTCTTTCTTCCACTCAAGATATCCTCTGTCTCCCTCAGCCTGTGAGCTTTTTCTCCAGTGTGCTCTGCCAGTGGGGGCCCTGCCTGAGAGCCCCTGCAGCTGCAGAGGACAGTTTCTTTCTGCTGAACCATCGCAGCTATGCCCCAGCCCCTACCCTGGAGGGGTCCCCAGGGGCCATGGGCAGCACCTCCTGTATAGGGCTGTCTGGGAGCCACTCCAGGGCCACAGAAATCTTGTCTCTGACTCAGGGTATTTTGTTTTCTGTTTTGTGTAAATGCTCTTCTGACTAATGCAAACCATGTGTCCATAGAACCAGAAGATTTTTCCAGGGGAAAAGGTAAGGAGGTGGTGAGAGTGTCCTGGGTCTGCCCTTCCAGGGCTTGCCCTGGGTTAAGAGCCAGGCAGGAAGCTCTCAAGAGCATTGCTCAAGAGTAGAGGGGGCCTGGGAGGCCCAGGGAGGGGATGGGAGGGGAACACCCAGGCTGCCCCCAACCAGATGCCCTCCACCCTCCTCAACCTCCCTCCCACGGCCTGGAGAGGTGGGACCAGGTATGGAGGCTTGAGAGCCCCTGGTTGGAGGAAGCCACAAGTCCAGGAACATGGGAGTCTGGGCAGGGGGCAAAGGAGGCAGGAACAGGCCATCAGCCAGGACAGGTGGTAAGGCAGGCAGGAGTGTTCCTGCTGGGAAAAGGTGGGATCAAGCACCTGGAGGGCTCTTCAGAGCAAAGACAAACACTGAGGTCGCTGCCACTCCTACAGAGCCCCCACGCCCCGCCCAGCTATAAGGGGCCATGCACCAAGCAGGGTACCCAGGCTGCAGAGGTGCCATGGCTGAGTCACACCTGCTGCAGTGGCTGCTGCTGCTGCTGCCCACGCTCTGTGGCCCAGGCACTGGTGAGTCTCCCCCAGCCTCCCCTCTCCTAGGCAGCTCCACCACTCACTGAGCACTGCTTTGTGCTAGGCATTAACCCAAGTCTGTCCTCATTTTAAAGACAAGGCAGCTGGGGTTCAGAGAGGGTTCAGAGCTTATCCAAGGTCACACAGCTGGCGGGTCCAGGAGCAGGTGGAACCCAGAGCTGTCTGACGTCCACATGTTTAATGGCCTCACACTCCCAGCAAAACTGGGTCTAGAGGGTGGGTGAAATCATGATGCCAGGTGTGTAGCCTGGATCCTGATTAAGGTTGCTCTGGCCCCAAACCACAGCTGCCTGGACCACCTCATCCTTGGCCTGTGCCCAGGGCCCTGAGTTCTGGTGCCAAAGCCTGGAGCAAGCATTGCAGTGCAGAGCCCTAGGGCATTGCCTACAGGAAGTCTGGGGACATGTGGGAGCCGTGAGTACCACCAAGGATGCATGGCAACTGGGGGTCTGAAATGAAGGGTGCTGGGTGGGCTCTGGATGGGCAGGAGGAGAGTGGAGCCCCCATAGGGGATGGATGAGATGAAATGGGATGAGATGAAATGAGATAGGATAAAATGGAATGGGATGGATGCGATGGGATACGATGACATAGAATAGATGGAGTCGGATGAATGGGATGGGATGGGATGGATGGGAGGGGAAGGGATAGGATAGGATGACATAGAATAAAGATGGATGGGATGGGATGGGATGGGATGGGATGACACAGAATAAAGATGGATGGATTGGGATGGATGAATAGAAGAGATGGATGGGATAAATTGATATGGATGAGATGGGACAAGTTGGGCTGGTGGGCAGCTGCATGTGCCTTGGAGTGCTCTGTTGGCCTCTTCCTAAGAGAACCTCCCCATTGGAGCTGGGAGCCTCCCCCACTCATGTGTCCTCCACCTTGGGGCCCCTCCCTCCCCAGGATGACCTATGCCAAGAGTGTGAGGACATCGTCCACATCCTTAACAAGATGGCCAAGGAGGCCATTTTCCAGGTAATGATGCCCAGATCCTGGATGAAGGTTGGGGCCCAAGAGATGAGGGACAGAGCAGGGAAGAGCTGAGCCCCCTAAAGGGGCCATTTCCAGGCTGAGGAGGAGGCCTGGGTGCCTGGGAAGTCCCAGCTCCTCCTGGCTGGGAGCAGGTCATGGCCCTGAGCTCAATAGCACAGCCAGAGATGGTCTTCCCTGAGGGGAAGGGCCCCTACATGTGCCCAACTACTTAACTCCTTGGCACTCGTGAACTCCAGCACCCTGGGGGATTAGGGGTCAGTCTGCCCTGGTGGGGCCTTGTGTCCAGGGACTTGGGCGGGGTAGACCTCAGAGAGGCCCAGCTGACGGCCCCCTCTGGCCTCCCAGGACACGATGAGGAAGTTCCTGGAGCAGGAGTGCAACGTCCTCCCCTTGAAGCTGCTCATGCCCCAGTGCAACCAAGTGCTTGACGACTACTTCCCCCTGGTCATCGACTACTTCCAGAACCAGACTGTGAGGGCTGCAAGCTCACCTCCTGCCTGCCTCCCCACGCAGGCCCCTGTGCCCACCCATGGGGAGCCACACACACAGCACCCCAGCCAGCCAGACACACACACACACACACACACACACACAGCACCCAAGCCGGCCAGACACAAACACACAGCACCCCAGCCAGCCGGACACACACACACACACACACACAACACCCCAGCTGGCCGGACACACACACACACAGTACCCCAGCTGGCCGGACACACACACACACAGCACCCTATCCAGACACATACACACACACAGTACCCCAGCCAGCTGGAAACACACACACACACAGCACTCCATCCAGACACATACCCACACAGTACCCCAGCCAGCCAGACACACACACACACACACACACACACACACACACAGCACACACACAGCACCCCAGCTGGCCACACACACACACACACACACCCTGTCCACAAAGGGCCTAGGAAACTACGTGCCCTTCAGCCATGCACCCGACCATGGGCCCCCAGGTTCAGGTGCACACGGTGGGCCTGTACG